>NC_000003.12:66979696-67282727 GCF_000001405.40 Homo sapiens
TGCTGAATAAATGACTGAATAAAGTTGAGAGCTGGAAAGGAGGTTAGAGATTATACTGCCCTCATTCTAGAACAGTATTCAGAGAGATTGAAGTATATGTGGGAAGTTGCAGAGCTCTGAGTCAGAGTAAGGATCCAAGTCTCCGAACTCTCCCGCAAGGACCCTTCCCACCAAAGGAGCCCTGCCAACTGCTGCACTTTAAGGACCCAGGCAAATGTGCTCAGAGCATTGCATGGCAGTCATTCCTTCCCAAAAAGTTTGTTCTCCTAAAGACATTTGTTTCTCCAAGCCTGGAAGTAAAACAGAGCACTTAGAACCCATAAAATAATGTTAATGTGGCCTACTCTTCTCCACATTTTTTTCCTTTCATGTCTTTGTGAAACTTCCTTTTATTTGTAGGACGTATAGCATTTCTTCAGTAATCATTAATCATTCCTTATGGTTCCAAGGTTACTCTAATTATCTATTAATTCCACAAATATGAAGTAGGTGTACATCATGCACTAGACAGAGAAATGAGGACAAGAGCAAGTCTGAGGGCTGGAAATCTCTAAATTCCATTTTATTTTAAAAAATATTATTCATTATTTGAAAGACAAGATTTTTTTAAAGCATCTATGATCTCACGATTGTCACATGATAATGGCAGGATAATAGCATGATAATAGGATTCTGGGGAAATTTCTTTCTAGTCTTTTCTCTCAGGCATATTTTTTCATAGTTATTACAAAAATGCACCAACATCTGCAAATTCTTTCTCTCTTAATATTATATGATAAGCATTTCTTTCTTTTTTTTTTCTTGAGATGGAATCTCATTCACTCTATTGTGCAGGCTGGTGTGCAGTGGTGTGATCTTGGCTCACTGCAACTTCCACTTCCTGGGTTCAAGTGATTCTCCTGCCTCAGCCTCCTGAGTAGCTGGGATTACAGGCGTGAGCCACCACACCCAGCTAATTTTTTTATTTTTAGTAGAGATGGGGTTTTATCATGTTGGCCAGGCTGGTCTTGAGCTCCTGACCTCAAGTGCTGCTTCCCAAAGTGCTGGGATTATAGGCATGAGCCACCATGCCTGGCCTATATGATGAACATTTCTATGTTTCAACATAGCTTTCATAACTATAATGTTTGTTGATTGTACAATATTCTATTGAATGCATACACCACAACTGACAACCATTTTCCTAAAGGTGAACCAGAAGTCAAAGAAATGGACTTTTTGTGGCTCTTTAAGTGCATATTGCCAAATTCCTGGGTCAAGGGATAGAATTCTGAATTTAATTAAATCAAATAAGGAAGTAGCAATGGGGATGTTACTGTGACCGCTACTGCCAGCAATAGCTGAGCCTAGTGTGCAAACATAAAGAGTTGTTCTGAGCTAGGGCCCACCTTTTTGGCTCAATGAAGACTCATTAGAATTCTGCTGGATCAAGAAGTTATATCTTAGAGATCTGCATTAGAAATGCTAGCTAAACTGTATTGTTGCCACTTCTTACACCTGACTGATCTGTGACAGTTTTCTAATAAACAAGAGAAAGAAAACTTTTTGGGGAAACACATTTTCACGTCATTTTTTTTTTTCTAACGAGGTCAAACAGGTTCTGAAGCCAAGGCTTAAAGAGATAGAGTATTACAGCATTGAACATTTCTGCAACATTAAATTTTATTGTCAGAAACCACTATGGCTTAGAAAGAGGCCACTAATCAAATTAGTGTCCTTAGGGGCCTGAGTTTACCACTGAGTACATAGCGACGTGGGACTGAGGGTTTCTTTGCTGTACTCATGTGGTCATGCTGAGATGGAACCCTCAGGAACACATCTGGATAAGTTAAGCAAACACATTTTGATGCTTCATTCAGTAGAAAGGGACCCCCATCTGTTCTTCACCACACAACCTAATTATCGGGTAAATAGACACTTTCTTTCCTGCATGTTTATTCCTCAAAGCAATGTCTCCAAGGGTGGCTGAAAATGAAGAATTAAAAACACCACCTAGGACTTGAGCATGCTTCTGTTTTCATACGAATTAACTTTAGAAGATCCTTGAGAGTTAAGTACTATTTTTATCCCCATTTTACAGATAAAACAATGAAGGCTCAGAAGCATCAGGTGATTTCAGTCACCAGGTCAGCAAGGGGTTGTATCAGAACTAAAATTCTCATTTTGGATCTCAAATCCCATATGCTTATTAACCTCAGTGCCATAAAGATGAATCACAGAAATATGTAAGGTGACTGTTAAAAATCTTAGTGCCATTTCAAAGATTCTCTAGACATGAGAGTTACAATAGATGGAAGACGCAAAGAAATGACAAAAACTATGTCAGAACTGTCACAGACTCCAAGGCACCAGAAAAAAATTGGAGGAACAGAATAAACAAGTTCCCAAACACAGGTGCAGTTCCCACTTCAGCCGGGGAAGACACTGTGCCTAGAAAAGCTCAGAATCATGCCCTAAAATACCCATATCTTTTCGATTCACACTGGAAACAAACAGCCTTACCCCATGCCCAATTTCTAATCATTCAGAAGACTGAGATTATACACTTGACCTCACAATCAAGATTTCATAAATGCATACATTTTGTGCTGTCTTTAAACCATCAGTGTGACCTTTGGAATATTCTTAAGATTTTAAGAGACTTCCATAGATTATCTGAGCCAGGCCTCAGCCTTCTGACAAATCTGAATCATTATCCACATGAGGGAACTGAGGCCTGGAGAGGTTGTGACCTGCTCAGGGTCCTACATTTGGGAAAGTTAGAAGAGGAAGGGAAAGGAGCCTCCTGCAGGGAAGGGGCTTTTTCCACTATGACTGAGGGAGAACCAACATTTCCTTTTGTCAATAGACCTTTCAGCCAATAAAATAGAAATTCCATTCTGTTTGAAAGGTTGCAACTATCACCTCTTCAACACTTCTCAGAGAAAGAGAAAAGAATTATCTGGCTGATGAGATGGCAAAAACTCTGATCTGTATTTCTCTATTAGAAGCTATTGATAGGTTTAACATTGCTTTGCTCCCATGGCTCTGTTCTCTCCACATACCTGAACTTCTGTTTGTGCTGGGCGGACACAGTTCTTTCTACACCCAGATTTGGGGGAAAGCATTTAGAATTCCCCTTTGGCCATTTGTCCATATCATTCTTTCCAATCAGGCTTGGCCAGATATAAAGCTATTGTATTGATCCCTGTTTACTTTCTACGCCTAATATTCAGTTGGTTTAGGATCCAGACAGGGGGCGAGTAACTGAATTAATTTGCTTCCTTAGAAACCTCCACAATTTCCAAGACTTCTTTTAAAGTTTCGCCGAACTTAATTCTTACATACATGTATTAGAAGCTCCCTTAACAAACCTCAGACTTAGCAACTTGCCAGATGAATGATCACCCCCTATTGCAGGTTTTCCTATTAATAGCACTATTGACATTTAGAGCCAGATAATTCTTTGTTGTGGGGGCTGTCCTGTGTAATGTAGGTTGTTTAGCAGCATACCTGGCCTCTACCTATAATATACCAGCAGCATTTGCCTAGTTGTGACAAGCAAACTTGTTTGCAGATTTTGCCAAATGTCCCTCGGAGGGCAAAATTGCCCCTAGTGGAGAACCATTGCTCTCATCCATCAGGAACACAGAATGCCTGATAACCACAGCCTGCTGAACCCTCCAAGATGCCCATGCTCTCCTGATCCCATTAGTTGAGCTATGGGCTTATCAAGTGTCAAGTTGTACATCAAAGCTATTAATGTCGCTTGCACTTGTAATTATGTAGTTCACATAAATATCATGCCATCCAATGAAATGTGACACAAAGAAAGACAGTATTTGTTTGCTTTTTTTTTTGAAGTCAGATGATTGGAAGAGACTCTATATGGCAGAGACAAATTATTTCTTCAGCATATCTTTTTTTTCTTCTGGATATACAATGAAACAATTCCTAGCCTCCCCTGCAGTTAGGGGAAATCTATTTGATTGAATTCTGGGCAATGGAAAGTGGGCAAAAATGAATACCATTTTGAGGTTTAGCACTTAAAATTCTCCTTGTTCTCTCTTGCTGCTTCTGTAAAGGATCCAGAAGAGGTCTCTGATGGCCTAAGGCAGGGATTGACAGACTTTCTTTAAAGGGTCGGATAGTAGACATTTTCAGCTTCCCATCTTATTGTTGAAAAAACAGCCTTTGGCTTATGGGCAGTAGATTGCCAACCCCTGCTGGCATGATAGGTGTGATGGTGCAACAGCATTTCCCACAAAGATGCTTAAAAAAAAACCCTGTCACATTAAGTATAGGTAAAACAAATATATAATATTATGGGAGACTAAAAATCTAGACTGATTCTATACACAGATCATTTCAAAACTCTTTAAATTCTCATTCTACTTTAAAGATATTAAAAGTAGAAAGCATAGACTGTGCAATCACAGACACTATATAAATAAGGAAAATAGTGCAGGATTCTGGTCAGCAGATTCAGTCCAAGGTGACGTCTTGGTCTTACACCAAAATACTGGTGAGAATGATCGTTTATGTTTTGAATTCAAATTAAAAGTCCAAGCTCTGTATCTTTTTTTTAATAATCATTCTTGATTTTAACAGGTTTTTTTCCTTCTCTTTTTTTTTTTGCTCTTCTTAAATTTTTTCATAGGTTTAGGGCATACGAGTCTAATTTTCCTACACAGATGTATTGAGTAGTGGTGAAGTCTGGGCTTTCAGTGTACCCACTACCTGAATAATGAATATTGCACTAAATAGGAAAAATTTCAACCCTCGTCCCCCATCCTGCCCTCACACCCTTTGGAGTCTCCAATGTCCATTGCTTCATTGTGTTTTAACAGACTTTTTACTAAAGTAAGAGGGCTCTATTTCGACTCTCTTTTGTGTGAAAATAGACTGAAATGGTACGGCAGAAGGGCCTTAAAGAAATGGGAGAGTCCCACAATACTGATTCCTCTGTCCTGGGTCTTGGCTGGGACATCACCTTTCCCAGATATTTATAATACAATTGTGGCAACATTCTAGATGCAGAAATGTTAGACTCCCTAAATTTTGCCATATAAAGATGTACAAAAACAGCAGTTAGTACAGTTTATTTAATATAAATGGACATGGGCTAGGCATAAGAACAAGGTAAGGAAAATTAAAAAAAAAAAAAAAAAAAAGAAACAGAGAACTTCTCTCCTGTAGTTCCTATCAGCTCTCCCTCGTAACAAAATGTTTGACAATTGTTTCAGGCCTCTTGGGCTGCCATGACAAAATACTGTATACTGAGTGGCTTAAACAACAGAAATGTATTTTCTCACAATCCCAGAGGCTAGAGATCCAAGATTAATGGATTTTAATGAATGTTAATGCATTCATTAACAAAGATCTAAGGTGTCAGCACTGTCGGGTTCTGTTGAGAGCTCTCTCCATGGCTTGTAGACAGTTCCTTTCTTGCTGTGTCCTCCTATGGCAAGGAAAGAGAGAAAGGAAGAGAAGGAGGGAGAAAAAGAGAAAAGGAGGGAGGGAGAGCTGTCTAGTATCTCTTATTGGGGGTGGGGGTTATTTTACAGTATTTTATTTTATTAATTTTATTGTTTACATTGACAGGTAAAATTGTACGTATTTACTGTGTACAACATGATGTTTTGAAGTATACATACATTGTGAAAGAACTAAATGTGGCCAATTAACATATGCCGTACCTCGAAGTTATCATTTTTGTGGTGAGAACACTTTATATTCACTCTCTTAGCATTTTTCAAGAATGCAGTATATTATTAGCCATAGTCAACATGTTGTGTAATAGATTTCTTGAACTTATTCCTCCTGCGTAACTGAAACTTTGTATCCTTTGAGCAACATCTTCTTACCCTGCCCCACCCAAATACCCCAGTCCCTGATGACTACCAGTCTGCTATGTCTATGAGATCAACATTTTTAGATTCACATTTGAGTGAGAACATGTGATATTTGTCTTTCTGTGTCTGGCTTATTTCACTAAATGTTTTCCAGGTTCATCCATGTTGTTGAAAATGACAGGATTTCCTCCTTTTCTATGGCTGAATAGTTTCCATTGCGTATATATACCACATTTTTCTTTCTTTTTTTTTCAGATTAGTCCACTGAAGCAGTGAGAGTATACTGCATTTTTTTTTTTTAATCCACTCATCTGTTGACGGACACATAGGTTGATTCCGTATCTTGGCAATTGTGAATAGCGTTGCAATAAACATGGAAGTGCAGATATCTGTTTGACGTACTGATTTCAATTCCTTAGGATATATACACAGTAGTGAGACTGATGGGTCATATGGTAGTTCTATTTTTAATTTTTTGAGGAACTGCCATACTGTTTTCCATAATGGTTGTACAAATTTACATTCCTACTGACAGTGTGCAAGTTTCCCTTTTCTCCATATCCTCGCCAACACTATATTTTGTCTTTTTGCTAATAGATATCCTAAAAGGTATGAAGCTAGTCCAGTGAAAAAATGTGGAATTTAGCTATAAAGTTATATCCCAGATGGCAAGTTTTGTTTCCTAGTCTGAGCCTCAAGCCTTGTGGAACAACTGACTCCAGAATGTCAGCTATGATGCCTGGCAAAAGGATATTTGTGGGTTGTTAACTTGTGAATCAAAAGGCAAACCCTGGCCCAGCAGTATGTTATACCTCATTTTGGTTTTAATTTGCCTTGATATCTCTTCTTATGAGGGTACCAATCCGACAATAAGGGCCTCACCTTTATGACCTCATGCAAACCTAACTATCTCCCAAAGGCCCATCCCCAAATATTACATGGGGGTTTAGGGTTTCAACATATGAATTTGGGAGAGATACAATTCAGTACACAGTAGCAATCAACAAGGAAGTCACCAAGGGTGCAATCTGGTACAACGAAGTGTTAGGCCTCATATGCACCCAAGTGCTAATTCAGCACTTTTTCTCTCAGCATAATGTATAGCGAGTGAGCCAGGCAGCCTAGGGCCTGGTGCTGATAAATCAAAGTCATTTCAGACTAAATCATCATAAAAAAGCATACCTTTGCCGGGCATGGTGGCTCATGCCTGTAATCCCAGCACTTTGGAAGGCTGAGGCGGGTAGATCACAAGGTCAGGAGTTCGAGACCAGCCTGACCAACATGGTGAAACCTTGTCTCTACTAAAAATACAAAAATTAGCCGGGTGTGGTGGTGCACACCTATAGTCCCAGCTACTCAGAAGGCTGAGGCTGAGGCTGAGGCTGAGGCAGGAGAATTACTTGAACCCAGGAGGCGGAGGTTGTGGTGAGCCGAGATTGTGCCACTCCACCCTCTCCATCCAGTCTGAATGACAGAGTGAGACTCCGTCTCCAAAAAGAAAAAAAAGCCTACCTTTATTTTCACCTTCATCCATATGCCTTTTTTTTTTTCCGTTAAGGAGAGAAACCAGTTGACACTGTGTGGCAAAATCTGGAAT
Source organism: Homo sapiens (assembly GCF_000001405.40). Lineage (NCBI taxonomy): Eukaryota > Metazoa > Chordata > Mammalia > Primates > Hominidae > Homo > Homo sapiens. The sequence continues at coordinate 66,987,128 of NC_000003.12, forward strand.
CATCTATCATCACTATTGGAAAAATACCCAGGAGAGCAGCAGCATCAACTTCTATTCATTAACAAAGATCTCAATACAGTTGAGCATCCTTAGTCTGAAATCCTTCAAAATACCAAATTTTTTGAGTGCCAACATGATGCCACAAGTAGAAAGTTCCATATCTGTTGAGGTGTGGGGAGCTAGGGAAGGGATAGCATTAGGAGAAATACCTAACGTAGATGACGGGTTGATGGGTGCAGCAAACCACCATGGCATGTGTATATCTATGTAACAAACCTGCACGTTCTGCACATGTATCCCAAAACTTAAAGTATAATTAAAAAAAAGTAAAAAAAAAAAAAATTCCACATCTGAAGTCATGTTCCAAGTTGCAGTCAAACACACAGTTGTACCTTTGTTTCACGAACAAAATTATTAAAAGTATTATATGAAATTATCTTCAGCTTATGTATATAAGGTATATGTGAAACATAAATGAATTCTGTGTTTAGACTTGGGTCACATCCCCAAGATATCTCATTATATATGTTCAAGTTTTCTAAAATCCAAAACATTTCAAAGTCAGATACATGGGTCCCAAGCATTTGTGATAAGGAATACTCAACTTGTACTGCTTTCCATCATATCCAAACACTCACTCTGGCCAGGTGGGGTGACTCACACCTGTAATCCCAGCACTTTGGGAGGCCGAGGGTCCAGCATTGCTTGAACCCAGTAGTTCGAGGCCAGCCTGGGCAACATAGTGAGACCCTGTGTCTACAAATGATTTAAAAATTATCTGGGCATGGTGGCACATGTCTCTAATCCCAGCTACTTGGGAGGCTGGGGTGGGAGGATCAGTTGAGCCTAGAAGGTTGAGGCTGCAGTGAACTGTGCTCTCACCATTGCACTCCAGCGTGGGCAACAGAGTAAGACCCTGTCTCAAAACAAACAAAAAACCAAACATTCATAGTTCTGCCATATTTTCTTTAAGGAAAAAACAAAATAATTTTTATTGTCATCTCATTGCAACAGTTCAAGCTTAGTAGAACCTCCTTTCTACTACTTTTGTTTCTTTACTTTTTCTTTTGAAAATGTTTAAACCTGCAAGAGTACAGTGAATTCCCACAAAGTCTTTAATTTACCAAAAGGTTGACATTTTACCACGTTTGCTATATTATTTTCTGCATATGTACTTTTATACTTATTATTAGTGCCATACCACTTGACAATAAGTAGTAGAAATCATGGCCCTTCACTTTAGCTTGTATTCCTTTTTTTTTTTTTTTTTTGAGACGGAGTCTCGCTCTGTCGCCCAGGCCGGACTGCGGACTGCAGTGGCGCAATCTCGGCTCACTGCAAGCTCTGCTTCCCGGGTTCACGCCATTCTCCTGCCTCAGCCTCCCGAGTAGCTGGGACTACAGGCGCCCGCCACCGCGCCCGGCTAATTTTTTGTATTTTTAGTAGAGACGGGGTTTCACCTTGTTAGTCAGGATGGTCTCGATCTCCTGACCTCATGATCCACCCGCCTCGGCCTCCCAAAGTGCTGGGATTACAGGCGTGAGCCACCGCACCCGGCCTTTAGCTTGTATTCTTTTAGAACAAAGGCATTTACCTAATAAACAGGGCCTAGAGGGTGAAAGGAAGAAATGGCTGGTATTCACCAAGGACAGATACAAAAGGGACCAATTTTTTGACGAAGAATTTGCACAGCAATTAAATTTCCCCTGTGACTGCAGGAACCTTGTAAGTAAAAGAATTTCAAACTGAGCTTAGGCATGCTCCTTTGACCTGTTTTAGCCTGAGCAATTAATAAAGTGTTTGGATTGTATTTGCACTACAAGCCTCAACTCCCTGAAGAGTAAGTAGGCTAACACACAGGTGGAAAAATTAGCAATTTATTGATTCGGTACATTCCAAACATAGTTGAAGCTTTCTTAAGCTGTTTCTAAGACCCCAAGCTGTGTGCATTCTTGTGATCATATTGGCTCCCTCTCAGCCATCGGGATTAACATACTGCTGGGCCAGGGTTTGCCTTCTGATTCACAAATTAACAACCCACAAATATCCTTTTGCCAGGTAGTCAGTTCCGGAGTCAGTTCTTCTGCAAGGCTTGAGGCTCAGACTAGGAAACAAAACTTACCCTCTGGGAAATAACATTAAACCTAAATTCTAACACAATTTGATGCTGAAAGATCAAAGATTCCTCAGTGTAGTTTACTAATAGTTCCCCACCGTTAAGTATAAAAAATTCCTTCCACATGCCTTTCGCCTCTGCATTCAACTGTGTTTGACAAAGCCTGTCTCACAAACTCAATTAGAACCACTGAGCTTAAACACACCCCTTTCCTTGGTCACTTACAGTAGATCTTTTCCTGACTGCTCCTATCGTGGCAGGGACTGCTCTTAGAAAAATGTGCTCTTGTAAAAAAGATCTCACAATAGCTCTCACATGAAGCTTATCGTCAATGGTCAGTGTCCGATTATGTCATGCCGTGTTGTTTTTCCAATGGGACAGACTGCTGCTTTCATCAAGTTGGAGGATATATTTATGGTACTGTTTTGAAGGGCAGTGTTTTAAGTTTGAATTACAAGATATTTTTGAAAATATAGTCAACTCTTTCATTTGGAGCTCAAAATGAATATACTAAATCTGCACTTCTGAATAGAAGTCCATATGCCTGGACATAAAATGTGCAGTGATAGAGCACAGTGGGACTTCATGAGTATTGGTGTATATAGTCTCAACTATAGACATTTCGAAGGCATAATTTTCATTTCAATAGATTAAGGCATGTGTGTGAGAAAAGCGTGAAAATTATAAGAGCCCAGAGTTCTTAACTATTGACATTTGGGGCCAGATAATTCTTTGCTGAGGTATAGCCATCCTAGCCTCTATCCACTAGGTGCCAGTATCAACATTCACACCCCAAAAGGAGACAACCAAAAATGTCTCTAGAGATTCCCAAATATTCCCTGAGGGACAAAAATCACCCTTGGGGAGAATCCCTGCAATAAATTGTTTTGGTTTATTTTCCCATGTGGCCAAAGTAAACCAATCTTAGAAAGTGCTGGTTTGTCTTAGTCATATGTGAATATGCTACGGAGTGTCTACTTACCTGCACGGTCACAAGGTTTTCTTTATCTCTGCATCACTAAGAGTGTCTAGCACAGTCCTCTTATAATATGTCTGTGATTGGTGCTGATTCCCAGATGTTTCTAGCTTTTCTCCTTCCGGGAATGGTAGAATAGGACTTCCTATTATACTTCCACTTTAGATGGTCACATGACTTGTTATGGCCAATGAAATGGGACTGGAAGTGATGCGTGTTTCTCCAGGTGGAAACATTAAGATCCAATGCACAATTTACCACGTTTCCTTTTTTTCTGGCATGGTGACCAAGCACATTTGCCAAGATGGCTGCTCTCTCAGTCTGGCCTCTCAGTTACTGCAAAGAGTAGAGCCCCCTGCTGATCTGACTTGGATATAAGCATGAGTGAAAAACAAAATTTTGTTGATATAAGCTGCTGAAAGTGTGGGGTTGTTTGTTACAAGTAACAGTATGTGTTAGTTACAACTAACAGTATGATAGGCTAAGATATGTTTTCAGTGTCACAGACATTTGAATTCAGAGCGCCTATGAGTGGTTTGGTTCCTTTTCTTCCATACTTTAGAAAGGTTAGGAATCACCAGTGATGATGAGCCTATGCCACCACATTGAGCTGAGAAGACAGCTGCATCTTGGGTTCCTGCTCCAGCTTAACTGTGATTAATCTGTAAACTGGTTAATTTACCATGAAGAACAACAAATTAATTGCTATATAATAAGCTGAAAAATTAAATGGAATTTTCATTTTACTATTCAAGTACTACCACAAGTAGTAATAACTAATATTTACTGAGTACTTTCTCTGTACCAGTGGCTGAGCTAAACACTCTGCATATATTTGCATAGATTATCTCCTTTACTCCTCATAATAGTTCTGTAAGGTTAATGCTCTTTTAGCCCAATTTTAAAGCTGGGAAACCTGAGGCATGAAGAAATTATTAGCTTCCTCTGCGTCATAGCTAGAAAGTGTTTCAGTGAGATTTGAACTTGGGTAGTCTGATTCCAGAGTGTGTGCCTCTTCACAGTTACGGGAATCTACCTCCTAAAGAGTGATTTTCACTCTGATACCCCAGAAAACCAGGTACGTATGTATTGTGCAGACATAGACACAAGTTAGAGCTATGTGTTCTCTAACAAAGAGGTCTTGAGAAACATTGGAGAAAGCAGCCATATATTTGAATTGGCACAAGATCAGTTAAAGGCTGGTTCTTCTCCATGGATTATGGTAAACCGAGTCGCTCAAATCTACTGTAATTAAGTGAATATAATTCTTTCTTAGGGATTAAACTGGGTATGCAAGAGAACAACATGTAAAACATCTGTTCTTAAGATGCTTCTTTGGCCCTGTGTCACAACTAATCTACTTAGTGTTATAATTTTGTTTCCAGATATATATATACAGCATTCAGCCACAATTATGACTAAGGCTTAAAGTCTCTATTATATTAACCTGCCATCTTTAAGTCTTACAGCCAGTAAGGTGGCTTATCTCCAAATATGACTCACACGCAACCATACTTCCTGGTATTCAGGACATTTTGCAATTCCCTCCCATGTTGAATCTCACTCTTCTCACAAGATGACCCAGGGAGCCCCTCCTGCAACAAAAATACATACTTTACAGATAGATTTGGGGTGATTGTTTACCTTGCAATTTTCTGTTTAAAGTATTATTTATTTGAGTTCTTTTAAATGTTAAGATTCTCTCCATTTTTATTAGTATTAAACATTTGATGGAGAGACCTGGAGGAGAGAGCAGAGAGAAGTAAAACTGAGGCCATGAAACTTAGCGTTCAACTATTGGAAAGCTCAGTAAACTCTTCATGCAGTAATTCATCCATTGTAATAGTACAATGAATGAATGACTCTTCATGCAGTAATACAGTACTACTATGATGGATGAATTACTGCATAAGAGTTTACTGTTTATCCATTGTACTACTTTCCTTTTGCTGCTGTAACAAATTACCACAATCTTAGTGGTTTAATACAGCACAAATTATCCTACAGTATTGGATGTTAGAAGTCCAAAACCATGATGGCGGCAGGACTGCCTTCCTCACGCAAGATCTAGGGCAGAATCCATTCCCTTGCCTTTTCTAGCATTTAGAGGCTGCCTACATTCCTTGTCTCATGACCTCTTATTTCATCTTCAAAGCATGTCACTCAGCCTCTGCTTCTGTGATCACATCTCTTCTTATAAGGACCATGTGATCACAATGAGCCCACTTGGATAACCCCTACATCTTGAAATCCTTAATTTAATCACATCTTCAAAGTCTCATTTGCCATGTGAGATAACATAGTCACAGGTTCTGGGGATTAGAGTGTGACCTTCTTTGGGCAGCCATTATTCTGTTCACTACATCCATTCCCATTCAATATATTCATTTATGCAATTAATTATGTAAGCATTTATTGATACATAACATATCAAACAGTGAGCTAGTTGATAGAAATGTAAAGAATATAAAGAATTGACTACATGCGTTCAAAGCAGCATGCATAGACCTTACTTAAATACATGGTACCAAGTGAAAAAGTTAGAAACAAATTGAGATCCATAGCATGATACCATTATATAAACCATAAGAGCACATAATCAACACATATTCAATACATTAATACATATTTTACAAGAACAGAAACACAGGATCCACATCAAACCCATTATAATGGTTGTATTTGAAGTTGGAAGAGGATGGAAGTAAAGAATGGGGATTGAAGGCAACAGTACATATGTAGCAAAAGAGATGGGGCATATGGACCAAAGATAATATTGTGTTGTGAACCAAGAAGTATAACTCTACGCTGTGAAATGGATATTTAAAAGGAAAACAAACAAACTACCTTTAAATAATAAACAAAGTACACTTATGTAAACTTTAATAGTGCTGTTAACAAAGTGGGAGAACATACAGCACAGAGGACCACAGAGCAGGTAGAAGGAGGATGTTGTAGAACACTTGTTCTCAACTGCGATGATTTTCCCCCAGAAGACATTAGACAATGTCTGGGGCCATTTTAATTTTCGTAACTGAGAGGTGGGTGCTACTGGCACCTAGTGGGTGGAGGACAGAGATGCTGCTAAGTATCTGACGATGCACAGGGCAGCCCCTACAACAAAGAATTGTCTAGCTGAAAATGCCAAGAGTGCTGAGATAAAGAAAAACCATGTGTAGAACAACCAGAAAAAAATCCCTGAAATTATTGTGACATGTCAATAGATTTGATTTATAAATATTTGATTATTTGGGGGATTAAAATATAATCAACTACTCATCCTCTATGTTCTCTCTGCTGGGTTTAAGGAATTCCTTTCCAAACACCTGATGCCTATTCTTCATGAATTTCAGTTCCTGTGTCTACACACTGATGATTACTGATCCCTGATTCTCCTTACACTTAGAGTTTTTAGTGATTCCATGGACTTAAAAAAAATCAAATCATAATTGGGGTTAGAAAGAATCAACAATCATTGTTTAATTCCATTAGTTCTATTTGGGTTATAAGCCAATCTTCAAACAGAGAAGAGTGCTGATGTCTCACATTTTGACAGTGGCTTTGGCTCATGCAATCATTCTAAGTTTGAATATTACTGAATAAATTAAGGGTAAAGTAGAGTAATTCTATTCAGGATCTCCAATCTGGTACAATAATTCAATCTTTCAGTAGAACAGTGAAGCAGTGTCTACTTAATAAATATGGATGGCTAATCACACACATATATATTTTAGCCACTTCTTTTCATTATTTAGTGAACAGACAAAACATGCTAAATCACTATACCTCTAAAATTATAAATTTGGTTTGACAAAGTCAAATTAGTTTAATGGTATGACATATATCCCTCTAGTCTTTCCTTTTTTTTTTTTTTCAATTTCTTGGGGCGTGAAACCATCTCAAACCTATACCAATAATTCTGTCCATTCATGACAGATATTGATTGACCTTGTGTTAGACAAAGAACCAGACATGTTCAATAGGGAGAAAATCCTACACTTCAATTTCAATACTCCATTTATTCCCAGACCTTTACATGCTGTTATCAAAAGACAGTTGGCTTTGGAGCCAAAGACCCCTAAAAGACTACGGGCAGGTTATTGAAATTCTCAAGGCTTTGGTCACTTCATTGTAACTTTGTTCTTAGAAAATTTAATTAAAAGGTGAAATTAAGTGCAATAAAGTAGGTAACACAACCATTAATTCCTTTTCCTTGTTCTATTCCTAAATTAAGCCCTATCAATATTAAAGTGAATGCTTTACCTTCTGGGTCAAGCCAAGATAAAGCAATTAGGCAAGAAAGTACTCCACATCACTTTTGCAAATAGTTCTATGGTGTATCCTCTTTGGATGCTCAGCTTAAATCCCACACCAGCTGAACAGAATTTCTTATCTCTTTCGAAATCCTTAATATTAATTGTTGGAAATACTTATTTTATGCTAACTAGGGGTTGCCCTTAGTTCTCATTTTCTAGTTGATTTTCATGGGAATAAGTTTTATTTTCACAGATAAACCATAAGATCCTTGAGATTAGGAATCTCATATCTCTACATCCATCTAATCTTTATCTATCTATCTATCTATCTATCTATCTATCTATCTATCTATCTAGTTTTGTATAGGAAACATTGATTCAGACAGTGCCTTCTTAGAATGCAGGTTGTGGGAGGAGGCAATCAATATTTCTGAGGAACTGAATATTACTGCCACTAGCTTCAAAGTCTTTTTTTCATGTATATGCTAAATTCCAAATACTTAAAAATTAATGCACATTAATATCCTCCAGTATGATCAAATTCAGTGATTCATGAAATGCAATCTTCTAGTTATTACCATGTTGAATCCTCATATAACCTCAAAGGGAATAAAAAACTAAAAATACAACAAAGCCCAGTGGTGCCCAATCAGTAAACCTAATGTTAGTATCTATTTAGAGTTTTGTATTTAAAGAAACTAAATCATGGGCAATATATAAAGTTTTAGAAATTTTAAAAAACTTTGTGTATCTGATGTCATATTAAATTTATATTGAATAATCACTTTTGTTGTTTCATTTATCTAGCCAATGCAGAAGTTTTAAGCAAGAAAAAAAAGTCACATTGAAAATATCAAGAAGGTTGTAGCTGTAGGCTGAGAAGTATAAATATATAAGGATGTCAGTTGCTAAAAGGTATGAGTTTCAAGTATTCTGTCTTTACTTTCATTTTATATAGCTCTGGTCAATTTCACAGCCCCAACCAGTACTGAACAGGGAAATTGGAAAACTGCAGAATTGATTTGCAGAAGTGAAGTTCTATTTTCTTTTACACCTTCTTCATCAGAGTTGCTATCATTCTTGTGTTGTGTGGTATTATTGAGAGTAGCCTGGGTATAGCTGATAATTGCTAAAAGTCATTCTCTTGAAATGAAAGCAGAAAAAAACAAGGAGCCTTCAATTTCTCATTTTCCAAATTTGATGCTTTCATAATCCTTCATTTTTGCTAGAATTTAAACGTAAAAACTTTTCTTCTCTCAAGCAACCATGATTATAGCAATTCTCTTTGCTTGTGATTCCTAGGTAAAAAAAAATATTAAAATAATAAAGCTCTAAGTGTCTAATTTGAACTAAATATAGGACCTTCAAATATTCTGGTTCAGTTTTTCAGTTTCCATCCTTAATTGATTTTACTTTAAACTTTAAATATAGGAGTAAATTGCAATATAGTACTTAATACCTTAAGATGAAAACTGGTTTACTTTTGCTGCTCTTTCCAGATGTGCAGTAGATTCAGGAGGTTTTTACTAAAATTCAAATTAGAGGTGTTTGAAAACAAAGCTGTAACCTTTGGCTATTTAGTATCAATCCTGAAAAGGAATCTCCCCAGTATTCTTACAGATCATTGAGAAAGAATTGTTGTGGTACAACTGACTGAATTTCGAGATCCTCCTACATATTCTGTGTTTTTTAAAAATGCATTTTAGTGATGATTAAATCTTTACTATGTAATGCCATCTGCCCAGTAGAATGGAGTCCATTTACAGTGTCATATAAATGGCAACTTTTTACCTATAATTTTTTTTCTATTTATTTTTAGATTGGCTTTTGTTCTTTGTATTCTGCTGCATCTCCAATTTATAAATCTTTGTGGGTCAAAGAATCAGAACACTGTCTTCTCACTAATCAAACAATATTGTCAAGTCTGTTTGTTACTAAGTTGAGAATTGAATTTTTAAAAAATTGGCCAAGTTTCTTAAGGCTTAAATAGATAGATGGCTACAAAACAACAACAAAGCACAAACAAAACTCCTCTATTTTAACAGATTTGAAAAGGTTGCCAGATAAAATACAGAACACCCAATTAAATTTAAATTTCAGATAAACAACAAATGATATTTCAGTTTAAATATTTCTCAAATAATGCATGCCCTGTATTTTTATTTGCAATATCGTCAGATGTTGTCAAACCCTAAGGATTAACGCCATTTTTTTCCTCAATACTAACCATATTGTCATAAAGTGCTACCATTTTAATAAATTAGAAAGCAACATCATAAAAACGAAAAAATAAAGTTATGAGTAACCAAAATTAAGTCAATTTCATCTATCCAGAAACGTGCATACAGGACATTCACAAAGAAGAAATTATAAGTGCATATGTATATGCAGAAACCCCAGTCATGAGGAAACACCACTTCCTGTTAACTTGCATGGGATTATAGTATTTTAAGTTCTAAATTTCTCAGCAGACCTAGAAGACAGAACTGAATTGTTTTTCATAATTATTTCTCTTTCTCAATCACAATTTAAATTCCAAGATCCTTTCTTTATCAAGAAGTTCAACGGTTTGATCTTTTCAGTGCTAGAAAAGTTATGCACACGGGCTAACTATATGTCTACTAGAAATTCTTCCCATTCGCTGATACTTCCTTACATTTTAACATCTAGAAATAGCATTCCCAATGTTAGCTCATTTGCACCTTACATTTATTTTTAAAATATGAAACATCTATAATGTGCCAGGCACCCCGTTAGATGTTAGAAACACAAGATGAGTAAATAAAAATTCGTCAACAGTAAAATTTTGATTTTCTTTCCAAAAGGTTGCAGCCTATGAAATCCATGGAGTACGGATTACTATTACTTCACGTTACAGATGAAGGATCTAAGCGCTCAGGGGTTGAAAGGTCTTATGTCAGTTCTCACATATAGTGACTAAAGAGCCAGGGCTTCAGTAATCATCCCTGGCTCCGGGCTCAGGGCATTCCGGTATTTTTTCAAAGGAAATTCCGGAATACTTAGTATTGTATCCCCTCCATTTCCCAAGAGCAAAAAGTAAAGCATCTTGGATCCCCTTGTAATGTTCACGTGAGGAACAGGTGTTCTCTGGGTGTGCTAGAAAAGCAAGGCACCAGTGGGAGTTGAAGATCCTAAGCAGCCGCTGTAACCAGACCAAGTTAATCTGTGGAAACCAGAGCACCCGGCCAAGGCGATGCTATTTCAATTGGGTGTCATAGGTGACTCATCAGAGACGCCTTGCTTTTGGGCCTTGTGATATTTTTCTTCAGGGTGGGACGTCAGATTTCCTTTGCATTTTTGGACAACAGCCCTCCTGTCCATTTCCACATTTTTCTGGTTTTACAGCTCTCACGCAGAGCTTGATTTCATACCGGAAGCTAGTCACTGGCAGGAAGTTTACGGAAGAAGAAAAAGGTAAAAAAATGTGCCGGGGGCCAGGAGAGAGGCCTAAAATGGGGAAATTCGCACTTGAAGAGCTTTCCCTACCCCAGCCCCTCAGAATGACAGTTCTCCTCCGCCAGAAGACTACCTCTCCCGGCAGGCACTGCGCGCTCGACGGCCACAGGCTGGCCAGCTCCCTGCTCTCCACCTCCATCCGAATCAGCCAATAGGAATTCCCGGCTTGGGCCTCCGCCCGACCCGGACCACGCGGGAGCCGGGGCAATCAAACTACATTTCCCGACACGCATGTGCTCGCGTCGTGGCCAATCAGCGCCAGGAATTCGGAGGCTAGGGGTGGAGCCAGATGCACAGGACACCCCATTGGCCAGGGGAAGCTTAGAAGAGCCGGAACCCGGGAGCTAGAGAAGCGAAATGACATTTCCTTTTTAAATAGCTGGAGTCGGGGCCCCATCGAGAAATGGCCGCGTCGGCAGGTGGGTCGTGTGGTGGCCAGGGCGGCGTGGAGGGAGGTGAGGGGGAAGGTGGGCCGGGGCCGGCCACAGGCAGTGGGATGAGGACGTAGCGGTGCGGAGCTAGAGGGAAGGATGAAGCGGTGGAGGGGAATGAGAAGAGGGAGGATGAATGGTGCGGAGGGCGGTGGGCGGTCCGGCGGGACCGGGATGGGGAGGCTGGGTACCCGCCGGCGCTGCGCCCCAGGAGGCAGCGGGAGGCGGCTTGAGGGGGCACCGGCGGCCGCCGTTGTTCGAGCTTCCCTCGTGAGGCTCTGCCCTCGGCTCTCGGCGGAGTCCGCGCAGACGCCTCTCCTGGGCTGCGAGCGCGTTTCCTCCGCGAGCACGGGTGCCGGGCTCGCCGGGCTCCGCAGGAGCAGGCTGGCCTTTGAACTTGTTCCGCCGATCGCGCTCCGCCCTCTGTCTCCCAGATCCTTAACTCGCGGTCCCACGAGGTCGTGCGTATATCCACAGACATTTGTATATATCTTGTAGGGGGAAAAAGCCTAGCAAGCAGACACACAAACAGAAAAATCCCGCGATGCCGTAACTGGCTCGGCACTTCTTGTAGTTGTACGATTTTTCTCCTCCTAGATTTAAGTAAGTCTTCCCCAACACCGAATGGGATTCCATCTTCAGACCCAGCCAGCGATGCCATGGACCCCTTCCATGCTTGCAGTATTCTTAAGCAACTCAAAACAATGTACGATGAAGGACAGTTGACAGACATTGTAGTGGAAGTGGATCACGGGAAAACATTTTCCTGTCATAGAAACGTTCTTGCTGCAATCAGCCCTTACTTCAGGTATGATGATGGTAGGAACTTCTGTTGGTATCTGCACCAAGCTCCCTTTCCCCCTCAGTATTGTCCACTTGATGTTTATATTGAGATGCGATAATGAAATGAAACCAATGACTTTGTTTCTTGAGACTAGAAAACAAGTCCTCTCTTAACTAAGACCTTCTTTTGACTTGAGGGATTCTTCTAGATTTCGGGTGATTGCTTTTTAAGTTAGTGGGCCTGTGTGTGTGTGTTTGAGGTAAATGACCAGAAAATCTAGACTTGTGCTGGTCAGTATGGAAGCCAGTAGCCATGTGTGGCTGTTTAAACTTAAATTATAAGTTAAATAAAATAAAACATTTAGTTCCCCAGGTACACTAAATACTTTTTGAGTGCTTGCTGGTCACCTGCAGCTAGTGGCTGCCATATTGGGCAGCACAGAAATACAGCATTTTCATCATTGACAATTTTATTGGACAGTGCTGATCTAGAATTTCTTTCAAAAAGTTATCCATAATGCATGTTTCTTTAGTGTATGGGACTCTTTTATAAAATAGTTTAAAACATGTAGCATGTTCCTTCAAAAACAAATTACCACTCAATAGATTGTTTAAATGCTATGGGGGTCAAAGCAAGAATGAATATAGTTTCTTTGTGCCTAAGGCCCCAAATTAATAATATCCAAGATTTCTAGAAGTATGTTAAACGAAGTTTTTGTTTTTACTTATATTGTCTACTATAAAACTTTTAAAAGTAAAATTTAAAAACTTGGGTCTGAAAAATAACTTCCTACTTTAAGATGAGTGGAAAAGGCAGTTTTCTGCATGGGCTTAACTTCTTTTGTGTCAAATGCTCACTTTAAGCCTTTCAGTATTCACAAGTGGTGCATAAATAATAGTAAAGTTATCAACCACACTCTGAATGTGATTTTTCCTTTTGAAGGTGCTTACCTTTATAGGGCACATAACCATATAATGTTCCAACAGTAGTTTCTGGTTCCTCTTTCTCAGAATACTGGGTTAAATATAGTCACTTCAGTCTGATGCTTGTGATGTAACCGTTTAGACTTGCCTAGGGTAGGTCATTGGACTACTAAGTATTAATCATCGCAAGACAGTGAGCTGGAAAGAAAAAAAAACTCACATATGCAGAAGGTATGAAGTTTGGCCTGGTAATGGAAACTTCTAGTGAGATTCACTTACCCAGATTATCTATTAGATATGGTTAGGTCATTTGTATGTTTAAATATATGTCACAGTTACTACTTATCAAGCTCTAGGCTAAGCTTACTTTACATGTATTGCCTTATATAATCTTTATAATCCTATCTCTGCATAGTTGTTGTTCCATTTTACTTATGAAGAAGCTGAGGCTCAGTGAGATTGAGTTTTAATAACCTGCCTAAATCATCTATCCAACAAGTAAATGGCAGAGGCTACATTTGATTACAGAGCCAGGCTTCTTAGTAGCCATATGACTCTTAAGGAACAAGAGTTGGTACAGTTTCCTTTAAAACATTTTTATTGTATATTGCATTTGAATAGTAAAAACAAAAACAAAACAAAACAAAACAAAAACTGCAAAGTAAAAATGTCTATATCTTACTGAAATTTAATAATCTGGATTATATCATTTAAATGTCATACTTATGTATGCTTACTAAGTATACTTATTAAGTATAATACTTAGTAAGCATACATAATAAATATGATATATGTATACATATTAAGTATACTTATTAAGTATAATACTTAGTAAGTATACTTATTAGTAACTTTACATAAGTATGACATTTTCACCTTGCAGTTTCATTTTTTATTTTTGAAGACCTGGAAAAAAATTTTACTTTAAAAGAAGTATGCTATGATAGATTTCTAATTTTCTTGATTCCTTAAAATCTTAAATTCTTTAATTTTGTTAAGTCAATTTTTAAAAGGAGTAAAAAATACTTGAGAAATTTTCTGGGGATACGATATGTGCATTGAAATAAAGATATTTGGCTAGAAACCTCAAGGATTAGAATTTGATCTCTTGCTAGAGGTTTTTGTACTGAAGTTTCTTGGTACCAGCGCTGCTTCCTGTGTGGGATGTAGAAAATCGTACTTAATGTTTCTACGTCTTGCATCACTAGTGGAAGAATTAGAACGGCTGGAAATCTGGAATGGCTGTTTCATGATACCAGTAACTCATCAGAATTGAAATTTGTATGATTATTAGAAATTTTTTGCTGCTCTGGATTTTGTGTGAGGAAGTGCCCTGGCTTCATTTATGTTGAGTTTACATGAAGAACTTACTAGAACAGAGGAAAACTCATGAAGTGTGAGACCACTCCTGTGTGTAAGATGAGCCTATTCAAGTCAGCAGTAGTTCCCATGATAAAGGGATATGTGGTAATGTCTTCCTTTGGGAGTTAATGTCTCCCTAATGCAGGGCTTTATTTTTCTTTTTAATTGGTAGCTGTATCGGTGAGTCTTTCAGCACCTGAATTGAAAACCAGCACATACGTAGGAACATCTAGTTTTTAGTCATCAAAAAAGCCAGTGTGATACTAAATTAAAATGTACATTGTAGAAGTAAAAACAGGACTCGAAGATGATTAACCTGGGCAGCAAGTTGAGTCCTTGTACCTCCAGTGTTTCTCATACTGCATTTTAAAATTAATTCCATGAATTTGAGAGATATTTTTTAAGTGACTGGAAATCTTTGCAATTCATTTTTCATAAGATCACAAAAATTAAATAGGATGAGTCTGGATCATCTAGAATGAAACTTTAAAGGAGCGAAAAGAAAGGCAAATGATGTTTGCAAGTGACTAATACTTAAAGAGCCAGGCTGCTTAATGTTTCGGTCAAGAAAATCCCATAAATGCAACAATATTTTAATAATAGAAAAAACCAACTTGGTCTCGAAGGTAAAAGTTTGGGGTTTTAAAAACCATTATCTTCAAAGAATCAGTTAACTATTAAACTCTGTTTAAAACAGGCATTATGTATTGACTCTACCATAATCTTTATTTATGTCTAGATTTAGGTAGGTAAAATATGGTATCTTTGAGAAAATGAAGTATTTCCTTTTAAGCAAATGTTCTCAAAATTTCCAAGGGTAAGTGAAGTGATTATTATATTACTTATAATGGTTAAGGCAGCATTCAAAAGATGACAGTTTTAAAAAGGAGTAGGTGGAGAATATGTACTTTTAAAGAACTTCTTGCTTTTCTAAGATGAACATTTTAAAGATATATTTTGGATACAAGTTGCCTTGTAATTTTCACCAGGACATGAAAAGTTTTTATTAGGTTGTTTCTTTGTATGCTAATGTATCATGTTGATACCTTTATAGGTATTCTTTTTTTTTTTTTTTTTTTTTTGAGATGGAGTCTCACTCTGTCTTCCAGGCTGGCACTCAGCTCACTGCAACCTCCGCCTTCCGGGTTCAAGCGATTCTCCTGCCTCAGCCTCCTGAGTAGCTGGGATTACAGGGATGTGCCACCACGCCCAGCTAATTTTTTATTTTAGTAGAGATGGGGTTTCACCGTCTTGGCCAGGCAGATTTTGAACTCCTGACCTTATGTGATCCACCCACTTTGGCCTCCTAAAGTGCTGGAATTACAGGCATGAGCCACCACACCGGGCCAGTATTCTTAAGCTTTCTGACTGGCATGGCCCAATTTAAGATCTGATGTCCCTAAGGCAACTTGACCAGAACTCTGGATAGGGGCTTCTAGGAAAATAAAGTGACCTGGAATATGTGTGTCACCTTTTGATTTGCATTTACTTAGGTGTACTCTCCTTTTTTCATAGTTGGCACACAGCGAGCTAGCCCTGAGAATATGGGTTTTGAGGTTAGCCAGACTAAATCCTTCTGATACATTATCAATTTTTACTCCTATTCAGAATATCAGGGACTATTTTAGGAAATATTCTGTTTCAAAAGGTTATCTTTGTGGTAACTTTGTACTTTTAAAATCTTGCCACAATAATTTTGATTTATAGCACACGTGTAATATTAACCACTCTTTCCTTCTTAGATCCATGTTCACTAGCGGCCTTACAGAAAGTACTCAAAAAGAAGTTCGAATAGTTGGTGTTGAAGCTGAATCGATGGATTTAGTGTTGAACTATGCCTACACTTCCAGAGTTATTCTTACAGAGGCCAATGTTCAAGCCTTGTTCACTGCAGCTAGCATCTTCCAGATTCCTTCCATCCAAGACCAATGTGCTAAGTATATGATCAGTCATTTGGACCCACAGAATTCTATTGGGGTCTTTATCTTTGCTGATCATTATGGTCATCAGGAACTCGGAGATCGATCAAAAGAATACATTCGTAAAAAGTTTCTGTGTGTCACCAAAGAACAAGAGTTTCTCCAGTTGACAAAAGACCAACTGATAAGTATACTAGACAGTGACGATTTAAATGTAGACCGAGAAGAGCATGTTTATGAAAGCATTATAAGGTGGTTTGAGCATGAACAGAATGAAAGAGAAGTGCACCTTCCAGAAATTTTTGCTAAATGCATACGTTTTCCTCTGATGGAAGATACCTTTATAGAGAAAATTCCACCTCAGTTTGCACAGGCTATAGCCAAAAGCTGTGTAGAAAAGGGACCATCCAACACCAATGGCTGTACACAGAGGCTTGGAATGACTGCTTCTGAAATGATCATATGTTTTGATGCTGCCCACAAACACTCAGGAAAGAAGCAAACAGTGCCTTGTCTAGATATAGTCACAGGAAGGGTGTTTAAACTATGCAAACCACCAAATGACCTGAGAGAAGTTGGGATTCTTGTATCACCAGATAATGACATTTACATTGCAGGAGGGTACAGGCCAAGCAGCAGTGAGGTCTCCATCGACCATAAGGCAGAAAATGATTTCTGGATGTATGATCATTCCACCAATAGATGGCTATCCAAACCATCCTTGCTTCGAGCCAGAATAGGCTGCAAACTTGTCTATTGCTGTGGTAAAATGTATGCAATCGGAGGTCGTGTTTATGAAGGTGATGGGAGAAACTCACTAAAATCTGTTGAGTGCTACGACAGTAGAGAGAATTGTTGGACGACTGTTTGCGCGATGCCAGTTGCAATGGAATTTCATAATGCTGTGGAGTACAAAGAGAAGATCTATGTTTTACAGGGTAGGTGCCTAAGTGATTTAGTTTTTCATGGAAGGGTAACACATCAAGTGGTGGTTTACTTAATTATACTGAAACAGTTGTGTTCCCGTTAATTGAGGAATACCTCCAGCTTCCTTATCAAACTATTGGAACAGTCTGTTCTGTAAAGAGCTATAAAGAAAATAAACTCTTGAATTAAAAAAAGGCAGGTATTGTTAAATTACTAAAATAATCCTATAATTTTTAATGATTTTGTGTCTTGATATCATGTAGAATAACTATTTTTGAAAACATTCTTTAATAAATAATAGTTCGGCATTTTGGGATAACTATTTCAGAGTAGTTTGTAGGACTTGAAATAAATAGCAAGGTTGTTACATGGCTGTTTTTGCTCTTGAGTAAAATTGAGATGTTGTAGCAACTGGTATTCTGTGGAATTTACTGGATTAGTTTAAAAGAGAAAAGAACAAAGCATTAATTAAGTTATACTATTTAGTTACCAAAGAGTTTTATATAAGCCTTATTATTGCAAAAATTATGAAATTTAATTACAAAGAGTTTGGAAGTATGGTCTTCAAGTTTCACCTTCACTGCTGTTTATGTTGCCTTTCATAATACATTTTCAATTTTTTTCACCGGAAAACTTTGAGATGTCCCTTTTTTTTGGTTTGCCATTTTAAGTGGGACTATCTGATATATGTAGTGTTTGTTTTGTTTTGTTTTCTGTTTGTTTTTTTAACTGTTAAGGACTACTACTTTGGCAAAAATACAGTAGAGGTAGAGTGACTGAGTCAGAGTAAATAAGACATTTGATTCAAGGCTCTGATTTGTGATAACTATTTTCCTTTTATTTGGTTTCTTACACATTTTAGTTGCTTGAATGTTTAATGCAGTGTAGATAATAGCAACATCCTTATTCCTCGTATGTGTCTCTTAATTGATGTTTTTCTCACACTACTACTTAAGGAAAAGGAGCAGCTTCTATGAAGATATACAGTCATGTGCCATGTAATGTTTTGGTCAATGATGGATCACATACACAATGGTGGTCCTATAAGATTATGATAGCATATTTTTACTGTACTTGTTCCATGTTTAGATATGTTTAGATACAAAAATGCTTCCCATTGTGTTACAGTTGCCTAGAGTACTCAGTACAGTCACATGCTGTACAGTTTTGTAGCCTAGGTGTGTAGTAAGCTCCCATCTAGGTTTGTGTAAGTATGCTCTATGATGTTCTTCCCACAAGGACAACTATCACTTAATGATGCATTTCTCAGAATATGTCCCTGTCATTAATTGATGCATGACTGCCCTTATCCCATTGTTTTCTTTCTTTCTTCTTTCCCCTCCCCCTTCCCCTTCCCTTCTTTTCTTTCATTTCTTTCTTTCTCTTTTTTTTTTTGAGGCAGGGTCTCACTCTGTCACCCAGGCTGGAGTGCAGTGGCATGATCTTGGCTGACTTCAACCTCCGCCTCCTGGGTTCACATGATTCTTCCACCTCAGTCTCAGGCATCTGCCACCATGCCTGGCTAATTTTTTTATTTTTGGTAGAGTCGGCGTTTCACTATGTTGACCAGGCTGGTCTTGAACTCCTGACCTGCAGTGATCCACCCACCTTGGCCTCCCACCATTGTTTTCTTTTAAAAATTGTGTTCCTTGCTCTAATCCTTTATTTAACTAAAAATTTCCTAGTAATATCTGAGCTCATTTGTTTAAGTTCAGTGTCAAGTTAATTCCTCAGAAGGAGTTGTACTCTCTGGTTCCTTATTTTAGTTAAATAGAAGCACAGGCCATGATTTGGGTTTGCTGTCTTGTGGAAAAATGGAATATAAGAATGGATGTATGATCCGTCCAGTATACTTGGATAGGTTATGTCATCCAGTATGATGAAGCTGTCTGTGTATGTGTGTATTTTGGTCTTACTGCCTAACTGTTAGTTGGTAGAGGTAGAATTAGATTCCTATTTGGAATGTGAAGTTTGTATATTAATGCAAATACTAAAGCAAACTAGCAATGAATTAATAGAATTTCAGGGCTGGAATTATTAACATCATTTAATTTGAGGTTATATTTTATATAAGAGGACTCTGAAGCCCTAAGGGTTTCTTAATTGCATATTATTAGCTTTAACTTTTATTAAAGAGTACTTTAGATTTTAACATTCAACTTCTTTGGTGTGTCGTCTTTACTTTCTTATCTATAAGAAATTTATAGAGAAGTAGCACACATTACAAAGTTTAAATTTCCTACCTTATTTATCGAGAATCCTGTTACAAGTTAGGCAATAAGGGCAGATGATGTGCGAGCAAATCTGGGAGCTTTACAAGCTATTTTAAGTTAGTTGAAGGCAAAGCATCACTGTTACGAAGTACGTAGTTGAATTTGTAGATAAGAGTAACCCTAGTTCAAAACAGTTTTCAAGGGGAAGCTCAATTTAGAATCTGGTATTTCTAATCTAAACAAAGCCTCTTTACATAAATAAACCTGACATGCATAGTCAGAAGCTTATGTTGTACTATCTGTGGCTATTGAAGTATCATTTAATCTGTTCATAAAGTGTTCAGATTTTTATTACAAAGATTTTAAACAAATGCTATAATTAGCAAAACTATTGTAAATCTTCACTACTTTAATTCTTTCAGACATTTTCATATTGGCAGTCTGACTCAGCATACCTTTTTATTATCAAATCAAAATAGAAACTGACTCAAAGTCAACATCACAAACCATGTATGTGTTTTCTATCTTATTAAAGTCATGTTTTCTCCTGCTGAATATTTCTCTTTGCATTATAGCAACATTCAGGTAAGCACATCAGTGACCCATAAGCATAAATCTGCACAATTCCATCTGCTGTCTTCTAATTAAATAGCATACACATTTATCATGGCATATTTATGATGATGTTACATGTATGCATTTTGGTCTTACTGGCTGAACGTTACTAATAATGCTTTTTTAGAGCTAGAGTAAAATGAATTTTCTATAAACACACAAATTGGATAGAGCAAATAGAATCAAGTTTGTGTTTTTTTTTTTTTTTTTGAGATGGAGTCTCACATTGTTACCCAGGCTGGAGTGCAGTGGCGTGATCTTGGCTCACTGCATCCTTCACCTCCTGGGTTCAAGTGATTCTCCTGCCTTAGCCTCCTGAGTAGCTGGAATTACAGGTGCCTGCCACCACACCTGGCTAATTTTTGTATTTTTAATGGAGATGGGGTTTCACCATGTTGGCCAGGCTGGTCTCAAACTCCTGACCTCAAGTAATCCACCCGTCTCAGCCTCCCAAAGTGCTGGGATTACAGGCGTGAGCCACTGTGCCTGGCCAGAATCAAGCTCTTAACAATTCTGCCATCAAGCCCAAGTAACTCCTTGTACCTTCCCAATACAAACCTCCCAATTCAGGTTGATTATAATATTATCTGTTATATTGTGTCATGGAATGACAAAGTTTTAAGGTATTTTGTAACCCATATGAATGTATCTCTGGAGATTATAAAAGAAATGTTTTAGAAAGTGAAATATATAGCAAATTATGCCCTTTAATCTTTAGAGGTTGTAGTTACAACATATAACCAAAAACCAAACATAAAAATTTACATATTCTTGTTTTCTTTTTTTTTTTTTTAGGAGAATTTTTTCTCTTCTATGAGCCTCAAAAAGACTACTGGGGTTTCTTAACCCCCATGACTGTGCCTAGAATCCAGGGCTTAGCAGCTGTATACAAGGACTCTATCTACTACATAGCTGGAACCTGTGGAAATCATCAACGTATGTTTACTGTAGAAGCCTATGATATTGAGCTAAATAAATGGACTCGTAAGAAAGACTTTCCATGTGATCAGTCCATAAATCCATACCTTAAACTGGTACTTTTCCAGAACAAACTCCATTTATTTGTTCGAGCTACTCAAGTGACTGTTGAAGAACACGTCTTCAGAACCAGCAGAAAAAATTCCCTTTACCAATATGATGACATTGCTGACCAGTGGATGAAAGTGTATGAGACCCCAGATCGGCTCTGGGACCTTGGCCGGCATTTTGAATGTGCTGTTGCTAAACTGTATCCTCAGTGTCTTCAGAAAGTACTCTAAATGAGTAGCAGGCCTTAGTGCATCACTGGCATCTCATTCTTAGGAAACTTGTCTTTGATACAAAAGAGTGCTGACAGTATTTCAGAAAGCTGAGAGAGTTTTATACATGGAAAATGGGTATGCTTAAAGATTGCAGGGTAGGGAGGGATTTTCCTTCATCCTTGTGACATTTCATTTCAGTAAGGAAAAGATAACAAAGTGCAATTATCAGCATTTTTTTTTCCTGGCATAAAATTAATCATTTCATTTTATAATTTTGTGATAAATAGTAACTGAGGTACCAGATGAATCAGGACAACTATGCACTCTTATAAGAGCATTTAGGGTATTATTGGGTAAAGACGTCTAAACTTGTTTGATGTGACTTTTAATTTTAAATACGGGTAACAATCTGAGGCAATATCACTAGGACTTTAGCTGTGACCTCTCTAACACAGAGAAGCACTAACTTAGATCCTCATTCTTAATATTTATATGTATCTATTTTTGTGTACTGTTTTCAAGTGTACTGAGATTTAAATGTGTTCTATTATTAGAGTAGATCGAAGAAAAAATTAGTCTCAGAAAGAGCTTTTAGTCTGATTGTTTCCATTTCCCATGTAATTTTAAGTTAAGCTAAAGTTTTAAAGTGGCAGTTTTCTGTCGATGACTTTTTCAAGTGCTAACACTGTCTCTTTTGTGAAAATCTGGAAAAGTGCTCATATTCACAGGTGGCTGGTGCTAGTCTAACTTAATTCATGTGTATAACTAGATGGATTTAAATGGTCTGAGCCTATGCCTATCTTTCAAATTGGTGTGGATTTCATGGCCATAGTACTTTACCTGTTGAACTCTTGTGATTTCACAAGATTCTCTACTTATGTGATAGGAGGGTATGGCCAGTTATTCATCTAACTGGACTCAATCTTAGAATAGTAGGAACATTATACCCAGTTTGCACTAACATGGGCCATTTGTAGCCCAACCTTCTCTTCCATCTACCTGTCCATTCATTATTGGTACAAGGAAAGGTAACTTATTTCTCTTCTGCACAGAGCATAATGTGAAGTTTTATACCTACTTTTAAAATTCTGCTTTCCAGAAACAAAATTCCTGCAGTGGTCTAATTTAATGTCTTTAAGTTTCATATTACAATTAAAACCTCATTTTTTTTTTCCATTTTTGCACTTAACAGTGATGAATACTTTTACGTTGGAATCCTCCTTCTAGCTGAAGGTGATTGAAAAGGAAAAGAGTGAGTGAACAGAACCATAGCTTTCTAGGTACTAAAGCATTTTTTGCATTTAACTGATGAAATTTCTAACAATCATCAGTTAGGAATATTAACATGAAGGATAAACCAACTTATTTGTATACCTAAGGCAGGCATTTGGATCAGTAACATGTTTTACTAAGCCTAGAGTAATTCGTAAAGGGTATAAGCATAGGACAGATTTTGCCCTCAATCACAATATTTGTATTCACTTGAAAGCAAACTGGCATGGTTCGTATTTTAAAAATCTTGCACAAATTGTAATGTGATACTGTGAAACAAATTGAAAACATTGCCTCTTTGCATCACATACCTCGTTTTTCAGAAACTTTCCAAACTGCTTTACATAGACCTCTACAAGTAGGGAATGTTTTCTGAAGCAGAAGTTAAAATGGACAGCATTTCTAGAATTAACATTTTAAAATCTAGTCTTAGCTAGATATGTGGTTTCTTCTTATTGGTGTTGATAGTATGTCTGTAATCTCTGTATAAACTTTGTCAACATTTTTACCTCCCCAGTTTTATCTTCTGTTTTGTTTTTGTTTTTATCATCATGATGTTTTGGAGTTATTACTGTGTATTTTAGAAATCATTCTTTACAGTTTTGCATTGCTGAGGAGAGAGAAAAAACAATTTTTTTGCAAGAGATGTTCATGTAATTTATTTTTGAAAGCTTTGTTGAATAAGATTTCCTGCCGCTTTTTGACAATCTTGTGTATTTAGAAAAATGTATTACTTGAAAACATGACATAGAACATTGAGTTAGCAATTTACATGGGCTGTATGTTATATAAGAGAATGACATACTGTGGCTAATTCAACAGTAGATTTATTCTTTTAGCCTGCACAACAGTTGATCTTTTGGCTATGACAATTTGTATGGAGGGTACGATCTAAGTTAAGTGTGTCAAAAGCAAGGCTTAGGATTTGTTATGGGAGTAGAATATATATTGAATTTTGTATGAAGAACTATTTGTTTAAATTATATAGCTGGGATATTTTGCCACTGTTAAAATGGATTCAGAAGAGGTCCTAGAAAAGTAAGATTAGTGACATGTGTGGGTTTATATTTAGATATTTAAGGTGCATTTTCATAGTGTGGTAAGACCTTAAGTAAAAGGCACAATGGGTACTACAGAATTAAAATGTAGGTCTAACATAATGCCAGTTCCACTTTAACTTTGTTTTTGCATTTGAAGAATGTATGTAGCACTTTCCTATATATTTGTCACACATTGAAAACTGGACTGGGTATAACTATGTTATAGGAAAGTAGAAATTGTATTCTTTATTTTCCATCTTTGTTTTCTGTTCTACAAAGTTGATGCTTAAGCATCAAGCTGATTTTATTGGTCATGAGAACAAATGGATGTGATCATGAAGGAATCAGATTCCCTATGTAAAGCAGTTTAAAATGGAATTCAATGTTCAGTGCTCAGGTATGTAGTAAGTACTGTAGTCCTGTGGGGGCAAATGTGTAGATATTTTTAAACATTTTGCCATAATTGCACAATTTTTTGCATTTTTACCTGATGTCATTGTTTCTTATAATAAAACCTTTTCTGATTGAAAACTTCCAGTGTTGCAAAGTGATATCTGACTAGTGAGTGTTGCAGAATTAAAATCTGGTAAAAAATCATGAAATACCTTATGTCATGATAGAATGGAATGAGATTTTAATCTATTGAATACCTGTCCTCTGGTAAAAAATGAACTACTTTATGTATATAATACTTTTTAAATTCTAAAGCAAGTTAGTTCACTTATATTGGTAAATTCTTTGTTCTGTTTGTTCTGGCCTAAAATCTTGTTATGTTTGACTCTTTTGTGTTGGTCCACTTTGCATTACCGTAAAGGAATACCTGAGATTGAGGCCTCAGGAGGCTTTAGCTCATGGCAGAGGGTGAAGCGGGAGCAGGAAAGAGAGGGAGCCAGAGAAAGTTGGGGGAGGTTCCTGTCTCTTTAACAATGGGATCTCACATGCGCTCATTACCATAGGGAGGGCACCAAGCCATTGATGAAGAATCCACCCCCATGATCCAAATACCTTCCACTAGGCCCCACTTCTTCCAACACTGGGGATCACATTTCGACATGAGATTTGGAGGGGACAAATGCCCACACTATATAATCTCTTACGTATTTCATGTTTAATTCATCAGAAAGTCCCGTTGCTTCTTCCTTCATAATACATCCAGACTCAGACCACATACCATTTGCACCACTGTCACCCTAGTCTAAGCCAGCTTATCTTATCTGACTTAATGCAGTTTCCACTGACTGGTCTTCCTTCTATCACCCTTGACCCCTCATAACCTATTCTTTTCTCCACACAGTACTCAGAGTGATCCTCTTAAAACACAAGTCAGATCATGTTTCTCTTCTGCTCAGATCCTTCCAATGGCTTCCCATCTCCCTTCATATGACAGCCAAACTCCATACTTACATGATCCACCCCTCTCAAACTTGTTGCCATTTACTTGGCTTGCTCTATTTTAGCCACACTGACCTTGCTTGTTGCTCAAACCTGCTGAGCACCTCCACAGCGACTTTGCCCTTGCTGTCTCTTTTGCTGGATAGATCTTGACAACTCACTCACTTTCTTTTTTATTAAAACATCACCTTACTGGAGAGGCCTTCTCTGATCACATTTTGTAAAATAAGATCATCCAACCCCACCCCCATCATACCTCCTGCTTTATTTTTCTGCTTTATTTTCCATATGTGTCTTCCCCCATTGAAATGTACACTCCACAAAGGCAACGAATTTATTTTAATTCACTGTTGCACTTTAGATTGATGCCTAGCACATAGTAGGCACTCAATGAATGCTTGTGGGAAGAAATGAATTTTCAGTTAAGTCTTGGAGCCTAAAGGATTACCAATTTTATTGGTCTTTTCAAAAAAAAAAAAAACCAGGTTTAGTTCTAATGAATTTTCTCTATTGTTTTGTGTTTTCGGTTTCATTGATTTCTGTTCTAATTTTTATAGTTTTTTTTCTTCTGGTTGCTTTAAGTATTAATAACTCATCTTTCTATTTCTTTTCTTTTTTTTGAGACAGGGCCTTACTCTGCCCAGGCTGGAGTGCAGTGACGCAATCTTGGCTCACTGCAGTCACCTCCACGGCTCAAGAGATCCTCCCACCTCAGCCTCCTGAGTAGCTGGGACTACAGGCGCACGCCACTGTGACCAGCTAATTTTCATTTTTTTTTTTTTTTTTTTTTTTTTTTTTTGTTAATACGGGGTTTCACCATGTTGCCCAAGCTGATCTCAAACTCCTGGGCTCAAGTGTTCTGCCTGCCTCAGTCTTCCAAAGTGCTGGGATTATAGGCATGAGCCACTGTGACTGGCCTTCTTTTCCTAATATATGCATTTAATGCTATAAATTTTCCTTTAAGTATTTCTTTTGTAGAATCCCACAAATTTTATTTAGTATTTTCATTTTCTTAGTACAAAATATTTTTATCATGTCTTCTTGGGGAATATACCCTTTCATAATTATGTAATTGCTTCTCTTTATCCTTGATAATCTTTTTTCTGAAGTCTTCTCTGTTTGAAATTAACATAGCCACTCAAGTTTTCTTTTAATTACTGTTTGCTTCATTTATCTTTCTCCATCCCTTCTCTTTTAACCTATCCTAATCTTTATACTTAAAAGGGCTTTCTTGTAGACAACTTACAGTTGGGACTTATTTTAATATCCATTGTGAGAATACTGGTATGTTTAGACCAGCATTGCATTTAAAGTGAGTACTGATATAGTTGGGTTAATATTTAACATATTGGTTATTGTTTTCTATTTGTTGCCCTTCTTCTTTGTTTCTTTTTTTCACCTATTTTCCTGCTTTCTCTGGTTTTGACTGAGCATTTTATATAGGATTCTATTTTATCTCCTCTTAGCACTTCAATTATACTTTAATTTTTTTTTCAGTGGTTGCATTAGACTTACAATATACATTTCAAAACTAATCTAAGTCCACCTTTAAATAACACTATACTGCTTCGTGTGTAGTGTAGGTATCTTAGAACAAAGTTCCCAATTTTCCCCTCTGATCCCTCATGACATTGCTGTCATTCATTTTAGTTATCCATATGCTATAACCATGCAATACATTGTTATGATTAAAGTCATACTTTTAGATCAATTGATATTTAAAAAATAAGATATTTTACTTCATCTTCACTTATTCCTTCAGTATTCATTTATTTAGGCAGATCTAAGTTTCTGTTCTGTTTCAATTTTCTTCTGCCCAAATAACTTCTTTTATTGGGCATTGCTTGCAAGACAGATCTGCAGGTCATGAATTCCTTCAGATTTTTGTTTGAAAAAGTCTTTATTTCTCATGTTTCAAGGATAATTTTGCTGGATCTAGAATGCTAGGTTAGTGGGTGTTTTGCTTCAACTTTGTAAAGTGAGTAGCTTCTAATTAAATATCAGTGGTTTGGTGGGCCTGTGTCTTGGGGCTGTGATCTTCACAGGTGTTTCTCTAGTGGTACAGCTTTTGGTTTTCCCCTCTCCATCCTCTTTCTGGCTGTGCCATTCCCAATTTTATTTCTTTGAAGCCCTGACCCATGTTGATTAAATCCTTTTTCCTTTAGGTGAGAAGAGAAGGTTAGAGAGGTTTGGGATGGGAGGAATGCTCTTCCCCCTGCTTTTGTTGAACTCTGCCAAAATGTTTTTCCGTGGAGAGTATGCTTTTTAAATGGAAAAGGTTCTGGGTGTATTTCATGATCATTACTCTTCCTGTCCCCTAGTCAGAGCCACTAGGAGGTTTGTCTCAGATCTTTGCCATGAGAACCTGGTAGAGTGCCTGTTGGTAAAATCCACAGAAGCGTAGGGGCCCCAAAAGACTGAAGTTCCCAGGAGTTTTCCACTTTCATGGGAGTCCATGTTCAGCCTCAGCGATTCATCAAAAATGACCATTTAAGTGTTCTTACAGTTTACGGCTCTGGTTACTTCTGGTCAAGGTTAGCAGATCTGGACTGTGACTCTGAATTCACCTCTAATCCAGGGTAACATTTGCCCTGCAGCCTAATTTCTCTGATGGATCTAATAAAAGTCATTGATTGTCAGTTTGAATACCTTTTTCTTCCAAGGTTAGGAATGACAACATCCAGGATCTTTACATTTTCAGTGCTAAATGTGGAATCCCCTATAATAAGCTTCTAATACATATTTTTGATTGAATGATTCTTCAGTTATGCATAAATATCTTATGCCATCTTTTATATGTATAATGTTTTTTAACAATTAAAAAATAAGCTAAAAAGTCTCACTTTTAAAAACCTATATACTTAATCATATTTAGGTATCTTTTATTTATAATTTATACGGCCATGGGATTATTTGACATGTAGTTCAGTGAATGTTGACTCTTGAGTACCTAATAATCCATATTTCTTGCACCAAATTAAAATTATATAAGTTAAAAAAATCAATCATTTTAAGACTTTTTTTCCCAGGCTACTAAAACTAAATAGAAAATTACAATGTAATAATTTTAAATTATCCTTATCATGGATAGACAGAACATTTTCTATTGGCTAGTTTTTTAGAAATGAGATTTAATAGATCCTTTTTCTCCTTTCTTTCCTCTTCCATAAGGATATGCACAATTATATGATTTGGTGAATCAAACACTATAATATTAAGTAAAACGTGGAATATATTTTCTAAATATTTTATATTGGTCTGGTCAACATGAATTATAGTGTTTTCCGTGACCGCAGGTAGATTACTTACCTTTTCTAGCTTTACTTTTTCATGCATAAAACAGGTTAATAATCTACCACGTTATCGAGTTTTTTTGAGGATCAAATAAGCATGTGAAACACTTATCACAGTGCCTTATCACAGCACATAATGAACACTTCCTAAATATTAATTTGTTGAAATTATTAACGACTATTCTGCAGTCTTTTAGATATACTTAACCATTGTAGAACAATATTCCTTAATAGCTAATATAAAGTATATATTAAAGTGTAGCCATTTGGACTCTGATTGTGCTCATAAGCCATGCATGAAAACAATTTTTACAGTTTTACAGTCACACAGTTCTCACTTTCATTTCTGGACTGTGCATTTCTAAAGGACTGAAATTAAACCAATGGTATTTAAAATAATTTAAACAAGGCTTGTAACCTCTGTCTGCAAAATAAAAATAATGCTTTTTGGCTTGTCTATTTTTACAAACTGACAAGGGCCTGTCCTTAGAGTTTATCTTGTTCTCTGTTCCCATTCAGAGATAAGGACCTGTCCTAGTCAGTTCAGGCTGCCATAACAAATTGCCATAGGCTGCATGGCTTAAATAACAAACATCTATTTCTCCCAGTCCCGGAGTCTGGAAGTTTAAGATCAAGGTGCTGGCAGATCCTGTGTCTGGTGAGGGCCCTCTTCTCATCGCATCCTCTCATGGTGAAGAGCAGAGAAAGAGAAAGATAAAGCAAGCTCTCTAGTGTCTTTTTATAAAGGTACTAATCCCAGATCCCTCATGACCTAACCACCCGCAACGGCCCTACCTCCTAATACCATCACATTGGGGGTTAGGATTCCAGCACATGAATTTGGCGGAATTGGCAGAAACATTCAGTTCACAGCAGGATTTAACAGAGTTGCGGTCACATAGTTCAGTTCTTGAAACACATGCTTGCAAAATCCTTTAAGGATAAGAAGATAAGGTCAAAACATCTTATCCCAACACTTAGATTACGATGTCAAGTAGCCAAAGTTAAGTCTTGAGGAGCAAATGCCAACAGGAACCCACACAACGCAGGGGAGTATTTCCTTGTAATCAGTGAGAACCTGAGATAGTAAGAAATCCATGGTGCTCTCTGACAACTGTTCTTAAAGCTCAAGAGCTTGGTCAAGGTTAGCGATGGAACTTAGGAGTCTGGCATATCCACAGAGCTGGTTTTAGTTGAATTTGAGTTAATGGATGAGTTAGTGCAAAGATAAATTGTAAAATGAGAAGCGAAAGTAGCTAAGAATAAAATTTAAGAAATTCAGCTGAAGGAACAGAAGAAAGGCAACTGAAAAGTTATCAGAGAAGAAGGGAGAATCACAAAGGAGTAGTAATGCATGAGAAAACTTCAGGAATGAGATCCAAAGAGAAGAAATGAAATGCAGAGAGTAAGAGGCTCCTGGTCTAGCCATGTGAAGATCTGAAATGAGAAAGTGGTTTTAGCCAAGTGCAAGAGATGAAAACCAATTGCTGTGAATTAAGGTGCAGGTGGAGGATGTGAGTGGGTGTCAGTGGGTGAGAGTGCAGGTGCTTCCCCAGGAAGCCTGCAGGTGAGGAGATTCTGAGACGTGGAGGTGCTGGAGAAATAATATTTTTTTAAAAATCAGAACATTTAGGCCTTTTCAATAAAAATGGGAAATGAGAAATATCCTTGCAAAAAGTCAAAATCTTTTCCATTTCTAGACTATTCCCGGTTGAGAGTTCTGCAGTATACCCGTTAACCCCAAAAGTTAAAGAGATTAGGGATATGCAAAAACATGCAAAGAGGCAGGACTGATGAAAGACAAACCCCTAGAAATAGGAGCAGAGTGAAAAAAGAGAAAATCCTGACCCAGAGAGAGGTAGACACACTTTCTATAGCCTCTTACATTTCTGAAAAAGAATGAAAATAGTAAGAGTTTTTGCAACTTCTTGCTACTTTGCCCCAGAGCCAAATATGGTTCCCACCCCTGACCCAAAACATCTGGTTTGTGATAAGGGCTCAATTATCCTGTGCTTTCTAAAGTATGTGGTGGGTGTGGTGATGGCAGGAGTCAACAGGCAGAAGAATGGATGAGCTAATCAGAGCATGCATACGTGAAAGTAAAGAGGACAAGGGTCCTCTCACTTGGTGTTTGTGTAGCTGGAGATGACAGGGAGATGACACCTATCACTCAGGGGCCTGCCCCAGTGAGTGGGGAGTTTCATGGATCTCACCTCAAGTTGTACAAGTATATGTCCTGGGGCAATTTTGATTCACAATTTATAAAATCATGGTAGGATTTTATAATTTTATTTTATAACTTTACCCTATAGCTGCAGGCAGAAAAAAGAGGAGAGTAATTTTGATATGTGTATATAGGCTTTTTTTTCACTTTATATGAATTGTTTATTCATATCTTTTCCTCATTTTTCCTTTTTAAAATTTCATTTAAGTTCCGGGATACACGAGGTTTTTATATTCATATATAAATGTGATACACAGCAAAATACTTGCATCAGTATCTGTGTATCCTTCTTGAAGGTTTCTAAGAAATTGGTTATAATTTTCTTTTTAATCTACATTTTACTATTCCAAAAATTAAAATGCTATCCACACTTTACTGGGCACTGACCTGTGTGAGGTTGATTTCCATGGTAGCATGAAAAAATATATCTATCCTGTTTTGCATGACAAAACATATCTATCATACTTACATATATGATAACAACGACCCATGTGAAAAATAATATCTATGAGACACTGACTAATATCTTATTCTTGCATATCACTTTCTAGTTTTTGAAATGCTTTGGTATCTGTTATCTTTTTGGTTCCTACTACCGGTGCTGCAGCCATCTGTCATTGTCCCCCTTTTACTTTTGAAGAAACAAAGAAACAGAAAAGGAGTTGTTAAACTTAGGGATCAAACTTAGCTGTAAATGAAAGCAGACCTGTTAATTTCCTCCCACTCCCTAGTGAGCAGGGACCCAGGAAGATGGCCCGAATGGTTATATTCAAAGGCAGAACGTGGAGGTGCTGGGACTGCAGACCTTCTTGCTGGTCAAGGAGCCAGTTTGGGATGTAAAGTGAGTGAGTTCACTTTTGGAAGAGCTGAGTTTCAAGTGACAGAGGATCACTATGTATAGATTACTGTGCCGAGAAACAGCCAGGATGGGTGTGGAGACAGGAAACTGAATGAAGGTGATAGGTCAGGCGAAGATGTGGAGTTGGCAGTCACCCAAATACCGGTCAGCGCTCAAGGCACTTACAGAGGGAACGAGAAGAGCCCGGGTGAGAGCCAAGCGTCGGAGGGCCCACGTGAGGACTTAAGGAAGGGGAAGAGAGCATTTCAAAGAGCCAAGGACAGAGAGGTCCTGGGAGAAGCAGGAGCATAGCCTTGAGAAAGGAAAGAGGCTGCATGTGAAGGGAAAACTTGGTGTTCAGAATGAAGACGGCTCCTGAAAACTCAGTTCAACCTTTTGTTCATCAAATGTTCACTGTTAAGTGCAGGTTTTAAATTTGGACTCTGAAAAATGGTTTCTTCATATAGAATAGTGATATGAATGATTTCATTCACTGGAACATCTCACCGCCTAACCAGTGACTCAGAGGAACTTTCCTCTGTTAATGAGTGTGGCCTTCCTCTCCGCTCACCCTTCTGCACCTTGACACGGGACACTGCTCCTCTTCTGTGTCTGAGTCTGCTTGGATTTGAAGCTCCCCAAGGGCAAGGACCCTTTATCTCGAGTGTGTACTGAGCGCGGATCATGGTGCTTGACAGACAGGGGTCCCTCAACCAATTCAAGGAACAATGGCATGAATATCCCGCTTCTGCTTTCCGGCGGTTTAGTTTTCCTCTCTGGGACTCTCTGACTCCATATTTCCCGTTGTTTGGAAAGATACATTTGCAGGCTTAGCCGTGATTGGCAAACATTTTTATATGGGGCTTGGCATTTTAACATCTGGAAAAGTTGTGAAATCAATTAGCTGCAGATAAAGATGGACAGATGGAAATATCTGGTGGTTTTCTGCACATCGGCTATGCAAATAATCAGACCATTGCTTATTGTGCTACACTTGGACTCTGTTTTACCAGATTTTAGGAAGAGTATTGTTTTTTGTTTTGGAGCATGAGCACTCAGTCAGGACATAGAAATACCATCTCCTACTGAAAAGGGGACTGGGTGTAAACGTGGAGTATTTATCAGTGTGGAGTTTTCATACACTTTTCCGACAGGCTTATCAAATCTCTCTGGAAAATTTAGGTTTTTGTTTCATTCAAACAATGATGCAGTTGCATTGATTCTATTCTATCATGTATGTATGGTGGAGGAGGGCAAAGAAAGATAAAATTAACAGACTGGAGAAGGGGATGAGAACTAGGCGCTTGAAAGGGAATTGTTAAACTTGCTGGATCAAACTTTGCTTTAGCTTAAATGAAAAGAGACATTTTATCAATTTCCTGTGAGTGGGGACCCAAAAGGATGGCCTGATTGGTTATATTCAAAATAATGAAATTATTTCCCCTCCTACATCTGAGTTACAATATTAAAGCTTTGCAACCTGCTTTGTGCTGCATATATATCCTTTAGATTCCTAGATGGGCTTCCACATGTGATTAAAAATGCTCATTCCCCTCCCTTCCCTCATCTCTGCTAATATATATTGAAGCCACTGTGCCATTGCTTTCTAGCAGCCAGTGCTACTACGGATAAGTTGCAGGTTATTCTGTTTCCCTGACCTTTGTAAATTTCCTCTCTCTTTTTCTTTTTTTCTGGAATCTTATAGAATCTTCTATTTTCCTTTATATTCTGAAATTTCACAATATATGCCTAGGTTTATGGATTTTTCATGTGATATACTGGCACTGGGAAATTCTCCTGTCATTTATTTGATAATTTATTCCCCTGTGTTCTTGCTTGCTTTCTTTCTGAAATTCCTATTAGATATTGAATTTCTTAGATATGTTTGTTCTCGTATTTCTCTGTTTCTCAATCTCTTTCTACTTTCTAGAAGATTTTCTTGATTGAAGTTTTCAACTCTTCTAATAACTCAGCTACTGTTTTTTTTTTGATTTGCAAGAAGTTGTTTTTGTTTTATGATTATTCTTTTTATGGCAATCTAATAAATATTCTTTTCTTATGCATAAAATATTTTCTTGTATTTCTCTGAGAATCCTGTTTTCCAACATTTTATCATATCAAATTTCAAACACAAAAATGTTAAAGAATTGCATAGTAAATATCAATATACTTATGACCTATATCCCATAATTACATGCTGCAATTTTTATATATTTATTTAATCACATATCCATCTATTCAATGAATAATCTTTAAAAGATTTCTGTTTCTTGTGCTCTGGATTGTCTCCATTTTTTTCAAGATTCATTTCTTTTATTGTTTATTTCTTTCTTATCTTCCAGGCTGATCTCATCTGTCTGAGTTCCTAGTTACCCACTCACATTTAAGAGTAAAATCCTAAAACTCCTGACCATGCCCACCAAGCTTTGAGGAAAAGAAGTGGATCCCTGACTGCTACCATTCAGTGTGTCAGGAAGGTGGAGGAGAATGGATTGTCTCTTCTCTGTATAGATCTTCAATCCTGTCCTGTGTTCAGTCTCATTCCTCACCAATGCCTTCTGCCTTCCTTGGCACTTTTGGTCCCAGGGTCTCCAGGATTTGGTGGAGTGAATCAGCTTTCTTCTCATTCATAGCCCCCTGTGTACTCTTCAGGTACGGGTTCTTCCAATCTGCTAAAGCTACTCCTCCATTTTGTTCTCCTATCTTGCCAAATTTGGTTGAAATATTTTCACAGTTGTCCCCTATCACAATTTTTCTTGTGCATTTATGGTATGTGTGTATATACTTGCATATGCATATATATGCATATATAATATAGTACTTGCATATGTATTTGCAAGAGTTTTGAGGATGGTGAGGAAAAATATATACTTGGTTTAAAGACCATTAGAAAGCTGTCTCTTTTGTTGTTGTCCTTGAGACGGAGTGTCGCTCTTGTCGCCCAGACTGGAGTGCAGTGGCGCAATCTTGGCTTACTGCAAGCTCCGCCTCCTGGATCTCAGCCTCCTGAGTAGCTGGGATTACAGGTGCCCACCACCATGCCCGGCTGAGTTTTGTACTTTTAGTAGAGATGGCGTTTTGCCACGTTGGCCAGGCTGTTCTCGAACTCCTGACCTCAGGTGATCTGCCCACCTTGGCCTCCCAAAGTTCTGGGATTATAGGCGTGAACCACCACGCCAGGCCTGTCTTTTTCATTCTATATTGTTTTGCTTTATCAGTTGTTCCTCTGTTTCTATGGGTTCTGTATTCAGGGATTCAACCAAGGGTGGATAAAAATTTTTGAAAAAACATGGATGGTTGCATATGTGCTGAACATATCCAGACTTTTTTTTCTTGTCATTCTTCCCTAAACAATACAGTATAACTACTTACATAGCATTCACATTGTATTAGATATAATAAGTAATCTAGAGATGACTTAAAGTATACAGGATGGTGTACATAGCTCATAGGCTACTACTAAGGGACTTGAGCATTAGTGGATTTTGGTATCCGTGGGGTCTTAGAACCATTCCCCAATGGATACCAAGGGACAACTGTGTCTTCAAGCAATATGTTCATACAGGTTTGTGGATAGTATACTCTTTGAATCCTTGTGTGCCAGAAAATGTCTTCTGGGTCTCACCTTGCCAGAGAAAGTGAGGCCTGAGAGCATCATATGGGGGTCTGTCAGTGTTTTAGCTGGAGGACACAGCTGTATAGAGACATACGTAGAATAAAATAGTTGTCAATCCATCTAAGACACGTGAGTTGCCATTCGAATCCAACTTCTTACCAAAGTGGCCTCCTGACCCTCAAATTTCAGGAGTTTCCCTAGCACAGGTTCTAAACAGTACCCAATCTGGCAGCGCTGACTTGTAGAACAAGGGATCCAAACATTCGAAGACAAAGTACAGAGTAGCCAAGATCACTGAGTGACTGTGGATATGCATAGCCCAGGTCACTTTTCTCTCAGCTCAGCAGTTGAATGGCTGAATAGAGACTATGTGCCACTAATATATAACTTTCATCTCAGGTTTGAAGGGGCAGCTTTGGATGGTTCCCAGGTAAATGCCAGAAATGTGAAGTCAAGGAAATATCCCATGCTACGATTAGCTGGATATATCTACATTTTCTTCAACAGTAAGTGAAAGTAGCTTGAAAGATCCTCTAAAGGGGTGATGATGTGTAGGGTGGGATATAAGAAGGAAGCCAGGTGGGATATAAGAAGGAAACATCATCATGGAACCCCCATTGCACATAGAGAATGAAAGGTAGGGAAACAAAATGCATAGGCTTAACTAACACAGGAACAGAAAACCAAACACCCCATGTTGTCACTTATAAGTGGGAGCTGAACAACGAGAGTGCATGGTCACAGGGAGGGGAACAACTCACACTAGGGCCTGTCAGTGGGGCAAGGGGAGGGAGAACATCAGGATAAATAGCTAATGCATTCAGGGCTTAATACCTAGGTGATAGGTTGATAGGTGCAGCAAACCACCATGGGACATGTTTACTTATGTAACAAACCTGCACGTCCTGCACATGTATCCTGAAACTTCATATTAAATTAAATTTAAAAAAAAGAAAAGAAAATGCATGGCTTGCCATTTGTATTTATTCTGAACTGGATGCCTTTCCTAGGAAAAATGTCTAAAATTGCTAGAGGGTTGGTGGGGGAGAAGAGAAGCAATGATCATCTTTGTATGTGTTGACCAAGTCAGCTCAGCAGAGGTAAACACTGAATTACAGAAGGGCTTGTAACATAGGAAGCTACTCTAACGTCATGCTTACTCCGAAGTGAAAAATGCCAGAAACTGAGGGATGATGTTTCCTCCAGGTCAGAAGATACAGCTGATTTGATGAGAAAGTACTTAAAAACAAGTTATCCAGATTAAACCTAGTAACAGATAATTGCTCCCCCAAATCCATTCCTACTGTGTTCTTGAGTCAAACAGTTGCCAGGATAAACTGTACATACACATAAAAGAGTAACATGCAGAAAGAAACATCCATAGGATCTATACATTGATAATATAAGGAAAGAGACAGAGGTGGGCAGTGGGGAAGAGAGAGAGAGACAGACAGACAGAGAGAGAGAGAGAGAGAGAGAGAGAGAGAGAGAGAGAGAGAGAGAGAAACATATTAAAAAAATCACTCCAGGAAACAAAAGAAAATTTCAGACACATACTAAACAACACTAATACTGAAGCTCCCTCACTTTGAACCCTTGCTCTACCACTCCCTGGCTTGTGGGATCTTTGGCAAATTACTTGAATTTTCAGTGTCTCCACATTTTTAACAAGAAATGACAATAGTGCCTTCGTCATAGGTTTGTGAGAGGATTGGTAAGATAATATATGTAAAACATTTGTAAAGCTTTTGGCACATAATAGTACACTCTCTGTGTTAGCTATTATTCAGGAGCACACAGCTGACATTCTCATATCAAAGAAGATGGATATTATGTAGAAAAAAGAGATCAAACAAGTGATAAGGAGACAAAAAAGAAGATCAAGATGGATCTGGAGAACTCTCTAAAGAAATGAGAACTAATCAATTCATTGCAGAAATCAGTATTTATTAATAGAAGCTCAAGTAGAAATGACAGCTGAAAACAGAGCCAGGGGCATAAGAAAGACTTCTGAAAAAAAATTACACCAGAGCAAAAGCTATAGTCTCATTCTGATAGACATGAAGTTCAACAACTAAAGTGAATAAAATCACTCAATAAGCCAGAAACATAACTAAATTTGCTCTATTAATGAACAATATCTTACTGGAAATGTATCCAAGCATATGTATTGGAATAACTGTATGGTATTCCTATTAAAATCAGAAGAAGGGGTACTGTTATTTATCCCTGCTCTGGTAATGCTAATGATTGAAAAATTAGACAAGTTAGCAAAATGAGAATAGATTTTTGTGGACAAAAAAGAGACAAGTGTATGTGTGAATAATTGGTTTGCCTACCTAGAAATCTAAAAGAATCAAATGGAAAAGGGTAGAACTAATTATACAGTTCTGTGAGTTAGGCAGAGACAGTAGATGATTGCTAATACAGGAATCAAAACTTGGGCATGCCAACAAAATATCTCATTTTAAAGTTATACTCCCAGTGACAGTTAACAAATTAATTCATCCTTTTGGAGGATAGTCTATCACTTGTCCTAGAATTTGTCCTGGAGAAATTCAGCACATGTAAAAACATTTATGGGCATATGAATAGTAACTGTTGTATTATCTGTAATGGTACATAGAAATATGTGTTTTAAATAGAAAGATTATTTTAAATGGTATATAGAAAGATGTGTTTAAAATACAAATAACTGTTGTATTATTTGTAATAGTACATAGAAAGATGTGTTTAAATAGTACATAGAAAGATGTGTTTTAAACATGTATTTTTGATATTAAGAAAAAATATTCATTGTATAAATGTATCCCATTTTTATAGAAATGCTGTGTTCACATGTGTATCTTAAGTCTATCTGTGTACCTACACTAAATTCTCAATAGTGTTTACTTGCAGAGCCTAGGCTAGACAAGTGCTGTTATTGCTTCATTTCTTCATTTTATACGGCTTTGTTTGTTTCTGAGTGGGTTTTTTAATTTTTTAATTTTTTAAAAAATTTTTATTTTTTGAGATGAAGTCTCACTCTGTCGCCCAGGCTGGAGTGCAGTGGCATGATCTCGGCTCACTGCAACCTTCGCCTCCCGGGTTCAAGCAATTCTCCTGCTTCAGCCTCTTGAGTAGCTGGGATTACAGGCATGCACCACCATGCCTGGCTAATTTTTTGTATTTTTAGTAGAGACAGGGTTTCACCATGCTGGCCAGGCTGGTCTTGAACTCTTGACCTCGTGATCCACCTACCTCCATCTCCCAAAGTACTGGGATTACAGGTGTGAGCCACCACGCTCGGCCTCATTTTTGTTTGTTTTAAGCTAAGATACTATATGACTTATTACATAAATTAAATGAAGCTAACACCCAAAGTCCCTGAATTTGAACCTCAGCTCTCCTACTCACTGGCTTGTGTGATCTTTGGCAAATTACTTGAGTTTCCAGTGTTTTGGTTTCCACAGTTTTAACATGGGGCTAATAATAGTAGCTGCCACATACTGCTGTTAGATAATTAATAAGATAATACATGTAAAACATTTAAAAAGTTTCTGGCACGTAGCAAGTACTCTGTAAGTGTTAGCTATAGTTTAGAAGTGCATGTTGAATAGTTGCGAATTATTTGCCCTAGATTACTTTATTATTGCTAGTTAATTTTTAGGAATATCATGTTAAATAAACTTTGATATATTTTTATAAGTGGTTACCAACTTATGTTTTATAAAATTATACTTCTCTACTACTCAAGTGAATAAATTTATTTCCATATCAATTTTATCATCTTTCCTTTCCTTCAAATTTAATGAAGAAAATGTGGTGTACTGACATACTAATCTGTTTTTTTTTTTTTTTTTTTTTTTTTTAGACAGGATTTCACTGTCACTGCAGTGCAGTGGCGGGATCACAGTTACTGTAGCCTTGACCTCCTGGGTTCAGGTGATCCTCCCACCTCAGCCTCCCTATTAGCTGAGACTACAGGCAAACAGCACCACACCCAACTAACTTTTTGTATTTTTTGTAGAGATGGGTTTCACCATGTTGCCCAGGCTGGTCTCAAGCTCCTGGGCTCACGTGATCCTCCCACTTCGGTCTCCCAAAGTGCTGGGATTACAGGTGTGAGCCACCATGCCTGGCCTTGTTTTTAAAAAATAAATATAGAACTTTTATCTCACTTTTAGCTTTTTATCCATTTTATCCCCTCCCACCCCCACCCCTTCAAATTTCATTGCTTTTTAATTTTATACAGTCTGTCACTGCCAGAAGGCTGCAGAACCTTCAACAAGTTCTTTCAGGAGACCACAGTAAGAAAAGAGTACATTTATCTTTTATTAAAAAAAATACTAGGCCGAGTGTGGTGGCTCACACCTGTAATTCTCAGCACTTTGGGAGGCTGAGGTGGGCAGATCACGAGGTTAAGAGATTGAGACCATCCTGGCCAACATGCTGAAACCCCACCTCTACTAAAAATACAAAAATTAGCTGGGCATGGTGGTGTGCGCCTGTAGTCCCAGCTTCTCAGGAGGCTGAGGCAGAATTGCTTGAACCCGGGAGGCGGAGGTTGCAGTGAACCGAGATGGTGCCACTGCACTCCAGCCCGGTGACAGAGAGAGACTCTGTCTCAAAAAACAAACAAACAAACAAACAAACAAAAAAACAAGAAATGAAAAACAAAAACTAAACAAAAAAATCAAAAACTTACTTTGAACTTCTTATGCATACATCTAAGTAGAGAAAGTAACGTATTTTGTGGTTATATTTTTATCACCATGTTAGATGGTAGCTTAAAACAAAAACAGAAACAAAACAGTTTCTCCACTATCTCCAGGATGGTGTGAACCTGAAATTGTATAGATTGAATTTGGGTCCTTCTAGCAGGCGCTTTCTATCTAGGTTAGAAAAAAATGCTGTGTTTTCATCACATTACAGGGTAAGAATTCTGAGAAAATGCAAGTTAGTGTGCATGAATACTCTAATAGCTCTTTTCAAGTTAGATCTTAGTATCACTTTAAATCTTTTGTTTGAGTAACTATATTGTGGAATCTCAAGAGCATTTGAGATGCTTGTTTTAATTAGGAAATAAAACTTTGTCAACAACTCTGTGATAGGTATCCCTTCTTGGTTATTTTAGTTCATCTAGGTTATCATTCTCCTCTTTCAGGGCCTAAACATATTGAAATTCTACAATTAGCTTTTTGGTAGAATTGGATATAACTCTAGTGATTATAATTCATAACTAATTTGGTAGCAGATGGAAAGCTCATTGGCAAATGAATGTCTCGTATTTGCAGAATGTACTATATATCCTGAAGAGGTTTTTAAAACAATCTTTAATTTTTTTCTAACTTAGAAGTATATATATGTAATCTAGGTTCTTTCTGTGCCAGGAGGTCAGGCTAAAATGAAGCCATTCTAGCTGCATGAATAGAACAGGGAATTTTATTAAATATCTCTATTTCAGAAATACTTAGTGCAGAATCAAACTTACTCTAATTGGAATTGTTTAGAGTTAGAAAATGTTAAAAAATTGAGTAAAATATGTGAAGAATTCTGGTTAATGGCTTCTCACTTTTTCCCGCTGTGAACTTTGTTTCAGAGATGCCTTTCAAACCTTTTTGTTGCAATTATATAGCAGTTGCCCAATATTCATTTAAAATTGGATGATAAAGTTTCTACTACTTTTTCTATATCTTACTAGATTTTACATTAGTGACAAAGGCATGATTTTGAAATTGTATTTTGGTCTTTGATCAGCAAATCATGGCTCTTTGTATAGTCTTTGAGAGAGGTGCTCAAAGTCTTCAGGTAAATTAATATCTAATTAGGAGAAAGAGGGTTGCCCTCTCCTGCTGAAGGTCTCTGGGGAAGGCCAGTGCATAGTCATGCCCTAGCAGTCCATTCCTAAGCCTCGTCACCTGGAACCCAAGTCCCCTCTATGTGCGTGACATTCTGGTCTCCTTGACAAAAAGACTGCTTCCTCTCATTGATGACTTTGTGGACATGGAGAATATCTAATAAGCATATCTTTTCTATGACCCCTTCACATAATTGAAAAGGATAACTATGCCATTTCTTTGTTCTTTTCCTATATTTGACACCTTTGAATAATTTCCCACTCGTGCTGGATCGTCTCCAAATTGATTGAAAAGTGTGCTAATCTTAAACTGAGTGTTTAACAGGGTAAGAATTCTGAGAAATTCTTAGACCACATGCCAAATATCATAGACCACAGAAGGAGAGCTCATCAGTATTTTTATGTCTTTTAATAAAGCCTGGTATCATTTTGGTCTTTCCTGTTTATGAGACGACTGTATGAATTTCTATTCACTTATATATTTTTTCTTCTCTAGCTAACTTTTAGCACTTCTACTTCCTTTAATTTTTCCCTAAAAGCAAGTGTATTCTACACTTGTTCCTATTGCATTTCATTTTATTTTTATAGGCAATCTTTTCTTTTCATAGTTTCTAGTGCCTTTGCCCACCAAGTTCCACACAACACTCTAAGTTCCAGCCACAAGAAATGACTCACATTCCTGCAAACCTGTTATGCTTTTTCATGCCTGAATACCTAAGCATCCTCCTTCCTCTTCTCTACCTGGGTACTTGTGCTTGTCATTTAAGGCAAACTTCAAAGGTCACTGTATTTAGGAAGCCTTCCCCATATTCTCCCCCGTCTAAGCACCATCCCTTTGTG
The DNA here is from genome assembly GCF_000001405.40 of Homo sapiens. Taxonomy (NCBI): domain Eukaryota; kingdom Metazoa; phylum Chordata; class Mammalia; order Primates; family Hominidae; genus Homo; species Homo sapiens. The sequence goes on from NC_000003.12 coordinate 67,028,722, forward strand.
CTCCCATAGTACACCGTATGGATCCTCTATCTTACCCCTTGTTAGTTTATGAGTCCATTTCTGTGACATCTAAGGACAGTGATAAAGACCACTTTGTGGGTAGTGACTATGACCTACTCCTATCTCTGCTTACAACTTCTAGCACCTCGTCACATAGTTGGGTGTCAAAAATGTTTGTGAGGCTGGGCACAGTGGCTCATGCCTGTAATCTTAGTGTTTTGGGAGGCTGAAGAGGGAGGATCATTTGAGGCCAGGAGTTTGAGACCAGCCTGGGCAACATCGTGAGACCCTCTCTTAAAAAAGTTTTTTTTTAATAAGTATCCAGGTATGATGGCATGCACCTGTAATCCTAGCTTTTCTAGAGGCTGAGGCAGGATGATCAGTTAAGCCCAGGAGTTTAAGGCTGCAGTGAGCTATGATCACACCACTGCACTCCAGCTTGCGTGACAGAGTGAGACCCTAGCTGTAAAAAACAATGACAATATTTGTGGAAAGAAATTAAGAAAATTTTAAAATGTATTACTGTTATTCAGAGCATTGTTAATTCACATTAGTCTGATGTCATTTACAAACTACACATCCTGATTTGCTTCATTCAGTTCATGCCTGAAACATGTAAGAATGAATAGGCCGGGCGCGGTGGCTCATGCCTGTAATCCCAGCATTTTGGGAGGCCGAGGCGGGCGGATCACGAGGTCAGGAGATCGAGACCATTCTGGCTAAAATGGCGAAACCCCATCTCTACTAAAAATACAAAATATTAGCCGGGCGTGGTGGTGGGCGCCTGTAGTCCCAGCTACTTCGGAGGCTGAGGCAGGAGAATGGCGTGAACCCAGGAGGAGGAGCTTGCAGTGAGCCGAGATTGCGCCACTGCACTCCAGCCTGGGCGACAGAACGAGACTCCGTCTCAAAAAAAAAAAAAAAAAAAAAAAAAAAAAAAAAAAAAAAGAATGAATATCTGGCTGGGCGCCGTGGCTCATGCCTGTAATCCCAGCACTTTGGGAGGCTGAGGCGGGCGAATCATGAGGTCAGTTGATCGAGACCATCCTGGCTAACAAGGTGAAACCCCGTCTCTACTAAAAATACAAAATATTAGCCGGGCGTGGTGGGAGGGTGCCTGTAGTCCCAGCTAATGGGGAGGCTGAAGCAGAAGAATGGCGTAAACCCAGGAGGCGGAGCTTGCAGTGAGCTGAGATTGCACCACTGCACTCCAGCCTGGGCGACAGAGCGACACTCCGTCTCAAAAACAAACAAACCAACCAACCTAATATCTAACATTTACTGAACACCATGTGCCAGATGCTATTTTAAGACCTTAAAGCATGAATTCATCTAAGTTTTACAACAACCCTATGGGGTAGGTAGTATTATTATTATCATTACAGATAAGGACAGACTTGCTGGAAGATTAAAAGACTTGCCCCTACCTGGCTGAGGCAGTGTTTGCCAGGTTACTGTTCTGTCAAGCTCCTCTTTCCCCTCCCCCGCCCCCACTTTTTTTGTGAGACGGCGTCTTGCTCTGTAGCCAGGCTGGAGTGCAGTGGCGCAATCTTGGCTCACTGCAGCCTCCACCTCCCAGGTTCAAGCAATTCTCCTGCCTCAGCCTCCTGAGTAGCTGGGATTACAGGCACACACCACCACGCCCAGATGATTTTTTTTTTTTTTTTTTTTTTGTAGCTTTAGTAGAGATGGGGTTTCACCATGTTGGCCAGGATGGTCTCGATCTCTTGACCGAGTGATTCGCCCACCTCGGCCTCCCAAAGTGCTGGGATTCCAGGCCTGAGCCACCATGCCTGGCCTCCCTTCCTTTTTTTATACTGTCCTCTTTGGAAGCAAGTCACTAAGTGCAGCTCACTCTTAGGGAGAGGGGAGTTTTGCTTTCCCTGTATTCTCTTTTACATCGCCTGCCTTGAATTTTCTCACAGACCATGACCTTGGTTGATTTTCTCCTTATCATTTAGATATTCTAAATATAGGTCTAACCAAATGCCCTTAGTCTATCTCCTTTCCCCACTCAGTAGACCATCTCATCCATGCCAGTGGCTTCTCTGTCTTCTCCTCCATGCTAGAGTCTCTCAAAGGCATAACCTTGACTGAGGCTTTCTTCTGAGGCCCAAGAGAAATTATCTCTGCCCAGAGGCCTGCAAGCATGTGACAGTTCTACCTTCTGAGAACTGAACGTTTCCTTTTCTTCCCTTCTCCATTTCTATTAATAGCTTCTTTAATTGCTAAGTTGTTTAGTCATGAAACTTCAGAGTGGTATCAAGTCTTTCTTGCTTGCACCTAATTCAGTGCTTATCATGTCCCTGAAATCCTCCTTAGGAAATATCTCACTGATCTCTTCCTTTTTATCCCCATGGTTAACCCCAGAGTCAGGGCCTCAATGTCTCTTATCTAGGTAGTTTCAGCTGGTAACTTACCACATGCCTCTTTTCTCACAGTATATTCTATGCCCATGGTCAGATGATTATACAGTAGAGCTGAAATTATAGTATTCTGATTTTAAAATCTTCAGTGGCTCCTTAGTAGTGAATCTAATACAGTCCCCTATATATATTCTCCAGGCAAGTGCTGTGTCTCAGTTACTTCTTGTTATCAATGCTAGCATTTGCATAGCATTTGCATAGAGTAAATCATTTTGACAGGTTACCTTGCTTTACATTATATTGAATATCCTTTAAAATGAGAAATAGTGCCTAGATAATTACTGTGAACAATGCCCTTGGTCCTACACAACACTATCAATAATGGACCCCTTTTCTTTCCCTTCCTCTCCCCTTCCCTTCTTTTCCTCCTCTCTGTCTTCCTTCCTCCCTTGTCTTGCCTCGCACATGCTCTACTACCACCACCGTTACCAAAGGAGGTACAAGCATTTTACTGAACACTAGTGGGTAGAGACAAAAAGTGTTGAAATATGGCTCCTTTCAGCCAAGGTGGAAACATGTTCTTCACTGTGATATGTAAGTCACCAACCATTCTAGCCCTTACCTCCAAATACTTCCATACTCTGCTTATTGTTATCAAAATATGTCTTACATACACAAAGATGGGAACAATCAACAATGGGGCCTACTTGAGGGGGGAGGTGGGAGGGAGGGCATGGGTCAGAAGGCTACCTATCAGTTACTATGCTCATTATCTTAGTGACAAGATCATTCAAACACCAAGCAATTTACCCATATAACAAACCGGCACATGTACCCCCTGAACCTAATGCAAAAGTAGGAAAAAAATGTCTATGTAAATTCTGTTTTTAAGCAAATTAATTTATCTTGAATGCCCTGCTTTTGGAGACAACCCCATTACACACCCACCCACCCCCACACACAGATATCTCTCTTGTCTTTGAAGACATATAGCATTCTGTTTATATTAATGCATGGGGCTTTCTTTACAAAAGTATAGTCCTTTGTGTACATGTCTTTTGTCCTTTGCCAGACTGGTGGTTTCTCGAGGCAAGTGCTGTGTCTCAGTTACTTCTTGTTATCAACTCTAGTGTTTGCATAGAATGGACACTCAGTAAATCATTTTGACAAGTTACCTTGCTTTATGTTGTATTGAAAATCCTTGAAATGAGAAACAGTGCCTAGATAATTACTGTGAACATTGCCCTGGGTCCTATATAACACTATCAACAATGGACTGTATTTTATATCCAACTGAGTACACATCAAATAATTATCTGGCTGACATATAAGTATTGTCAGAAATTATTTTCTTTTATCATTAAAAAAAGTTAAGTGATAAGAACCAAAGAGAAACACATAGTCTAGGGTGTCTGTATGCTTTAGTAGTTTTTATTTAACAGATCTTTAAGTCCCTTTGTTAGCCAAGATATTTTAAGCACTTTCTAATATTTAATTGTGTAACATAACCATGGTTTTAGATTTAGCATCTAGGCAATTTTTCTCTTTTGTGTACTTTACAGAATTCATTTCAGATATAATTTTCAGTGTTGAATAATAACATTTTAAATCAACCCCAAGATAAAAGTTACAGTACAACATAAAAAATGAAGCCAGTTTTTCTGTGTTTCCCATTGGCGAATTACTGTTTTTTCTGCCACCAGACTTCATCTAATGATGTGACCTTTACCATGCTAATAGACAGCAAACAAAAATCTGCCAAATTGTGATAAAATACAGGTTTTAAATCTAAAATAAATTAAGCTAAAAAGACTTGTAAAGGTCAAATGCATGGAAAGAATTAAGTTGAAACAGTGATTTGTGTTAAACACACGTTGTACCAGTTTTTTCCCAAGGTTATTTTTGAACTCTTAATGTTTAATAACTGTACAAGGAAATGCAATTTTTTAAAAAAGTAACACTATAGTAGTGTTGACTTATCTTTGTGGGGCTCAAATGTTAGTTTATTCAGCAACTCTTTATTGTGCTCCTAATATGTGCCAGGCAATGCAATACAGCAGTGAAGACCTCAGTAATGATCTTGATCTCTTGCCACTTATGGTTTAATAGGAGGTACAGATAAACCTTCAACTAAATCATACAACAGAGCTAGGCTGTGAAAGAGGAAATGCAGGTGGAAGCTGTACCTATCTAACCCAGGCTGCTAAGCTGAGTCCTGAAGATAAGACGGAGGAGTTTGCTAGGCATAACAGAGTGGGAAGTGTGGTGCATACATAAAAGGTACAGAGGTACAAAGGTACAGAGGAGAAAGAAATGTGCATTCCGAAATGGAAGGAAGTTCATCATGGTGGAGATGAGTTGAGAGAATGAAGGACTATAAATGAGTGGTTCTTAATCAAGGCAGACTTTGGCCCCAGGGAACATTTGTCAATTTCTGGCAACACTTTTGGTGTCACAAGTGGCAGAGGGGGCTGCTATTAGCTTGTAGTGGGTAGAGGTCAGGGAAGCTGCTAAACATCCGCCAGTGCACAGGACAGCCTCCACAACAAAGACCAGCTCTCAAGGTCAGTAATGCTTAAGCTAAGAAACTCTGTAATATTAAAAGATAAACCTGTACACTTGGGGTTAGATTACAAAGCTACTGAAGGAATTTGGGATTTATTCTAGGAATTTGGGGGCACCACTGAAAGATTTTAAGCACATGTTGTTTGTCACTCTGAGAACCACTTTATTGTTATGGCTGAACCTCAGTATTTTAAAATCTATACTAAGTCTCACTCATGTGGGCTAACCATTGTGCCTACTACAAATGACATCTCCCTATTTTACAAAGGTGGAAAGAGCATCATTGTGAAATGTTCGCTAAAAGTTTAAAAAAGAAGATGAATTAATTATTTGATCCTCACCAGTCACAACATAATTATTTCAAAAACGTGTATTTATTTAATTGGGCTCCTTCCTGTCACACAGGGTTGAGCGTGGGGGGTCTACTCTCATGAATCTAAAGCACTTCTGGAGATTAATGGAAAATACACTGGGCCAAGGCAAGGTTACAACCTGAAATAAATAACTAAGCTTGTACATTCAGAGCAAAGGGTTTCCTAATTTAAAAAAAAACTTAGTTCCAGACTCTTTTGAACATCTGATGACACTATGGCCTCTTTTTATTTTTATTTTTATTTTTATTTTTTTTACAGAAATATGCACTTATACTCCCAAGTATTTAACTTCAGAGGCTCACAGACCCTAGAGAGATACAGTGGCTTCTCACTTGATACTGATGTTCCTAGAAATATCTAATGGCCAGATTTATAACAATAGACATTTGCCAAAAAAAAAAAAGTATAGCATAATTTAGAATCAATCAGAGAAAGCTTAGCATTTCTTAATCAAGGAGCAACTCTTTCCAAAAATGCTCATCAAGATACCATTTACGTCAACTTGTAAAATATAAATAATGTTGCATCACAGCAAAAAAAGTCTAGGGAAATGAGCAATTTTTTTATGACCCATAATGAAGACAATGTGTTGCTCTGGTTACAATAACCTCTGTGAGAAACAATTCTGTAAACCATGTGCTTTCTGCTGATTCCTTTCCATCTAATCATTACTTTCTCTAAAAATAGTGATTGATTATAGGCTCCGTGTCTTGCAAATTGGAAGAAAGGGTGAACTGATACGTGCTTGAGTTCATCACAGTTTTTTTGTTCTACAATCAAGTACCAGACTTTGGATTCCCTTTACCTTCTTTGACTGCAGATGTCCCAATGGTCTTAGTCATGACGAAACTGCCCCCAAACACCCGCATCTTATACAGACACACATGCACACACACATACACACACATATGTGTGCACACACACACACACCCTCTTCAGTTCTTTGAAGGGCTTAATGCATGCTTATATAAAGGTTTCTATCTATTTTGATGCCATCACCATTAACTCAATTCTACTTCTTGATTTGCCAGTGTGCCCTATCATTTTTCTCACTTGCTAGTTCTGTTCAGAGAATCTGTGTCAGCTTTACCTCCAATTCTCACTGTGATTTCTAGTAATCTGAACCACTTGAACCTGATTCCATTATATTGGGATTTTGTGTACTATAAATATTAGTCATAGGCCAGGTGCAGTGGCTCATGCCTGTAATCCCAGCACTTTGGAAGGCCAAGGCAGGAGGATTGCTTGATCCCAGGAGTTCAAGACCAGCTGGGGCAACATAGGGAGACCATGTATCTACAAAAAAAAAAATGTTTAAAAGTTAGCTGGGTGCAGTGACACATGCCTGTAGTTGCAGCTACTGAGGGCTGAGAAGGAAGGATTGGTTGAGCCCAGGAAGTCATGGCTGCAGTGAGCTGTGATTGTGCCACTCTACTCCAACCTGGGCAACAGAGTAAGACCCTGCCTCAAAAAATAAAATAAAGTAAAATAAAATAAAATAAAATAAGTCAAAATCGAGGTATCAGTGGGGGCTGCAGTTCTCCCCTGGCACTCAGGGTCCTCTTAGGAGCTTCTTGCTTACTTGCAGAACTCATTTCCCTCTCATGCTTTTTATGTGACTGGCTCCACCTTCAGACCCGCAATGGCAGGGAGAGCTCTCATGCTTCCCGTCTCTCTGACTTCATGTTCTGCCACATATCCCTGACACCAGCTTGAGAAAGTTCTCTGCTTTTAAGGGCTTATATGATTAAATTCGGCCAACCTGCATAACCCAAGATATTCCTTCCATCTTAGGTCTGTAGCCATTTACCATGCAGCATAATATGCTCATAGGCCTCAAGGATTAAGATGTGGACATCTTTCAGGAGCATTCTTCCTACCAGAGAAACCTACAGGTAAAATGGCATGGACATTCAGAGAGAGAGAGAGAGAGAGAGAGAGAGAAAGAGAAGGGTCAGTTTTAATTAGGAATGTGAAAGAGCTAGTCAATTAGAACTATGAGAGGTAGAACAATTTTAGCTGGGCTTCGAGTTACAGATCAAATTTTGGTTGGTGGAGATGAAGTTGGGGGATGCATTTCAGATGAAGGTGTTTAGAGAAATGATGAGAAGTCAAACTTGGGGTAGGAAGGAGGACAAAGTAGGTTGGAGTCAAGGAGTAGAAGACCTTAAATTATGGGTCAATAGTTTACTCGTACTAAACATATAAACTATACCTTAAGTAAAAATAAGTCTTAAAATTAAATATTAAACAGAAACATCCTTAATTGCTACCAGTGAATTCTGAGAAAAGTCAGTTTGCAATAGTTGGATACATTTAGCAGCAGGAAGGATAATGTTACTGGTATGATGTGGGTTGTGGGAAAGGTCTGAGAATTGATGAATCCAACTACCGAAGTGGTTCCTTTTACCAACTCCTATGTAAGGACTTCTGATTAAGATTTGATATTTTCTATGAGGTGATGCCTCAGATTTTACACTATTGTAAAAGCCTGTTTCCACCATAAATGCGGAAATGTGTTGCAGGTTATCTATTTCTTCTTTCATTCCTGAAAACCTGAAAATAATCAATTGTATTATGACTTGAAAGTCTAGAGATGAAAAAAAAATACAAAAGATATAATAGAAGGAAAATTCCTGTTTACAGTAGCAGCCGAAAAGATAAAAGGAAATGAACTTATGAAACATGCAAGATTTAGATGAAGAACACTTCAAAATGCTGTCAACAGACTAAAAAAAGAATCAAATTAATGGAAATATGTACTATTATGTTCTTAGATCAAGAAGACTAAATAGAAAGACATCAATTTTCCTATGTTAATTCAAAATTTAATATGTTATTATGTCAATAAAATATTGTTTTCTTTCATTTTTACTGGAAAAACTACATAAAAATTTGTATGAAAAAATAAATGAGAATATTCAAAAATAAAAATTCTAAAAAAGGAAAGCTGATAGATGGGACTAGCCCCATCAGATAGCAAATTACACCTAAGTGTTTCAATAGCTTAAACACTATAGTAGCAGTTCAAGACTAGACAGGGAATCCAATGGAACAGGACAGTGCAGAAATAGACCAAAACACATGCCATATTATAAAGAAGCCATCTTAGGTCAATGGAAAAAAATATGAATTAGTCACTAAATGGTACTGGGACAACTGGCTAGCTATCTAGAAAAAAAACTGTATCTATAGAATACAGAATTCCAATCTACAGAATAAACTCCAAGTGGATCAAAAATATCAATGTAAAAAGTGAAATCATAAAAACATTAGAAGAATAAATAAGAATATTCCTTTATGATCTTAGAAGCTCAGAAGCCATAAAACCAAAGGTATATATAATGATTTTAACAATTTTTTCATGGCTAAAAGCAACATAAGCTAAGTCAAAATATGGAGTTGTTTAGAGGAAATGATGAGAAGTCAAACTTGGGGTAGGAAGGAGCACAAAATAGGTTGGAATCAAGGAGTAGAAGACCTTAAATTATGGGTCAACAGTTCACTCGTACTAAACATATAAACTATACCAAACTATAAACTACACCAAAGCAATATTTGAAATAGCAAAAAAAAAAAAAAAAAAAAAAAAAAAAAGAAACACTTTAAATGTCATTTGTAGGGACCAGTTAGTTGATAAACCATGTTTGATTCATATAATGGAATGCTATGCTGCTATCAAAAAAAAAATGAGAGTTTCGTATGTATTGACATAGGAAGAACTCCTAGATATGTTATGGAGTGAAAACAGCAAAGTGTAAAATATTGTCTTAGTATGCCACCTTGTGTATAAAAAGGAGGACATTAAGAATACATATTTATAGTTGCTTGTATATGTCACGTGCGTCTGTGTGAAGAGACCATCAAACAGGCTTTCTGTGAGCAATAAAGCTTTCTAATCACCTGGGTGCAGGCGGGCTGAGTCTGAAAAGAGAGTCAGCAAAGGGAGATAGGGTTGGGGCCATTTTATAGGATTTGGGTGGGTAATGGAAAATTACAGTCAAAGAAGGTTTTTCTCTTTCAGGCAGGGGCGAGGGTCACAAGGTGATCAGTGGGGGAGCTTCTGAGCCAGAAGAAGGAATTTCACAAGAATAATCGCTCAGTTAAGTTGGGGCAAAAATAAATCACAATGGTGGAATGTCATGAGATAAGGCAGGAACTGGCAATTTTCACTTCTTTTATGATTCTTCACTTGCTTCAGGCCATCTGGATGTATATGTGCAGGTCACAGGGGATACGATGGCTGAGCTTGGGCTCAGAGGCCTGACATTCCTGTCTTCTTATATTAATAAGAAAAATAACATAAAATAGTATTGAAGTGTTGGGGCAGTGAAAATTTTTGGGGGGTGGTATAGAGAGAGAAAGGGTGATGTTTCTCAGGGTTGCTTCAAGCGGGATTAGGGGCGACATGGGAACCTAGAGTGGGAGAGATTAAGCTGAAGGAAGATTTTGTGGTAAGGGGTGATATTGTGGGGTTATTAGAAGGAGCATTTGTCATTTAGAATGATTGGTGATGGCCTGGATACAGTTTTGGATGAATTGAGAGACTAAATGAAAGACACAAGGTCTGAATAAGAGAAGGAGAAAAACAGGTATTAAAGGACTAAGAATTGAGAGGACCCAGGACACCCAATTAGAGAGTGCCCAAGGGGGTTCAGTGTAATTACTTGCTTGGTTGGCAAGTTTTTGGGCTCTATCCTTGAGTTTTTTTTATGTTGTCATATACCAGGCCAGACTGATTTAGGTAAAACAACACTTTTCATTTAAAAATCTACAGAGTCCCCTTTTTTTAGCAGTGAGTAAGTTGAGGCTTTGGCGATTTTGGAGGAAAGAGAAATGCAAAGCCAGCAATTGTTTTTTAAAGAAGGATTAGAAACAGCTAGGAGACAGTGAGTGAGATTGATAGTGTGGTGGAGACAGCTGGGGAGAGGTAGAGGGTGGCATAAGAATGGGAATGAGAATAAGAGTGAGTATAAAAGTAAAGAATAGGACTTCATTGGATGAAAGTATTGGAGTGTACCCTGTCAGCAAAGATCATCTATCCACTTTAAGAGTGGCAGTTTAGGAATAGCACCAGGCGATATTAGCTGTGATGGCTTGGAGAAACAGTGTAAACAGGCAGTGTAAACAAGAGCAGGACATTTATGAGTAGTTGAGAACAGTGAATAGGAGTATGACTAGACAGAAGACAGTAGGGATGACAAGTTTTTGGGGTGCAGTCCAAGTTGGGCTGGTGTCTGGAATGAGACTGGGGCCTAAAAAAGAGGAGTGTCCATACAGGAGCTCAAATGCGCTGTACCCTCGTAGCATCCTGAGGGCAGACCCAAGTTCTGAGAAGGGCAAGTGGTAAAAGTATTGTCCAGTCCTTTCTAAGTTGGAAACTGAACTTGGTGAGGTGTGTTTTTAAAAGACCATTAGTCCATTTTACCTTTCCTGAAGACTGAGGACCGTAAGGGGTCTGAAGGTTCCACTGAATACCAAGAGCCTGAAAAACTGCTTGGGTGATTTGACTAGTAAAGGCCTGTCCGTTATTGGACTGTATAGAGGTGGGAAGGCCAAACTGAGGAATTATTTCTGACAGAAGGGAAGAAATGACCGTGGTGGCCTTCTCAGACCCTGTGGGAAAGGCCTCTACCCATCCAGTGAAAGTTTCTACCCAGACCAAGAGGCATTTTAGTTTCCTGACTCAGGGCATGTGAGTAAAATTAATTTGCCAGTCCTAGGCAGGGGCAAATCCCTGAGCTTGATGTATAGGGAAGGGAGGGGGCCTGAACAATCCCCGAGGAGGAGTAGAATAGCAGATGGAACACTGAGAAGTGATTTCCTTGAGGATAGATTTCCACGATGGAAAGGAAATGAGAGGTTCTAAGAGATGGGCTAGTGGCTTGTAACCTACATGGAAGAGGCTATGAAATGACAACAGAATAGAATGGGCCTGTGAGGCTGGAAGGAGATATTTTCCTTGGTCTAAGAACTATTTGCCTTGTATGGGAAGAGATTGATAGGTGGAAGTTTCAGTGGGGGAGTAGGTGGGAGTGACTGATGAGAAGGAGAAAAACTGGTCGTGAGGGACAGAAGTTGGAAAGCTAGCTGCTTCTTTAGCTACCTTATCAGCATAAGTATTGCCCTGAGCAATGGGATCTGATGCCTTTTGATGGCTCTTCCAGTGAATGACTCCAACTTCCTTTGGAAGTAAAGCAGCCTTGAGAAGAGTTTTTATTAAAGAGGCATTGATGATGGAGGACCCTTGCATAGTGAGGAAACCTCTTTCTGCCTATATAACAGCATGGTGGTGCAGGATATGGAAGGCATATTTAGGGTCAGTATAAATATTGATGTGTAGTCCTTTTGCAAGAGTGAGGGCTCAAGTTAAGGCAATGAGTTCGGCTTGTTGAGAGGTAGTGGAGGGGTCAGAAAGTATATGTGTCAGATGTGAGGAAGAAAATAGATTTTGGAAGTTATGAGAACTGTAGAGAGTGAGTTGAGCATAGTTTGTGATTTTGAGGGCCTCTAAAAGTATTAGGGCAGTGGCAGCCACCGCGCGGAGACATGATGGCCAGCCTAAAACAGTAAGGTCAAATTGTTTGAACAAAAAGGCTACAGGGTGTGGTCCGGCTCTTGTGTAAGAATTTTGACCACACAGCCCTGCACTTCAGCTGTGTGTAATGAAAAAGGGTTGGAATGAGTTAGGGAGAGCTAGTGTGGGAGTAGTCTCTAAAGCTGTCTTCAAGGAACAGAAAGAGGAGTGGGGAAAGGATTTAGGATCTACGGGGTCAGCTAGGTTTCCTTTTGTGGGTTTTTATAACGTTTTTGTTAGGATGGCAAAACCAGGTATCTAAAGGCAAAAGCACCCAACCATGCCCAGGAAGGAAAGGAGTTGTTGTTTTGTAGAAGGGGTTGGGGTTTCAGAGATCAGTCGGACATGATTGGCAGGAAGAGCACGTGTGTTTTTGTGAAGAATTATGCCGAGATAGGTAATGGATTAGGCTTGACTGAAGTAATGGGGGCTGTCTGCGAAGCCTTGTGGCAGTACAGCCCAGGTAAGTTGCTGAGGCTGATGGGTATCAGGGTCAGTCCAAGTGAAATCAAAGAGAGGCTGGGATGAAGGGTGCAAAGGAATAGTAAAGAAAGCATGTTTGAGATCCAGAACAGAATAATTGGTTGTGGAGGGAGGTATTGAGGATAGGAGAATATATGGGTTTGGCACTACGGGGTGGATAAGCAAAATAATTTGGTTGATAAGGTGCAGATCCTGAACTAACTTGCAAGACTTGTACAGTTTTTGGACAGCTAAAATGGGGAATTGTAAGGAGAGTTTATAGGCTTTAAAAGGCCATGCTGTAACAGGTGAGTGATAACAGGCTTTAATCCTTTTAAAGTGTGCTGTGGGATGGGATATTGGCATTGAACGGGGTAAGGGTGATTAGGTTTTAAAGGGATGGTAAGGGGTACATGATCGGTTGCCAAGGAGGGAGTAGAGGTGTCCCATACCTGTGTATTAAGGTAGGGAGATACAAGGGGAGAATGCGAAGGAGGCTTTGAACTGGGGAAAAGGGCAGCAATGAGGTGTGACTGTAGCCTAGGAATAGTCAGGGAAGCAGATAATTTAGTTAAAATGTCTCAACCTAATAAGGGAACTGGGCAGGTGGGGATAATTTAAAAAGAGTGCATAAAAGAATGTTGTCCAAGTTGGCACCACAGTTGGGGAGTTTTAAGAGGTTTAAAAGCCTGGCTGTCAATACTCACAACAGTTATGGAGGCAAGGGAAACAGGCCCTTGAAAAGAAGGTAATGTGGAGTGGGTAGCCTCTGTATTGATTACGAAGGGGACGGACTTACCTTCCACTGTAAGAGTTACTGAAAGTGTCTGTGATGGTCCAGGAGGCTTCCGAGGTGATGGGGCAGCATCAGCCTTCAGCCACTAAGCCGAGAAGATCTGGGAAGGAGTCAGTCAGAGAGCCTTGGGCCAGAGTTCCAGGAGCTCTGGTAGTGGCTGCAGGGTGAGTTGGACAGTCCGATTTCCAGTGGGGTCCTGCACAGATGGGACATGGCTTAGGAAGAATCCCAGGCTGTGGGCATTCCTTGGCCCAATGGCCAGATTTCCAGCACTGAAGTAAGATCCTGGGGGAGGAGGTCCTGAAGGAATGCTTGACCACTGTGGTTTAGGCATTTTGAAGTTCTTGTGTGCTGGAGATGTGGCTGGGGTTTTTCTCACAGTGGAGGCAAGGAATTGCAACTCAGAAATATGTTGCTACTTGGCTGCCTCTACTCTATTATTGTACACCTTGAAAGAGAGGTTAATTAAATCCTGTTGTGGGGTTTGAGGGCCAGAATCTAATTTTTGGAGCTTTATTTAATGTCGGGAGTGGATTGGGTAATAAAATGCGTATTGAAAATAAAACAGCCTTCTGACCCTTCAGGGTCTAGGGTTGTAAAGCATCTCAGGGTTGCTGCCAAATGAGCCATGAACTGGGCTGGGTTTTTATATTTAATGAAAAAGAGCCTAAACGCTAACTGATTTGGGAGAGGTTGGATAAAGAAAAAGAAGCATTAACCTTGACTATGCCTTTAGCTCCAGCCACCTCTTTAAGAGGAAATTGTTGGGCAGGTTGGGAAGGGCTAGTTGCAGAATGAAACTGTAAGCCAGACCAGGTGTGAGAAGTGGAGGTGATAGAAGGATTATAGGGTGGGGGAGCGGAGGCAGAGGAAGAATTGGAGCCTGATTCAGCCTGGCAGGGAGTCACCTGAGGAGGAGCAGTCTGGGGAGGAGGGGAGAAGTCAGATGGGTCGGTAGAAAAGGAAGATTGAAAAGACTCAGCGATGCTTGGGGTTGGGACTGAGGGGACAGGCGGGAGGGAAAGAAGGAGGTTTTGGGATCATTCGCATTGGGAACAGAGACTAGGGAGGGACTGATGTGTAAAAGAATGCCTGGACGTCAGGCACCTCAGACCATTTGCCCATTTTACGACAAGAATTATCTAGATCTTGTAGGATGGAAAAATCGAAAGTGCCATTTTCTGGCTATTTGGAACCATTGTGGAGTTTGTATTGGGGTTAAGCGGCATTGCAGAAGAAAATAAGTCATTTAGGTTTTAGGTCAGATGTGAGTTGAGGAGGTTTTAAGTTCTTGAGAACACAGGCTAAGGGAGAAGAAGGAGGAATGGAGGGTGGAAGGTTGCCTATAGTGAAGGAGGCAAGCCCAGAGAAAAGAGAGGGTAGAGATGTGGAGAGAAGGGGTGGGGGGTTCTTGCCCCCCATGAAAGTGGTGCTTGCCACTAAGGGTGAAGGATCAAGGGAGGTGTCCCCGCGGTGATCAGACACCTCTGAAACGTGGGTGAATAATCAAGCATGCGTCCCCGCAGTGATTAATGACCAAGGGAAGACTGTCTTCCCGAGTCTGTGACCGGTGCCACTTTTGGGTTCACGGATAAAACGCATCTCCTCTGTCTCTACCAGAGAAGGAAAAGAACTGAAATTAAGAGAACGGAGAGATTGAAGGATGGCACCAAGATTGAAAGGAGAAAGAGATTGAGGGATAGTGAGAGAGGTTGGAGAAGAGAGTAAAAAGAGGCTGCTTACCTGATTTAAAATTGGTGAGATGTTACTTGGGCTGGTTGGTCTGAGAACGAGAGATTGTAGGTGGATCTTTCTCATGGAGCAAAGACCAGGAGGACAGGGGATTGATCTCCCAAGGGAGGTCCCCTGATCCGAGTCATAGCACCAAATGTCATGCACGTCCGTGTGAAGAGACTATCAAACAGGCTTTGTGTGAGCAATAAAGCTTTTTAATCACCTGGGTGCAGGCAGGCTGAGTCCGAAAAGAGAGTCAGCAAAGGGAGATAGGGGTGGGGCCATTTTATAGGATTTGGGTCGGTAGTGGAAAATTACAGTCAAAGGGGGTTTTTCTCTTGCAGGCAGGGGCGGGGGTCACAAGGTGCTCAGTGGGGGAGCTTCTGGGCCAGGAGAAGGAATTTCACAAGATTAATCGCTCAGTTAAGGTGGCGCAGAAACAAATCACAATGGTGGAATGTCATCAGTTAAGGCAGGAACCGGCCATTTTCACTTCTTTTGTGATTCTTCACTTGCTTCAGGCCTTCTGGGTATATATGTGCAGGTCACAGGGGATACGATGGCTTAGCTTGGGCTCAGAGGCCTGACAGTATACAGATGCAGAAACTTTGGAAGTGTACATAAGAAACCAGTAATAGTGCTTATTTGTTCAGAGGCTGGGAAAGTGAGTACAGATGGTCACAGGTGAGAATAAGATTTTTCTCTGAATCCCTTTTTATATTATTTTATTTTGTACTACTGATTCAAAAACTTACCCCCAAAATAAGATCTGGCAAATACCTTGCCTTTTCTAGGCAGCTCTAATTCATTCCATCAATTCTTGTTTTATTAAGTCATCATAGGGACTATGTGCCAAGCACAGAATTCTTTTCTGGCATCAGAATTGTACAATATTGACTTAAAAGTAATTGACCTAGAATACAGTACCACATGGTGCCAAAATACAAAAGGGTCTGTGTAATACTCAGTTCGAGAAAGGTAAGGTCCTTTTGGGTTTTGGGCCTCTCTGGCTCTCATAGCCACTTCAGAACAGTGAGTTATAACCTTGTAACTTTCTGAATCCATCTACCAGGCTATAAAACTCCAGGGATCTGGTGAGCCAGGCTACTTGGGGCCAGGAATTGGGCGAGTCAATCCATGACTAGGATACAGAGTTAGCAAATAAGGGATTGGCCAGGATTCCCACTCTGAATTTCTTTCTCTCTTCCCCTGGCCTCAATGATCTACCCTGACCACTTACCTCTATAGACCCCTATGAGTGCTGACATTGTGTAAGGGTCAAAAGAGAGAAATAGGGAGGAAGTCAGACTGAGAGGGAGAAAATTGGCATTTGCAGGTTCTACATACATGAGTGGTATTTTTAATTAATGAGATTTTTGGAGACACTTTCATTAAAACCATTTTTATATTTTTAGGCTTAAATTTTTTGAAAAGTTAAATTCTAGGCAAAGAGGCCCAGATCCTTTCAAATAGGGCAAGTTGTGGCTGAAGACCAATTACCTGCATGCAGAGGGCAGAAGACGGAAGGGAGCAGGCAAGCTTGGAATAAATGAGATTCCATTCCAATTAAATGAGGAGTCTCAGAAGCACCTCCCACAAGCTAGAATTACTGTGATGCCTGTTGATGTTTTAATCTCTTCTTTTCTGTCGGGTGAGAGGCATATAAAGAATCAGAGAAATAAGGAAGGCCAGTCACTTGAGAAACCACATAAGCTTTTTTTTTTTCTTTATAATTTTTAAGCATAAAGAGGCTGACTGAAATTGAGATGCGATTACTATACAAATGGCCTGAGAAGAACAAAGGCAACGGTGGTTTTGACAACTGACCATGGTGGATAAGATTTTAATTATTTAAAGAAATCCTAGAAAATCTTAAAAAAGAATCAGATGGAAAGAGAATCACTCAAGCTTTGAAAGGAAACCTAAGGTTAAAATTAACAAGGCACATTAAGAGCTGAAGATGAGTTAGAATAATACCCGATTTTACCTGGTATTTACCCTAGGTTTTCCTCTAAAATTGAGCATCTTGTTTAAAGAGAGTATTTCTTCATATTTCTAGATTTTTTTGTTTAATAGAGAATTCTACCTTGGAGGAAGCCTGAGTAGAAAATTTTGTTAAATTTGGTGACTGACTTAATCATGCCTTTGGGAAGACTAGCTATTCAGACCTTGCAGCTATAACTTAGACATCCTTCTGAAAAGGATGACAGCATCTGCCCCCAAAATAAAGAATTCAAATAGTGGGCAGAGTATCGGGAGAAACTTAGAGGCCACTGAAGTGTTAGCATAAACATGCAAATCTGCAAAATAACCTTGGTATTTTGCCAAGATTATTTTGCAGATTTGCATGTTTGCAAGCAACAGATATATACCATTTTGTATCTGTTGCTCAGAGGACAGCACTAAAATTGGCTCTTTAGGCAGATGCAGCTTTCAAAACAAGAATTAGATTTTAGGTCTTCAGAGTCTCAAAAACAAGAAAGGCAAACAAAACTTAGAGATGATTGTTGAAATATATTTAATATTTTACTTTTGCAACTTGAAAGCTAGTGACTTTTTTTTTTTTCTTTGAGATGGAGTCTCCCTCTGTCGCCCAGGCTGGGGTGCAGTGGCACAATCTCAGCTCACTGCAACCTCCACCTCCTGGGTTCAGATGATTTTCCTGCCTTAACCTCTTGAGTAGCCGGGGTTACAGGTGTGCACCACCATGCCTGACTAATTCTTGTATTTTTAGTAGAGATGGGGTTATACCATGTGGGCTAGGCTGGTCTCAAACTCCTGACCTCAGGTGATCCACCTGTCTTGGCCTCCCAAAGTGCTGGGATTACATGCGTGAACCACCGTGCTTGGCCAAAAGCTAGTGATTTTTATCTTTGCATTATTTTAATAAAGTAATTTTCAAAAGTTTTAAATGACATTGGAGCTCAGTTTGCAAGTTTATCTTCTATAGAATCTTACATACATAAACCAAAAACTAGAAATTTATTAGTTTTAACCTGTAAATTCACATTTATTACAGTTTTTACTTAAAAATAGACTGTTGACAAGCTGATAATTTGAAAACAGAAGCTGTCATTATAATAGTAGTTATGACAGTTGTAGTCCTTTGTCAGCTTCAAGACTCATCTGATTTTTGTATGTTATTTTGTTTGCACAATAGGGAGAAAAATCTTAATTCACTAAATAGGAGCAAATAGCTTTCTAACACACTCATTTTGCATTCTTTGGGTACTGGATTACTTAACTGATTTTGAAACACCACAAAGAATGGTAGATTGTTTTCCTACATTTATTCATTAATACTTCTAACTACTGTTCACATAATTAAGTGTTCAAATTTCAGAGAAGTTGATAAAAAGATATAATCAATTCTTTTGGTAGAAAATGCTTTTAAACTGTATCTTATAATGTGATGGTAAGTGGTGTTTTAAAAAAATCTTGTATACTTCAATGTTTGTCTATAAAATATAGAGTCACTTAAAATTTCAAGTAGTAAAATGGATTTTGCTTTTCATATTAAGTCCAAAATTTTGTTTCATTACTAAGGATGGTATAACTACAACCTGAACAGCCTTACAAATGTTATTTATGTTGTAAAAATTACTGTCAAGACAAAGAAGCTGATGTAAAATGTATAATCAAATGTGACAGATATCACACTCATGAATAATTAATAAAAAGCCACGTATGAAAAGCTACATGTATTTCAAAAAATTAATATTGCATTTATAAGAAGTTCAATTGTATGGAAAGAGATGTCCAAGCAAATATTATTTTGAAATTTGTGCCTGACAGCGAAAGATCAGGCATTAATGCTCTCCAATGTGTTAACATTTGGTATTTAGCACTTTTGAACAAGTTGGTTTGTGTGTTTGTGTGTTACAGTATAAATCACATCAAAAAAAGTATAAAGTCATGTTTGAATTAAACAACATTGTGTGACTCCTGAAGCACATTTTGAAATAGCTTTTAAGATATCTCAATAGTAGAGTCAGAGTTTTGGGACTTAGGATTGGAAACAATTACTACAAGCCTAAAATCCTGAGCTTTCATGTTGGTGTATAAATCCCATAAATCTCTTAATCACTCCTAGGGCAAGCTTTCATCTAATTTTCCCAAGAGAGAGTTATCAGACAAATTCTTGGAGTTCAATTAGGGCATGTTGGAGCTCTTCAGAGGATAGGTTTCATATAATTCTAATAAATCAATATGAATCCCAAGCTTGTATAATATAATTGTGTTAAATTCACTTCTTCAGAATGCTGTGCTATGACATTATGTCTTTAAATTGTTATCACAAAAGGCTGAATTTCTTTTCTAAAAAAAAGTAAAGTTAAACCTTCTATAAGTAAATAATAGGGCATTTTCTAAAGCTGTCTCACAGTGTATTTTTCTGGTTTGGTCTTTAGTTAATTTTACCACTGGTCTGTATCAACTAAAGGTATTTTATTTAAGATGTCACGAATAGTAATAATTACTGAAAAAGATATAGCACCTTAACTTAGGAGGCTGGTAATCTGTCAGAAGCGTAAAAATCATTAACACATGTATCCTTTACATAACTGAATTCACTTAAAAGGCAAACTACCAGGGTCTATAATTATAGCCTGATTACAACTTTCACTTCCTGTGTCAATTTCATGAAATGAAATCCATTCAGCGCACCAGCATGGCACATGTATACATATGTAACTAACCTGCACAATGTGCACATGTACCCTAAAACTTAAAGTATAATAAAAAAAATAAAAAAATAAAGTCAGCTCATAATAAAAAAAAATTGTCTTCATATCTCAGTTTGTTCTTCTTCCTGTTACTGTACTTTAGAAGAGTAATAAACTCTATTTAGCAACTCCTTTCCAAAAGTAGGCAATGTAAAATAAGTCAGCTTCTTCTAAAGCATTCATGTAAATGATTTTAGCCTTCCTCAGTCTTGACCTTTACTTACATTTCCCTCATTATGATAATTTTTCAAGCAATCTGTGAAAGATAATATCACAACTCTCACTTCCCCTAATTATAGGCTTGTTGTGAGAGCTGTATTTGCACTCTCCCACCTTCTTCCTGTTTTGTCCTTATGTTAATCTGTGAAAGAACTAATGGGCATAAATCCTTTAAAAATTATTTAATTCTGGTAAAAATACTTCACATGAGATCTACCCTCTTAGCAAATATTTAAGTGTACAATTATAGTTGACGATAGGTACGATGTTGTATTTGCATTTTTTTGTCTCTGTATTCTATTGACCAAGCTAGGCTCCTGAAGTGGTGTAGCACTATCTGGCATGGTGGATAGTGACATGAGAAGCCAAAAATGACTTCAGAAAGAGGGTAATTCAGAGGACTCATTAGCTTAGGTGCGAGGGAGACACACTACTGCATTGGAGTTGCATACAACTAAAGGGTTTGCTGGACAGCCAGATTTAGTCAGGCAAGTTCTGCCTTCTTGTTCAGATATGTTTTAGCTGGATAGAAAACACTTAAGAAATATCTATTAAGTAAATCCATTCACATAACCAGATATGGGAAAAAGCTGTGTTAGCATGTTCCTGGTATTGTAGAAACCCCATTTTTCACCAATGTACAAATAGAAGGCTCTGCTAAATAACTAATTATTACTTACTGCTATCCTAATAAAGGATAAGAAGAATGCCCATTTATCCAAGTGGGAAAAATTGAAATAATTATTTATTCTTGTTTTTGGAGTGTACTTATACATATATACTTGAGTGTGACTTTCATTCTGGAAACTCACATTGCTTAAAAAAAATTAAGCCACATTAAACTGAAGTTAAATAGTAGTCAAACTACGATTATCTGACTCAAGTGACAACACATTTATCTTTTTCCCATTCTTTCTTTGCTGATCAGTTCTTCAGTTCCAATATAGCTCCCCGTTGACTGCAGCAAAGCAACAGCCTTGATAGAGTTGATTTTTTTCTTCCATTTACTATTTCCCATCTTACTTATCACATAGGAAAAAAGAAGTGCTTTGCCATATATTGCAACTTCCAGAAAAACAAAATCTTCTTTATTTACATTAGAAAGCCCTGAAATAAGTGGAGCAGGTGAAATTGTCACAAAATTTGAAGGCATGAGTTAGCATGGTTAATCAGACATTCTATTCAAAGGTAAGGCACATAGGCTGTCTCATCTTTGACAGGAAGTATAGAGGACTAATGATTTTATCCATTCTTTCTCCCTCATTTTGCTTCATGCAATATACAAAAAATGATTCAGGTGGGTGAAAGACTTACATGTGAAAAGCAAAGCTTCTACGCAATTTTTTAAAAGGAGTTAGGGGAATATTTTTGTGTCATTTGCTAAGATTTGGTTGTTTGACCCCTCCAAATCTCATATTAAAATGTGATTCCTAATAAGGTGTTTGAGTCATGGGAGTGGATCCCTCATGAATGGCCTGGTGTTATCCTTGAGATAATGTGTGAATTCTTGTTCTATTAGTTCCCATAAGAACAAAAAAGAGCCTGGTGAAAAAATAAAATAAAAATAAAGATAAAAAAGAGCCTGGAACATCCCTGCCACCCCGTTGCTTCCTCTCTTTCCATGTGTCTCTGCACATGCCAACTCCCCTTCACCTTCCATTATGAGCGGAAGCAGCCTGAAGCCCTCACCAGAAGCAGATGCTGATGCCATGCTTCTTGTACAGGCTGTGAAACTGTGAGCGAAATAAGCTCTTTTTCTTAACAACTTACCCAGTTTTAGGTATTCCTTTATAGCAATACAAACATGGATTTAGATAGCACTGGAGCAAAAATGAACAGATCACAAGAGAAATGATTGGTAAATCTGACACATGAAAATTAAAAACTTGTATGTAAAAAAAGACACTGTAAACTAAGTTAAAAAATGACGACAAAAGGGAAAAAGATATTTCAAGACTTATAAGAAAAAGCATTCCTATCTAGAAACTGTAAACTCCTACAAGTCAATAAGAAGACAACGCAATTAAAAAATGGGCAAATAATATGAACAGGTAATTCACAGATGAGAAAACTCAAATAAACATATTAAAAGATGTCCAACCTCACTAGGAATGTGGGGAATTCAAACTAAAACAACAATGACCACATTTTATACTTCAAAATTTACAAGTCTATTAATACCAGGTTTTAGCTTGTAGAGAAAGAGGGAATTTTCATAAACTTCTGGCAGAAGTATAAATTGGTAAAACCACTTGGGAAAGCAATTTGGTAACACTTGGTAAAGAAAATAAACCTATCCACATTCAGGTATATTCCTTGACTTTTGCACATATGCATAAGGAGACATTATAAAGGTATTCATTACAGCAATGGAAACAACTAGATGAATGGCCACATAAATGACAAAATCCTATATGGTATCTAAAATGAATAAATATACCCAATACATATCAAAATATGATGTTCAGTGAAGAGCAAGTTTCACAATGTTTATTATTCAACTTGTATAAAAATATTAAGATATAGTTTATGCAGAAAAATATACAAATATGGACAGGAAAGATATAAGCCATCATCAGAATAGAGGTCATCTTTGGAGAGAGAAACATGGAGGGGATTGGAATAGGGGAAAGAAAAGAGGACATTCACTCTTCTCTGTAATATTTTATTTCATAAAAACAATTGCTGAAGCAAGCATGGCAAAATTAACATCTATCATTTGGAGTAATGAGGACATAAATATATATTATATTATCTTCTGTATTTTTTCTGCTTATTTTAATCATTTCATAACTAAGCAATAAAATAATAGCTGTACACTTTAAAGATAAATTAACGATAGATGCTCAAAACTAAAAATTTGAACTACTTAAAATATTTTATTTTCCAAAATAACAATTGATAAAAATTTTTTTAAAATTAAAAAACTGATTTAAAAAATAAAAAAGCTAAACATTACATAGCAGGACTTATAGAATATGGCCAATATGTTCTTTAGACAAAAATTGATTGTCTTTAATGCACTTACTTCAAGAGTTAATTCAGAATAATTCCTATAAAACCTGAGGCAAGTAGCTGAAGGAAATAACAAAGATGATTGTAGAAATCAATACTTTCAAAACTGGGTCTTTAGAAAAACAAAGAAAATAGAAAAATTTCTAGAACATTAAAGAGAACAAACAATAAAACCTAATAAGTGATATTAGAAATAAAAAAGGCATACCTACAGAAAGAAATAGAGAAGTAAAAATGAAAAGAGACTAATACACACACTGGTATGTGAACACATTTGAAAACAAAAAAAGAAATAAATCTTCTTAAAAATATACATATAAAACTTAAGAAGAAATAGGAAACCCAAATAAAAGGCAAACAAGGGAAAAATTAAGGATGGTATCAAAGGCTCTTGCATCGAATAGTATTATGAGTGAATTATTTAAGACGAAATACATATATATACCCACACATATATATATACACATATATACACACACACATATATATATACACACATATATATATATACATATATATATATGATTCCCCACCACAGAAAAATATGGAAAGCTACCCAGGTCATTTTCCAAAGCTAGCAAACCTTGAAATCTACATGTGTCAAAGATGGCATTAAAATGTTTCTATAGCTTTTTCTCACTTATAGGTATAGGGTGCACTAAAAAAGAATAATTAGCAATAGAATTAGCCAATATATTAAAATAATTCATCCTATGATAACAGTATGTTAACTTATCAGTAGAGCCAATAAGAAAAACACAGATGCAGCCTTAACAGGTCCTTAATCAGAGTTGGGATAAATTTTTTTTAATTATTATTTTTTTAACCTTATTTTTTTTAAATTTTACTTTGAGTTCTAGGATACATGTGCAGAACATGCAGGTTTGTTACATAGGTATACATGTGCCATGGTGGTTTCCTGTAGCCATCAACCCATCATCTAGGTTTTAAGCTCCACATGTATTAGGTATTTCTCCCACTGCTCTCCCTCCCCTTGCCCTCCACTCCCCAACAGGCCCCAGGGTGTGATGGTCCCCCACCGTGTCCATGTGTTCTCATTGCCCAACTCCCGCTTATGAGTGAGGACATGAGGTGTTTGGTCTTCTGTTCCTGTGTTAGTTTGCTGAGGATGATGGTTTCCAGCTTCATCCATATCCCTGCAAAGGACATGAACTCATTCTTTTTATGGCTGCATAGTATTCCATGGCATATATGTGCCACATTTTCTTTATCCAGTCTATCATTGATGGGCATCTGGGTTGGTTCTAAGACTTTGCTATTGTAAATAGTGCTGCAATAAACATACGTGTGCATGTGTCTTTATAGTAGAATGATTTATAATCCTTTGGGTGTATACGCAGTAATGGGATTGCTGGGTCAAATGGTATTTCTGGTTCTAGATTTTTGAGGAATCGCCACACTGTCTTCCACAATGGTTGAACTAATTTGCACTCCCAATAACAGTGTAAAAACATTCCTATTTCTCTACAGCCTTGCCAGCATCTTTTGTTTCCTGACTTTTTAATAGTCGCCATTCTAACCGGCATGAGATGGTATCTCATGGTGGTTTTGATTTGCATTTCTCTAATGACCAGTGACGATGAGCTTTTTTTCCATGTTTGTTGGCCAGATAGATGTCGTATTTTGAGAAGTATCTGTTCATATCCTTTGCCCACTTTTTGATGGAGTTGTTTGTTTGTTTTTCGTGTAAACTTGTTTAAGCTCCTTGTAGATTCTGGATATTTGACCTTCGTCAGATGGATAGATTGCAAAAATTTTCTCCCATTCTGTAGGTTTCTTGTTCACTCTGATGGTAGTTTCTTTTGCTGAGCAGAAGCTCTTTAGTTTAATTAGAACCCATTTGTCAATTTTGGCTTTGTTGTAATTGCTTTTGGTGTTTTAGCCATGAAGACTTTGCATATGCCTATGTCCTGAATGGTATTGCCTAGGTTTCCTGGAAGGGTTTTTATGGTTTTAGGTTTTACGTTTAACTCTTTAATCCATCTTGAGTTAATTTTTGTATAAGGTGTAAGGAAGGGATCCAGTTTCAGTTTTCGGCATATGGCTAGCCAGTTTTCCCAACACCATTTATTAAATAGGGAATCCTTTCCCCATTGCTTATTTTTGTCAGGTTTGTCAAAGATCAGATGGTTGTAGATGCTTGGTGTTATTTCTGAGGGCTCTGTTCTGTTCCATTGGTCTATATATCTGGTTTTGGTACCAGTATCATGCTGTTTTGGCTACTGTAGCCTTGTAATATAGCTTGAAGTCAGGTAGCATGAAGCTTTGTTATTTTTGCTTAGAATTGTCTTGGATATATGGGCTTTTTTTTTGGTTCCATATGAAATTTAAAGTAGTTTTTTCTAATTCTGTGAAGAAAGTCAAAGGTAGCTTGATGGGAATAGCATTGAATCTGTAAATTACTTTGGGCAGTATGGCCATTTTCATGATTCTTCCTATCCATGTTTTTCCATTTGTTCGTGTCCTCTCTTATTCCTTGAGTAGTGGTTTGTAGTTCTCCTTGAAGAGGTCCTTCATGCGCCTTGTAAGTTGTATTCCTAGGAATACAGCGTTGCTTTTATTGTTAATGGGATGGATAGATGGATAGTGTGTGAGATTTGTCTTTTTCTTTTTAAATTATATTTTCTGATTGATACATTGAAAAGCTACTAGGGTGTGTGTGTTTAATTCGAACAGACTTTTAATTGACTCTATGGGGTTTTTAAAATAAAATTTTCCTGGGCTCAAGTGATCCTCTTACTTCAGCCTCCCCAGTAGCTGGGACTACAGTTGCGTACCCCAGTCCAGCTATTTTTCGTGTGTGTTTCATGATGGGGTTTTGCCATATTACCAAGACTTGTCTCAAACTCCAGGGCTCAAGTAATCCTCCCACCTTGGCCTCCCAAAATGTCAGAATTATAGGTGTGAGCCAATGAGCCTGGCCCAATATTATTTCTGATAGCTTGGCCAGTCCATTGGAAGGAACCATTTGTTTCAACTTCTCAAAGCATTAGTGCCTTGGTGGACATAGCTTCCAGACCTTGCATTGGAATACTAGCAAAGTCTAAGAGGGATTCAGTCTTTAATTTCATAATATAACAGCCTGATAATTCTGTATATAGGAGCCATGTAGATGAGATACTTTTTTAGAACCTATACTTACTCAGTGTATTATGTTTCTGTTACAATAGCTTTTTTGAGAAATAATTCCTGTATCATACAAAATTCACTATTTAAAGTGTGTAATTCAGGAGTTTTTAATATATTCATGGAGTCGTACAAGCACTATCTAATTCCAGAACATTTTCATCACTCCTAAAAAACCCATACCCATTAGCAGTAATTCCCCTCTTTCCTTCCCCCAGCCCCTAGTAACCACTAATCCAGTCTCTGTCTCTACTGATTTGTCTATTCTGGGCATTTTATATAAATGGAATCATACAGTATTTGTCCTTTTGTGACTAGCTTTTTTTCACTTAGCATAATGTTTTCAAGGTTCATCCATGTGGTAGCATGTATCATTACTTCATTATTTTCTATTGTCAAATAAGATTCTATTGCATGAATATATAATATTTTGTTTGCACATATTATATTTTGCTTATTCATTTATCAGATGGAGGTCACTTCAATTATTTCCACTTTTATGGCCATATGCTGCCATGAATATTTATGTATAAATTTTTATGTAGACATATGTTTTCACTTATCTTGGGCATAAACCAAATAGTTAATTTACAAGTTCTAGTGTAATTTTATGTTTAACATTTTTGGGAGCTCCAAAACTGTTTTTTTAAAGTGACTGTGTAAGTTGGGCATGGTGGCTCATGCCTGTAATCCCAGTGCTTCAGAAGGATCACTTCAGGCCAGGAGTTTGATACCTGCCTAGGCAACATAGCTAGAGCCTTCTCTACAATACATAGATACATACAAAGTGACTGTGCCATTTTATAATTCATCTAGCAATGTATGAGGGTGACAGTTTCTCCACATTCTTGTCAACATTTGTTATAGCTCTTCTTTTTAAATTTTAGACATTTTAGTGGGTCTGAGAGAAATAATACACTGTATTATTTTTATTCTTTTGAAATTGTTAAGGTATGTTTTATGGCAGAGAATGTGGTCTACCTTAGTGAATGTTCCATATGAGCTTGAGAAGAATGCACATTCTGTTGTTGAAGTAATGTAGAGATGTCAATTATATTCAGTTAATTGATGATGTTTTTGAGTTCAACTATGATGTTTTTGAGTGCATGCGTCCTTACTGATTTTCTGTCTGCAAGATCTGTTCATTTCTGAAAGAGGGGTGTTGAAGTTACCCAACTATAATAGTGGATTCTTCTACTTCTTTCTGCAGAGCTATCGGTTTTATCTCATATTTTCATGCTCTGTTGTTAGGCATGTGCACATTATGGATAGTTATGTCTTTTTGGAGAACTGATCCATATCACTATGTAATGCCCCTCATTCTCCTTGATAACTTTTCTTGCATTGAAATTTTCTCTGTCTGAAATTAGTTTAGCTTGATTAACATTAGCATGGCATATCTTTCTGTATCACTTTACTTTTAATCCATATGTGTATATTTCAAGTGAGTTTCTGGTAGACAACATATAGTTGGGTCTTGTTTTTTGATCCACACTGACTGTCTTAACCGGTATATTTGTACCATTAATGTTTGAAATGATTATTAATATCTATCACATTTTTTTTACTATTTTCTATTCATTGCTCTTGTCCTTTATTTCTATTTTTGTCTTCCAACCTTTGTTTCTATTTTTGTCTTCCAATCTTTTTCTTCCTTTTGTGGTTTTAATTGATGATTTTATTTGATTCTACTTTTTTGTTAGCATATCAATTATATTTTTTAAAAGTCTTTTAGTTACCCTAGAGTTGTAATATGCATTTATGATTAATTCAAGTCCACATTCAGATAACTCCATGCTACTTCATGGGTGGTGCAAGTACTTTATAATAAAAAGGATTCCTAATTTCTCCTTCCCACCCCATGCATTATTGCTGTCATTCATTTCACTTGTACATAAACTATAATAATTGAATATATTGTTGCTATCATTATTTTGGCCAAAGTTTTAATTGTTAGGTAATTAAGAGTAAGAGAAACAAGGCCAGGCTGTGTGGCTCATGCTTGTAATCTCAGCACTTTGGGAGGCTGAGGCAGGAGGATTGCTTGAGGCCAGAAGTTTGAGACCAGTCTTAGCAATATAATGAGACCTACTCTCTACTAAAAAATAAAAACATTAGCTGGGTGTGGAGGCATGTGTCTGTAGTCCCAGCTACTTGGGAGGCTGTGGCAGGAGGATTGCTTGAGCCCAAGAGTTCAAGGTTGCAGTGAGCTATGATCATATAACTCCAGCCTGGGCAATGGAGTGAGACCCTGTCTCAAAAACAACAACAAAAAAGGAAACCAAAAGTTTTTGTTTCATGTTCACTTATTTCATCTCTAATGCTCTTCTTTTCTTTATGTAGATCTGAGTTTCTGACTTCCATCATTTTCCTTCTCCCTGAAGAACTTCTGTTAACATTTCTTGCAAGACAGATCTACTGGCAACAAATTCCCTACATTTTTTGTTAATCTGAGAAAGTGTAATTTCTCTTTCACTGTTAAAGGATAATTTTGCAGGATACAGAGTTCTAGGTTTGTAGGTTTTTTTCCTCTCAAAAATTTAAATATTTCACTTCACTCTCTTCTTATTTGCATGGCTTCTAAAAAGAAATTGTATGTAATTTGTATCTTTGCTCCTTTTTAAGGAGTTTTTTTTTCTTCTGGATTATTTTAATTTTTTTATTTTTGACTTTCTGCAACTTGAATATGATACGCCTAGTTACAGTTTTTTCTTGTTTCTTTTTCTTTCTTTTTTTTTTTGCATTCATTCTGTTTGGTGTTCTCTGAGTTTCCTAGATCTGTGTGGCATCTGACATTAATTTGGGAAACTCTCCGTCATTATTGCTTCAAATATTTATTTCTTGGTTTCTTTCTGCTTCTTTTCTTCTTCTGTTATTCCTATTATGTGTATGTTACTCATTCCGTTAAGTGTCCTCTAGTTCTTGGATATTCAGCTACATTTTTTAACTGTTTTTCTCTTTGCTTTTCAGAAATTTTTATTGACATATCTTCAAGCTCAGAGATTCTTTCCTCAGCCATGTCCAGTCTACTACTGAGCAACCAAACTAGCATTTCTTTCTGATTCTTTCTTTCCATCTCTCTAGTTAAATTACCCTTCTTTTCTTGCATGCTGCCTATTTATTCCATGAGAGCTCTTAGCATATTAATCATAGTTGTTTTAAATTCATGGTCTGATAATCAGAACATCTGTGCCATATCTGAGTCTGGTTCCAATGCTTGCGCTGTCTCTTCAAACTGTGTTTTTGTCTTTTTGTATGCCTTGTGATTATTTTGAAATAATATACTGAATATAATGTACTGGATAAAAGGAACTGCAATAAATAGGTATTTAGTAATGTGGGTGGTAAGGCATGGAGAGAGAGAAGTGTTCTGTTGTCTCATGATTAGGTCCCAGGCTTTTAGTTAGCCTGTGCCCCTTGGATGTGAATTTCACAGGTGCTTCTATGCTTTTTCTCCACTTTGGTGGGACAGGATGGTTAAAGTTGGATATTTCCCTTTCCTAAGGTCAGTTAATCTCTGGCAAACCTCATTAAATTAGACTCTGGTAAAATAGTTTTTCTTGAGGGCAGACCTTACTTAGAAGAACAGAAGGCTCTGGCTTATTTCAAAATGGTTGCTTTCCCCCTCCCTCATGCTAATCTTCACTATGAGAATTTGGTACAGCTCCTGAAGGTAAAACTCACAAAAGTGTGGGACTCCATAAGACTGTGAAGTCCTGAAGTTATTAACTCTCAGACTTGTCCATACTGAGCCCCCAGCAATTTGACAATAATAGTTCAGGTTTTCCTACCCTGGCACTGGTTTCCATGGAAGTTTCTGGTTGTGGGTTTCTGCCCCAGTAAGTTGTGATTCTCTGTATACACCTCGGTCCATTTGTGTCACAATAAAGGAATACCTGAGGTTAGGTAAAATTTAAAAAGAGGTTTATTTGACTCATGGTTCTGCAGGCTGTACATGAAACATGGGGCCAGCATCTACTTCTGGTAATAGACTTAGGCTGCTTTTCTTCATGGCAGAAGGTGAAAGGGAGCTGGCATGTGCAGATATCTTGTGGCAAGAGAGAGCAAAGAGGTTACAGGCTCTTTATAACAACTAGCTCTCACAGGAACTAATAGAGCAAGAACTCACTTATTACCATGAGGATGGCACCAAGACATTCATGAGGGATCTGTCCCTGCTAACCCAAACGCCACCAATTAGGGGCTACCTTCAACACTGGGATCAAATTTTGACATGAGATTTTGGGGAACAAGCATCCAAACTACAGCACCACAGGTCTGTCTTTCCCATTTTGTGGGCAGTAGTTTGCCCTGTGATCTCAATTCTCTGCTGTATCTAAGAAGAGTTGTTGATTTTTAATTTGTGCAGCTTTTTATTAGTTAGGTTGAAGTGATGAGTTTCAAGCCCCTTATCTGCCAGACTGAAAACCCAAAGTAACCAGAGAAAATTTTAGCCTCTGATACCTACAGCTGCCGCAAACAGTAAATACATCCTAACTCAGATTAATATAAAGCCACACACAAAAAGCCTCTTCATCTCAGTTCCTTTTACCAGATATATCATGTCTGCCTTTTAACAACAACAACAACAAAAAAGCATGTTAAAAATGTAATGTCACATTTCTATCAATGAGATTCTTTCTCCACTTTTAGGGTTTGTTGCTGTTTACCGTCATTGTTGTTGCCATTTACTTGTTTTGTGACTTTCCCAGTCAATTTATGCAAATTCTGTAATTTTAGTCATGTGAAGTCACTGAAGATTGTGTTTGTGTAGTTTAGTGATTAGGTAATGATTAAACAGAGATTTCCTTAAGTGCTTTGAAAGAGTAAGTCTTTTGGCTTCTGCAATTGGGTTCTTTGTGTGTATTGCAGCATGCCTTTAATCCTCAGGCTGACAGCTTGAAACTCTGCCTTAGTCTTCACTTCCTGCTTACATAGAGCCCATGGTCAGCCCCAGGTGACAGAAAATGGCTTTCTTGGGTGTTGCAGGAAGTCAGGAACCCTGAACGGTGGGACCTGCTGAAGCCATGGCAGAAGAACATAAATCGTGAAGATTTCATGGACATTTATTAGTTCCCCAAATTAATACTTTTATAATTTCTTATGCCTGTCTTTACTGCAATCTCTGAACATAAATTGTGAAGATTTTGTGGATACTTATCACTTCCCTAATCAATACCCTTGTGGTTTCCTATGCCTGTCTTTACTTTAATCTCTTAATCCCATCATCTTCGTAAGCTGAGGAGGATGTATGTTGCCTCAGGACCCTGTGATGACTGCGTTAACTGCACAAACTATTTGTAGAGCATGTGTGTTTGAACAATATGAATTCTGGGCACCCTGAAAAAAGAACAGGATAACAGCAATATTCAGGGAACAAGAGAGATAACCTTAAACTCTGACCGCCGGTGAGCCAGGTGGAACAAAGCCATATTTCTCGTCTTTCAAAAGCAAATGGGAGAAATATCGCTGAATTCTTTTTCTCAGCAAGGAACATCCCTGAGAAAGAGAATGCATCCCTGAGGGTAGGCCTCTAAAATGGCCGCTCTGTGGGGTGGCCATCTTTTACGGTTGAAGCTGTAGGGATGAAATAAGCCCCAATCTCCTGTAGCACTCCCAGGCTTATTAGGACAAGGAAATTCCCGCCTAATACATTTTGGTCAGACCGGTTGTCTGCTCTCAAACCCTGTCTCCTGATAAGATGTTATCAATGACAATGCGTGCCGAAACTTCATTAGCAATTTTAATTTCGCCCTGGTCCTGTAGTCCTGTGATCTTGCCCTGCCTCCATTTGCCTTGTGATATTCTATTACCTTGTGAAGCATGTGATCTCTGTGACCCACACCCTATTCGTACACTCACTCAACTTTTGAAAATCACTAATAAAAACTTTCTGGTTTTACGGCTCAGGGGGCATCACGGAACCTGCCGACATGTGATGTCTCCCCCAGACGCCCAGCTTTAAAATTTCTCTCTTTTGTACTCTGTTCCTTTATTTCTCAGACCGGCTGACACTTAGGGAAAATAGAAAAGAACCTACGTGAAATATCAGGGGTGAATTTCTCCCAATATCTGGCTGAATTTCCCCCAATACTTGGGTCTTTCCTGAACACACACAGAGCCCTGCGTAGGCTCATGTGCATCTAGATTCCCAAGAAAATGTTTGAGATTTTCAAAGCCCCCTAGGGATACCTAATTCCCAAGTTTTCGCCTTTAAGTATTTTTGTCAGGCTCATTAGCCTCAGCTGATATCATCACCTCACACAAGTATGATGTTAAACAATTGCTGCTAATTTTTTATTTTCATAATCAATGCCTTGGTGATGGGGCTGTTCCCACACAGTGAACTCTGAATCAAGTCAAATAAATACAAGCCCTAATAATAGAGCATCTCCAGGGAGCTTTCAAACAAGCCAGATAGTGACAATTCTCTGGGGATGATGCTTTGTAGGGGGCTCTGAACGTCTTCTGCCTCCTCCAAAGGCTGCTAGGCTGCTGGTTTTCATACCTGCTGTGGTTGGGAGGCTGTTATTTTTCAAGGCTATGGCAGCACTGGGGAGATGGGGATGGGAACAAGAGGAGAGAAAGTCATGAAGTTTGTAGTTCTTACTGAGATTCAGCCATTTTCTTGAATAAATACATACATAGCCAAAGAACTGTTGTAAGCCTTTGATTAATGCCCAGAGTTCTGAAACGTTGATTTTCATGATTTTTGCCAGTGTTCTCATTGCTTTTGTGGAGGAGTTGATTTCCTGAGGTCCTTATTCCAGCATTCTAGAAGTGCTTTTCCTGTTTTGTGCTAATGGCATCTATTTTGGGGTGATTAATTCACCTCCATTCGAAACTCTCCCAGTCATGATGAGAGCTACTTGATAGGAAAGCACTGATGAGAATCATCTTGCTGGAAATGTTTTACTATCCCTACCTGATGCTCTATTTCTCTTCGTGTCTCTTTTCTTAAATGTAGCTAAACATAGATAACAAATAAAAGAAACTTTGTCAGGATACAAGAGCACGAATGCTAGATCAGTTAACCAGAAACTCCCAAGGATGAAACCAGCCAGCTCTTCGGGTCTAAAAAATTGAAATGATTCAATTGTTATCACTTTCAGGTAGATATAGTTTTCCTTCTAAAAAGCATTTAAAGTGAAAATACCATGTTACTTTTGAAAATGGAAGTCATTGCAAGATCACATGTTTCAGAGTGAGGGTAAAGTAACTGTTTTTGGTTCTTCTTTATGTAAAAACATTCAATAGTTATGTATATTTTTCCTTAAAATAGTAAGATATGAACATAAGATTTTTGACTTTAGGTTGATGCTCTGTTAATAATATAAACAAACATTTTTAAGAACGTTTTAAATCCAGATTTAAGGAAGTTAATTATATTAAAAGTGGTAATAATAATTTAGCAATGTTTTAATAGAAAAATAATTATTGAGTAGTATTTCCTGTCATTTAAGATAGTCAATATTGTCATAAAGTTTGGAGATTATGGATACTTTATGTTATATTTGGCACCATGGTTATTACATAAGACACTTCCTATTTATAAACTAGGAGCAAAGGGAGGTGATGTAATTAAGTGTCTAAATTAATTCTATAGAACAACTAAATTCAGACCGTAACAATTTAGAATGTCATTATTCTCATAAGAATGAGCCAAAGTTTATCATTACTCTCTTTATATTTCTTTTAAAATTGTTTGCAGAGCAAATTAATTGAATAAGTAAATTCTCAGGAACAAACTGTAAAAGATATGCACACACAAATTATTAATATATTTAATTTTTTTGAGAGAGGGTCTTGCTCTATTGCCTAGGCTGGAGTGCAGTGGTGTGATCACAGCTCACTGCAAATCTAAATTATTGCATTTAAAGAATCCTCCTGCATCAGCCTTCCAAGTAGCTAGGACCACAGTGCACGCCACCATGCCTAGCTAATGAAAAAAATTTTTTTTTGTAGAGATGGAGTCTCATAATGTTGCCCAGGCTGGTCTTGAGCTCATAGGCTCAAGGGATCCTCCTGCCTTGGCTTCCCAAAGCACTGGGTTTATAATGTGCTCCTCCACAACCAGCTGACTTATTAATTTAGATTATTATTAATTATCTTTCAAAGCAGGCCACTTTTCCATTTGGAAACACTTTAATAACATGTATCAAGATATGTATTGGTCACTCATCTCTTCATTAAACATTTATTTCATGCCAATCGATGTGCTAGATGCTGACAATGAAAAGGTAGACAAGGCTCTCATGGAATGTGGTAGAAGATCCAGCTCTCCTCCTGACTCCATCCTCTCTGAAGTTGACAGAAATAAAGTTGAAGCAATTTGAGATAAGTGCTACACAGGAACCGGAAGAGCCTGAGACATAAGAAAAGAGCATGGAGGAAAAGAACCTACTATATATAGTACAGGCATGGGAAACCTCTCTGATGAGGAGCTCTAAAGGATAACACATTCTAGGTGATTCAGAGAATCATGTTAAGTAGAGGAACAGCATGAGCAAAGTCCTGAGGCTGGAAAGAACTTGGAGTATTTAATGAATGAAAAAAGTCAATGATGCATAATAAGAAATTGAGAGTAGAAGGAAGTGAGAAGGGTGGGTGTAGTGAGATGAAGTTGGGGAACAAGGCAAGGTCCAGATCAAGCGAGGCCTCCATAGGTCAAACTCTGGATGAAGTTTTGGGTTTTCCTTTCAAGGACACAGGACCTATGCTTATTCAGCAAATAAAGCAGGAACATTTGGGGTTAAATGATAGCATAGACAATGCTTAGAGGTTGTTTCCTTGGAAAATAAAACAAACACATTGCTTCCAGAAGAATTTCTGTCAGGAAAAAGACAAATTTTCAATCTCTCTTTTGGTTATGTGGGTACCATAAATTAATTTAGGAAGCTGCCAGAGCTCTAACAACACTAGAAACATTTTCAGGTATCTGTGGTAGTTCAAAGGCCTTCCAACTCAGGTCCTCATGGGCTAGAACATTTTGGATAGTTTAATAATGAGGTAAGACAGTTTTAGGCTGAAAATCAAATCAGGTCTTAATAATAATTGCTAACATTTATTGAGGACTTACTACATATCAAGCACTATTATCAGTGCTTCATGTGAATTAACTCATGTAATCTCCATAACCCTATGTAATTATTATTATTATCCTCATTTTTAATATGTGGAAACTAAGGCAAAAAGAAGTTAGGTAACTTTCTCAGGGCTGTGCATTTGGAAAGTGATAGAATTAGGATTTGAACCTAGGTAATCTGGTATCAGAGGCCACGCAGTGTCCACCGCACCTCACTGCCTAATCTTAGGGTGATTATACCTCACGGTTTGGTTTAGGCATGCTGCACACCTGGAAACTCCATCAGTTTATGAAGGGGAGGCCCAGCTGCCCATGTGATAAAAGGCTGATTATATCACTAGGTGGATTCACTATCATAATGAGGATTAAAAACAAAAAACGTCTTTGGTTGGAAGACCAAGTTAACATTAAATGAACTTCCCGATATGCATAAGGAATCTGAGCCAGAAAAGTGCCTTTGAGGGAGAGAGTTGCTTAGGTCATCCAATCTTGGAAAATGGTTTTTCCTCCATCCCACATCCTGAAATAACCTGGGATGACTCATAAAGGAAGTCATGGAAATATAAGCTTGGAAATCAGTGCCTAACTAAATTTGTTAAGGAAAAGATGGAATGGTATCTGACATGAGCACATTTTTTATCATATTTCCAAAATTTTGATTTTTAAACTGTGGTGATTGAAAATATATTATACTCATACGTGTGGCCTAAAACTATTTTAGAAGTATGTGACTTTTTGGGAATGTTTGCTTGCAGCAGAATATACTATGTGCAAATTTCCAGTACATATCGAAACTTTGTATCCTAAAAATTTATTAGTTATTTATACATATCTTTTAAAAATTATATGTTTATTAGGAGAGCAGTAAATTCTATCAATGAATTTTACAATTCAATATGTATATGTTAAAACATAATCCACTAAAGGAAAATACTCATTTACCACATCTTTCCACATGACGTGCTGATAATCTTCCACTAGAAACAACACAAAACAACAAGATGTGAAGAACCAAAAGAAGTCTTTAAATATATGTAGAAATCTCATGTTTTCCCTTGAAATAACATTTTCTACCTTCTAAACTTTATGTTGTAACTTATAGGAGTGAATACACATTGTTATGAATCTTACAGCTATGTGTTTATTTGTCCTGGTATAATTGAATTAGATTCTGGAATTTTTTCTGCTAATGATGGCCTATAATAACCGAATGATTAAAAAAAAAGAGAAAAGAGGAAGAAATAGAAGTGAGTGCTGAAAGGACACAAGAAGGCAAAAGCATAAATCAGAAGCATAAATGTGAATAATATCAGATTAATATCAGGTTAATACTGATATTACATGGAGCAGATAACAATTCACTGGATATACATGTCAGCCAACAAGTAGCCCTGACATATCAGAGTTGCCTTGGAATTAAAACCATATTATTGCAGCTGTATTAGATTCCCAAAAGATAAGCCCAGTGCTCTGAAACATTCATTGTGAAATATTCTAGATTCTAGACATTTTCAGTTAGTAGAAAATCCTTGAATCATTGCTAATTTCCACTTTAAGTTTTCCCCTCTTCTATGTGATCAACAGTTTTAGTAGACTCTGTTTTCCATTCCAAGTGATAACATAGTCTGATACCTTTTCAAATACATGCCTTGATTAGTTGGTTAGAAATATTTACTATGTGGATAAATATATTAAAATATATGGATATGTTCTAATTATACAAGCTATTTTTCTATCTAATTGATATTAACAAGACAATACTTTTTAAAACTTGTGTAGTTTTCTACAAACATCTTCTTCTCTGAAATGTGAACACGGCAGCTTTTTTTTCTAAAACCAATTTAGAATTATTCTTTGGACTGTCAACTGTTCAGAGACAATTTTGTTAATTTTAGACTGCACACTAAATATGCAGCATATTTGTGGCTAGAAATACAAAATGTAGTTAACTTTATTTCTTATAATGATTATCTTCATTGCTTTTCAAACTTTACATCATATAATCAATTTTCAAAACAGTTTGATTTGTTGGTAGTAATTTGCATTTTGTTTTTCTATTTGTTATTTCACAGAGTTAAGAATGTATTGTGATGATAGTATGCCTTAAAACATCAACATATCCTGATTTTAATAAATACTATGAGGTCTGCCATTTGAGGAGTTTGATTTGTAATTAAGTGTAGTAGCTATTTCTGTTTGCACAAAGCATAAAACGTTACAACATGTTCAAGTTTAAGTCCTTTGTTGCATCCTAAATGATTCACTCATTTTCCACAGAAAAGCCTCAATTACAAAGAACTAAAAAAATTAAATTAATAATCAGTGGAAGAGAAGTAGGTTTAAAAAGGATGCTCAAACTATATTGAAAAAAAGGATATGAGGCTGGGCGGGGTGGCTCACGCCTGTAATCTGAGCACTTTGGGAGGCTGAGGCAGGCAGACTGTTTGAGGCCAGGAGTTGAAGACCAGCCTGGCCAACGTAGTGAAATCTGGTCTCTACGAAAATTACAAAAACTAGCCAGGAGTGATGGCGTGGCCTGTAATCCTAGCTACGTTGGGAGGCTGAGGCAAGAGAATTGCTTGAACTTGAGAGTTGGAGGCTGCAATGAGCCAAGATCACGCCACTGCACTCTAGCCTAGGCAACAGAGCGAGACTCCATCTCAAAAAAAAAGAGAAAAAATGTATATGAAAAACATGTTGGGAATTCTCCACCGGAGAGAACACAAACCTACAAATACGTGAAGAATGACCAAAATGGTCTTTTGGAAAATGTTGATAAGGGTTGATGGAAGATCAATGTAGTATATTTGGAACATTCTGGACTATACAACACTAAATGGCCCTTCACTGTAGGACTACTCAGAGCCTGTGATATGTACATTGTTCATTACTGAGAAGCTACATATAAGAGCAAGCAGGGCTTCTGAAATAGTTTTGATGGTGGAAAATTGTTTGTTTCTTGGTAGTGCACCTCATAGAAGATCTGTGACAAATGCTTTGGGACATGGTGTGGTACCTATTTATGTCACCAACTTTATTATAGAATACATTTATTGAGGGCTCATTTAAATCTCAGGTCAAGTGATATTACATAAATTTCAACTCTCTATTAATATAGTCATTTATCTTTGCAGGTTAGCTTGGAACAAAATAAATTTCAACTGTTTTTGTAAAATATAAATTCTGAGTTAATAAACAAAAGATTTTAATTTTAACTTTTAAAGTCTAATTAAAATTTCCAACAGCATAAATTAATGCTGCAGAATAGAGAGTTCAGAAATAGACCTATGCAGATATGCTCAATTACTTTTTGATAAAATTACAAAGGCATTTCAGTGGATTTCACCAAAATAAAAATTTCTGCTCTGGGAAAGACACTGTTAAGAGATTGTAAAGCAAGCCACAGATTGAGACAAAGGTTTGCAAGTCATGTGTCTAATAAAGGACTTGTATCCAGAATATATAAAGAACTTTCAAAACTCAGTAATCAGAAAATAACCCAACTTAAACAATGAATGAAAGATTTGAACAAACAATTCACCATTGAAGATATGGCAAATAAGCACATGAAATGGTGTTTAATATTGTTAGTCACTGGGGAAATGCAAATTAAAACCACAATGAAATGCCACTACATATCTATTAGAATAGCTAACATAACCAACGAAGAAACAGTACCGAAAACAACAATGACAAAACTGACACCACCAAGTACTGACCAGGATGCAGGGAAACTAAAACTCTCGTACATTGTGGGGAGTTTAAAATAATAAAGCCACTTTGAAAAATAGGTTGAGAGTTTCTTATAAAGTTACATGTTCACTTATGCCATAGAACCAGTAATTCTACTTCTAGCTATTTACCGAGGAGAAATGAAAACATGGTCACACAAGAACCTTTTCATAAAGGCTTATAGCAGCTCTATTCATAATCATAAAAAATTGGAAGGAACCCTTCAGTGAGCCAATAGATAATCTGAGATGCATTCATATGGTGGAATACTACTCAGTGATAAAAAGCAAAAATATTGACACATAAACAATTTGAACGCATCTCAGATGCAAAAGAAACTATACTCAAAGGCTACAAGATTTCATTTACATTGCATCCTGAAAAACGCAAAACTATAGGGGATAGAATGGTTGCCAGGGGTTAAGGATCAGGAATCTTGATTGTGGCGGTGGTTATAGGAATTGATGCATTTTCCAAAATTCATAAAGCTGTACTTTAAAAAGAGTAAATTTTAATGTATGTAAATCAATAATAAGTTTTAAAAACCCACCGAAAGATGGAGAGGAAGGAGGTAATTTAAATTCCTGTACAGAAGGTTATTTGGCACAAAGGACAAATATAAAATCTTAGCCCTTTACATCATAAGTATGGTAACCATATAATGTATCACCTGAACTGGGCACTTGATGATGAAAGAGGGGTCTATGTTATTTAGAATGAGACAACAACCTAGGACTCTCCCAGGCACACTGAGCTGTACAGTCACCTTAATCTTAAGGGAAATTACAAAAACACACCAAAGAAGCTACTCACATCAATATAAATAAGTGTTACTTACTTGGCCACATATTAACATGTGGCAGCTCCCCTGGAGATTGAACTGTAAGAGTCATCAGATTATAATTTGGCCACTCTTGAACCACAAGGTTATCACATGTTGTGATGTACACAGGATTTGTAAAATCATATGTAGGAACAATTTTGTAGTCCAAAGTGATACAAAAATATCTGAATTATGGAAACTTCTCCAATGTTTTATTGTAACAAACATGCTAAAACTGTATCACCTATGCCCACTGTGTTTGTCTGGTCTTGGTTTTATATTGCTATAGAGAAATACCTAAGGCTAGGTAACTTACAAGAAAAGGAAGTTTAATTGGCTCATGGTTCTGCAGGCTCTACAGGAAGGGTGGTGCCGGCATCCAATTGGCTTCTGGTGAGGTCTCAGGAAGCTTTCAAAAATGGCAGAAGGTGAAAGGGGAGGAAGCATGTCACCTGGCAAGAGCAGGAGCAAGAGAGAGAGAAGGAGGTCCCAGACTTCTTTTTTTTTTTGAGACGGAGTCTCGCTCTGTCGCCCAGGCCGGACTGCGGACTGCAGTGGCGCAATCTCGGCTCACTGCAAGCTCCGCTTCCCGGGTTCACGCCATTCTCCTGCCTCAGCCTCCCGAGTAGCTGGGACTACAGGCGCCCGCCACCGCGCCCGGCTAATTTTTTGTATTTTTAGTAGAGACGGGGTTTCACCTTGTTAGCCAGGATGGTCTCGATCTCCTGACCTCATGATCCACCCGCCTCGGCCTCCCAAAGTGCTGGGATTACAGGCGTGAGCCACCGCGCCTGGCCCCCAGACTTCTTTAAACAACCAGATCTCATTTGAACTGAGAACTCTGCCATTTGCAGATTAAATTTGAGTGAATGGGTTTTGCCTTAGCATACTCCTTCCTTCTCTTTCATTTATTTATGCTTTCAGCAACCCTAAGTGTCATTTACCCAGCAATGCTTTGTGTCATTTGACTGTCAACTCTATGCATCATTCTTACAGAAATATTTACTCTGTGTCATGCCCTGTACTAAATATGGAGGATTCATTGGAGTATGATCCTGCCTTCATAGGGATTTACAGTATTTTAGAGGGCATGTAGGGGAAGAGAAGGGGCCCGGGCTTGTAAACAGTATTCATCCATCTCTCAATGTGCTATTTTATTAAAAATACAGACAGAGCACATGGAAGAGGGGCCTAATATAGCTTAGGTCAGGAAAAGGTTAAAGAAGTGACTTCCAAACAGCTTTACCCTGAGGGTAGCAGGGAGTAATTGAAATGTTTCAAGCAGTGTAGGTGATGTGATATGATTTGCATTTTAGAAAGATAATTCTGGCTGCTTTGTGGTGAGAGAGAGAGAGAGAGAGAGAGAGGGAGGGAGGGAGGGAGGGAGAGAGAGACGAGAGAGAGAGAGAGAGAGAGAGAGAGAGAGAGAGAGAGAGAGATCAGGAGAAAAGAAATCCAGTGAAGAGACAAGAGACTCTGGTGGTGTGAGGATAGAAAGGGAGAGACACATTCAAGCCAGTCAGAAGGTTGAATCAATTGAATGGGTTGTGGTGGTGAGGAGGAGAAACTATAGGATAACACTAAGGAATAATAAGAGATTCCATCTGTTAGATGCTCCATATCCATGCAGGAAAAGCTGATATACTTTACAGATGAAGAGATTAAAATTCCAAGAGGTTAGTAATATTCACAAGTCCAAAGAATTAATGAGTAAATGATAGAATCTAAGCAAGTTATTTAGTCCCTTCAATCTATACATTTTTCATGTATATAATGACAATAAAAGTGGCTCTAACTTTCTGTATTTGCTCAGAACAATTCCTGGCACATGTAAGCACCCAGTAAAGATGAGCTGGTCTTCCAGAGTGGGGATGTTTTTTTGCAGGTGTGAGGCTATACAGACCCAGATCCTTAAGAGTGCACAGAGGCATGAACAATGTATGGCAAACATCCTTGGCTCTCAATCGTTTGCCTGTTTTTGAGGGCTCACTGGTTCTTTCTCATGTCCCAGATCTCTAAAGGGGAAATCCTCCAGGACCCAAACCTTGGATCTCTTCTCTTCCATCTACATCCTCTTTCTATGTGATTGCACCCATTTTCATGACTTTAAATGTCACGTATATTCTAATGACTCTCACATTTCAATCTCCAGTTCTCTGCCTCAGGGCCCTGTATATGCTGCCTCTTGACAATTCCACATGGATGTCTGCAGTCCAAAACCAAGCTTCTGACTTTCTTTCCAAAGCTCACTCCTGTAGCCTGCCTCAGTCAGGTTAATGGGAAATTTTAAGTTCAATTTGCTTAGACCCAAAACAATGGTGTTATACTTCTTTTTATTGCATCCCACATCAGATTCATAGAAAAACCTGTTAGCTATGCCTTCAAAATATACCCAGAGTCAGACTACTTCTCATCATCTCTACTGCTACCTTCCTCGTCTGAGCCACCTTCTTGCTTACCTGGATTGGTGCAATCACCTGCTAATTCATCTTACTGCTTCTCCACTATCCAGCTGTAAAATATGTCCAACAAGGTAGACATAGTGGTCCTTTAAAACATAAATCAGGTCACGTCACTCCTCTGTTCTGACTCTTCCAAAGATGTCCCATGATCTAAGCACCCTACGTGACCTGTACCCCTGTTATCTTCTTGACAAAATTGCTTACAGAACTCCCTTTCACTAACTGCTGCAGCCATGTGGGCTCCATTGCTGGTCATGGAACTTGTCAGCTGTGCTCTTGTTTCAGGACCTTTGCACTTGTGGTGACCTCTGCCTGGAAAGCCCTTCCTCCAGACAGTGAGGGCTAGCTCCCACACTTCCTGCAATCTTTACCCCACTCATCTCCTGAGAGAAGCATTTCCCGGTCTAAAATGTCTACATACCTAAAATGTGAGCTACATCTAATGTTTCTTGTTCCACTTTCTTGCTTCATTTTTAGCTTTTATCACAATCTGAACACACACACACACACACACATACACACACTCTCACACCTTGCTTA
The DNA here is from genome assembly GCF_000001405.40 of Homo sapiens. Lineage (NCBI taxonomy): Eukaryota > Metazoa > Chordata > Mammalia > Primates > Hominidae > Homo > Homo sapiens. The sequence continues at coordinate 67,071,343 of NC_000003.12, forward strand.
TTGTTTCTTTTTCCTAGTAGAAGTAAGCTGCATGGGGCACCGACTTTTATCTGTTTTATTCCCTGCTGTGTCCTCAGTGCCTAGAACAGTGAATCCTCAGTGTTTAGTACAGGGCATGACACAGAGTAAGAGTAAATATTTCTCTAAGAATGATGCGTAGAGTTGACAGTCAAATGACACAAAGCATTGCTGGGTGAAAGACACTTAGGGTTGCTGAAAACATAAATAAATGAATGAGAAGGGAGGAGTATGCTAAGGCAAAACCCATTCACTCAAATTTAACCTGCAAATGGCAGAGTTCTCAGCATTTTAGGATGAAAAACTGGGGATGTTTCTAAACCAACGTCAAAGTTGCAATTGGTGAAGGTTAAGAGAGAGGAAAGGTGGAAGGATCTGCCCTATTGAATTGCAGAGTAAATATTACATGAAGCACTTTTGATTCTAAGGCTGGTTCAGAAAGTGGAGGTATGTAGGCCCCATACACCTGGTTTGCTTGCTTGTTTTGTTATCGATTGCTGAACTTAAAGGGTAATATAACGAGGCAGGTCTGATCCTTGTTCACAAGACACGCAGTTTAGTACCAGGTCAAGATACAAACAACATCTTCTACACACTCTCCTTTCACACTGCATTTGGGCTACATGCCCCTAGGAAACATCTAAAATTGCTACTGTACTCCAAGGAAAGGTAAAAGAGTAAGACGGACATCAAATCAGGAGCCTTAGGGACTCTTTGGAAGTGGGGATTGTGATGACACAGAATAACTGGAAATAAATGACATTCCCTGCTTCCTAAAATTGATGGGGTTTGCTTCATGTGTATATCCAAGCACATCCCCTTGGAAGTAATGCTATATTTGAAGAATTTTAGAATTTTCTGGCCCGATCTGCATGTTTCTTTTCTTCCTTGGGTTTACTTGATGGCTGAGTATGTTTTGGAGTTTTCCTCAAAGTCTGTTCCAACGAACAGACTTATCTGTTGGCATTATCTAGGAATTCATCACAGCGGCAGAATCTGCATTTTAACATAATCCTGAAGTGATTTGTATGTATGTAAAAATTTGAGAAGCTTTATTTCAGAGGACTATCAGGGAAGAGCAAAACCTCGGTGCTTCTCAAACTACAGTCCCTGGACCAAAACCATCAGGATCACTTGGGAATTTGTTAGAAATGCTGATTTTTAAAACTTTATTTTTAGATTCGGAGGTACATGTGAAGATTTGTTAAACAGGTAAACATGAATCACAGGGGTTTGGTGTACAGACTATTTCATCACCCAGGTATTAAGCCCAGTACCTGAGTTACCTTTTCTGCTCCTCTCCCTCCTCCCACCCTCCACCATCAAGCAGACGCCAGTGTCTGTTGTTTCCTTCTTTGTGTTCATAAGTTCATATCATATAAGTGAGAACATGTGGTATTTGGTTTTCTGTTTCTGCATTAATTTGCTGAGGATAACAGCCTCCAGCTCCATCCGTGTTCCTACAAAAGACATGATCTTGTTCCTTTTCATGGCTGCATAGTATTCCATGGTGTATATGTGCCACATTTTCTTTATCCCATTTGTCATTGATGGGCATTTAGGTTGATTCCATGTCTTTGCTATTGTGGATACTGCTGCAATGAACATTTGTGTGCATGTGTCTTTAAGGTAGAATGATTTATATTCCTCTGGGTATATGCCCAGTAATGGGATTGCTGAGTCGAATGGTTATTTTGCTTTTAGCTCTTTGAGGAATCACCATACTGCTTTCCACAATGATTGAACTAATTTACACTCCCACCGACAATGTATAAGTGTTCCCGTTTCTCCACACCTTGCCAGCATCTGTTATTTCTTGATGTTTTAATAATAGCTAGAAATGCAGATTTTTAGCTCTATCTACTAAATCAGAAACTCAGGTGGAATCTACTACTCTATATTGTAACAAGACTTCTAGGTGATGCTGGTGCTCACTAATGTTTGAAAACCACTGATTTGGGTGGACTGCAAGATTCAATCAAGGTGTGGCGTAATGGCAGTCAGGAGATGAGGATGCTGGATGTATTGTCAGCTGCAATTAATTAGCTGTGTGACCTTGGGGAAGTAGCTTGACTAATTAACTGGATCTAGTCTCCTTAGTTGCAAAGAGAAAAAGATATCAATTCCTTGGAGTGAGAGTTCTGCAAGTGGGATTTATGGGGGCCCAGGTGGTTTATTGAGGGCCTTATCAGAAATTTAGTTATCTCAGAAATAAAAATAATACCACAAATAATAAAAATAATAAGCAAAAGTGTTTTGTGCTTAAACATATTCAGTGATTTTGAAATATAGGATATGAATGTTATAGAAATATTATAAAATCCTCCTTCCCATATGTTCTGAGGTCTGGGCTACAGAAGCCTGATTAGTTCTCAGTAACTTTTAGTTAACAGGGTGCAGATCATTTCACTAATGTGTTTTCACATCATTTTCTTATTGCCATTTTCATTAGTTAATTTCCCACTTTTATTTGCTACAGTTATACTATGTTATAATTGCAATTTTTAATAATGGTTCTACGGCTCATGAGTGGCTCATTGATACTTTGGTTTTTTTTTTTTTTTTTTTTTGGCATGGCATCTCTTTCTAGATTGCTACTTTAAAGTGCCAATACAATAACTACATAAGTGTGATTTCAGAATTACACTGATGATGCAATAAATAGCACTTTGAGGTGAATGTAAGATTTGAATCTGTTTAGGTAGAGACAAGTGAATCTTCAACATGAAGATTTTACATGGCAGTTGAAAGAGTGTCATGTGAAATAAAAAAAAGATCATCTAAATATTTTCTTAGTTTTCACCATGCTGTCTGTTATGAAACTTTGAGAATATGCCATTATATTTGTAGCTTTTCTCATTGACAAAAAGACAAATATCATATTCTATCCAGAAGCTTATTAATAAAACATTAATGACATATAACATCTCAGTAGAAATGAGATAAAAACTCTTGCTGGATTCCTTTGTGACAGCATTGGGTGATAGTATAATCCCAGTAATTTGTAACATGGAAGGGCACCTGCTCATATTCTCATGCATATGCTAAGATGGATGAATGCGGTAAGATGCAAGCCATGAATCTACTTTGTGCACACACACCTAGCACACAGATGATGGAATAATGCTCAATGGCTTTATTTTTATTTAAAATTTTATTTGTATACAGTTATGGGTTACAAGGATAATTTTGTTACATGGATATATTGCATAGTGGTGAAGTCAGGGCTTTTAGTGTATCCATCAACAGAATAACACACATCGTATCCATTAAGTAACTTCTCCTCTGTTTCTGCTTGGGCAGTAGAGTTTTATTTTTTTTTTATTTCATGTGATATCCCCAAGACCAGATTCTCCACAACACATTATTATCTCCAGTATCAAAATGTATCACTGCACAGCCAAATCACTAAGATTTTTCAAGATCAAACTGTGGAGTAGATGGCTTGATAGACAAGAGTCTGACTTGTTTCCCCAAATAAGTTGACTTTTTCACCTTTCTAAGAGAAAAATCAATAATCTCATTGGCCATTACACACACACACACACACACACACACACACACACACACATGTTGTAACCGAATAAGAAGAATGCTTTCCAGAGCCCAAAACAACCAGAGTGATTAAGAATCCATTAGCTGCCATCTTTCAAATTACTTATTCAATCTTACAGCTTTTGAATGGATATGATCATCTGATGGTGCACTGTAGTCTTCAGCGAAATCCTATACACAATTTCTTGGTCCATCCATGTTCAGTGAGACTATGTAAAACTGTTGGAGCCAAGAATCTCATGCCACCACTTTTACCTCTAGTTTCATGTTCATATTTTATCCACAGTTTACATAAGTCCTCTGTTTAGTTTTCCTGAATTTATATTCATGGAATCAATGTTTTGCAGCACACACATTTTTAAGGAATTAAGGCCTATGGAGTCTTTCAAGGAAACCAAGGATTGCTTTCCAGTTTGAAGCTGCTTTCCTCTTTTTGTGTTTTCTATGGACCTAAAGAAATGAAAACTCTCAGTTGAGATTTTCAGGAAAGTACCTGACTACTGGCTGACTCAATAAGTTGCTATGAGAAATTAAATATGCAAATCATTTTTACATGCACATTTATATAGGGAAAACACCTGCACACCTGGATCCCCAGCAGTCTCTGCTGATTAATATGCATGTAACCCCGAACTGCCCGTTGCTGGGTAATAAGAGTTTTAAATGTACTTGGCTTATTTTCAAGTAAATCTCTGGGTCTTCAGTACTGCAATTAAATGTGCCAGGTTAGATGCTCATTTCATGTCAAATCCACTTCCTACCCTATGAAAGAAGTTCTATTTTTGCATTTAATAGGTATTTTGTCTTTACTTTGGAAGAAAAAAAAAGACTCCTGTTAACAGCAAACAATGAGATTTACAATGTAAAGAAAACCACCCGGTAAACTAGAATGTTTTACAGAGTGATTTAAAAAAATAAAAAGGTTGGGGAAGATGGTTCTGCCATGAAACAGCTGAAAGATCAAATGTAACTGAAAAACACTGGGGCCAGGTTGCCTCTGATGAATGATATCTCCTTTTTGATAGTGTACTTGTAAAATTCAGGTTATACATGCACCATTTTATTTGGGAATCTACAAAGCTTTGGAGATAGGTAGCAACAAGTTGGTTATTTTTTTAAGGTGGAGAAATTGAAGCTTGGCATCCCAGTGTCCCATTCAAGACGTTCCAAGCAGTAGATGGAAATGCAGGTGAGCAGTAGAGTTCATTCGAATTCACTTCCCTTGTTCAGGCCCCTCCCGCCGTGCCATTGCTATTCTTTCTGCGTGGGTATTGCTCATTCTTCGCCTGAGAGTATTTATTCTATCTTCACTAGAAATGAAAGCTTTAACCTATGGGCTTTTCATTTAAATAACATCATTTACATTTTATTTTATTTTTCAAACAGGTCTCCAGGGACAGAATCTCTGGGAATTAATTATGTACCACACAAGACTCTAAAAAATATGAGGTTCAAACTGGCTGATGTTACTTATGGAAATGGGCTGCCAAATAAAACAATCTAAGAAATATTTAACAGTGACATCTGACACATCTTATTCCAAATTAGGTATCACATATCTTATGACAGTCCAACAGAAAGCAGAGTTTTATTGTGCATGTTTTGCTTTAAAAGATTATTCCTTTTGCACCTCAGTAATACAAATAACAGTTTATAAGCATTTATACTCTATCATTAAAAACTCACATTAATATAAGACTATACTAATAGAACCTAGTTTAAACACATGTGTATTTGTAGGTTTATATAAGTTCATATGTCAAGCATTAGATAATTTTAATTGCTCAACGTAATCTTTAAAACAACTTAATGAGATAAGTAGTAGTATTTTTATTTTATACATACAAGGAAAGTGAAACCTTTAAAAAGTGAGGCAAGGTGAGTGACTCATTCAACTTTACTGGGCTTTTGCCTGTCCCTTTTGACCCTGCCAACGGAAGTATTTCTTCCTCTGTCCTTTTTTCCACACATTTCACCTTCTATTTACTTAAATATACTTTTGTTCTTCTGAACTCAAGCTAGTATTTTTGATATGGGGAAGGCAAATTAGTAAAGAAAGGCAGTTGATATTTAGTCCAAAAATAAGCAACCTAGTTAAAGAACATAAAAGAGATAAAATATTCTAGAGTTGGCTCTAATTTTCTGTTTTTTGCTTTACAAACCAGTTTTATTTTACATTGCCAATGACTTTTGGAGTCACTCTCTTCACACCACTTTAGCCACCCATTGATAATCACATTTTTACATCTGTCAGTGAAATTTACTCAGTCCTGATATTGTCAATTTAGACACTGCGTTCCCAGATCACAACCTTCTTTTCTTTCAATTCTCTCTATTCTTTCCAAGAAATCAGCCTTTGCCTACACTCAGGACTACAGTCCTTTCTGGTTTCCCTCCCAGGCTCCTCTGTCTTAATTTATTTCACTTTTCACTGCTCAGCTTAGAATTTGCTTCTCTTCAATCACTGTCTTACAAATATTCTGAACTCCCTTGACCTCTTAACCTTTTCTTGCACTTGACTGACCAAATTCCATCTATATTTGGACAAATCCCAGAATCTACCTTTTTCATATGCAGACTTCTGGGAAGTGCTGAATACAACTGTGCAAACTAAGGCTAATATATGATTGTGGTCACTGACCTCAAATGGCTTGTTCTTTTTCTCTAATAATACTATTTTCAGTTTTATATAGTCTCTTTTGCTTATTTTTTACAGCACTTAAGTAAAATATTCTCCACTCTTGTCAAGGCTTCATTTCCTTATCTCATCATCATCTTCAGAGAAAAAAAACTAGAAGTAATCAGAGGAAAATTACCTCAACCTTCTTCCATCAAGTCCAAGTATTTTTCTTTCCTGCACTGTACTGTTTTAGTTGGGGTTTTGCTAAAACCAAAGGTGAGGTAACATAGAAATGCTAATGCTTTATAGGAAAGTGTAATCCCAAGATGGTGTGAGTCAGAGGATGGTGCAATGGTTTGAATGTTTGTGTCCCTTCCAAAATTCATATTGAAACTTAATCACCAATGCAATAGTTTTAAGAGATATGAACTTTGGAAGTCATGAGGACTCTGCCCTAGTGACTGGAATTAGCATCCTTATAAAAGGACTCAATGTTGAAGGGAGCTCTCTTTTGCCCTCCCATCCCTTCCAGCACGTGAGGACATAGTGTTCCTTTTCTCTGAAGGATGCAGCAAGAAAGCGCCATCTTGGAAAGGGAGACGAAGCTCTTACCAGACACCAAACCTGCTGGCACCGTGATCTTGGACCTCCCAGCCTCCAGAACCATGAGAAATAAATTTATGTTGTATGTAAATTATCCAGTCTGTGGTATTTTGTGACAGCAGCACAAATAAACTAAGACAGATGGAAAGCAGATATAGGTGATGCAGCATTCAGCCATCTGCTGCTTTGTGAGATGCAAAGTCACTCACCCAAGTGGCCTCTCCCTTGAAAACCTGTACAGAACACAGGTATTCCAGAGTAGAATGAGGAATAGATAAGGACATTTCCAATGGTTCCTGCTCATCTTTTGCCTTTTCATGGGCCAAAGTTTGCCTCAGAGGCAGCTATTTTGTCCACACCTCTCTATTGTGGCACTCGGTACCTTTTCAAATTTTATTTTCCGTTTCCTTTCTATCCTCTCCTTTTTAAGGCATAATTTACACATATATTTGACTGCTTGAAGTTCCCCATAGTTCACTGATATCCTTTTTAATCTTTAGAGCTGTTTATCTCTCTATGATTTATTTTGGACAATTTCTATTTGCTATGACTTCAAGTTAACTAACCTTTCGTTCTGCAATATCTAAGCTATAGTTGTTTTCCTATCCAGTGTATTTTGCATCTCAGACACTGTAGTTTTCATCCCTGGAAGTTTGATTTGTATCTTTTCATGTCTTTCATGTCCCCACTTAACATATTCAATCTTTCCTCTAGCTTCTGGAGTATATGGAGTAGTTAAATAACAGTTTTAAGGTCCTTGTCTAGTACTTTTATCACTTGTAGCATTTCTAGATGAGTTTCTATTGATTTTTCTCCTATGGGTTACATTTTTCTGCTTTTTTGCAAGCTTGGTAATTTTTTGTTGGATGCCAGATATTATGAATTTTAGCTTATTGGGTATTAGATTATTTCTTTTTTATTTTTTTGAGACAGGGTTTTGCTCTGTCACCCAGGCTAAAGTGCAGTGGTGTGATCACATTTCACTGCAGCCTTGACCTCTTGGGCACAAGTGATCCTCCTGCGTCAGTCTCTCAAGTAGCTGGGCCCACAGGTGTATGCCACCACGCCTGGCTAATTTTTGTATTTTTTCTAGAGACAGGGTTTCACCACGTTGCTCAGGCTGATCTCAAACTCCTGAGCTCAAGCAATCTGCCTGCCTTGGCCTCCCAAAATACTGGTATTACAGGTGTGAGCCACCATGCCCAGCCAGGTGCTGGATCGATCCATCCTTCCTTCCTTCCTTCCTTCCTTCCTTCCTTCCTTCCTTCCCTCCCTCCCTCCCTCCTTCCTTCCTTCCTTCCTTGGAGTCTCGCTCTGTCACCAGACTGGAGTGCAGTGGCGCGATCTCAGTTCACTGCAATCTCTGCCTCCCGGGTTCAAGCGATTTTCCTGCCTCAGCCTCCTGAGTAGCTGGGATTACAGGCACACACCACCACGCCAAGCTAATTTTTGTATTTTTAGTAGAGACGGGGTTTCACCATGTTGGGCAGGGTGGTCTCCATCTCCTGACCTCGTGATCCGCCAACCTCGGACTCCCAAAGTGCTGGGATTACAGGGGCGAGCCACTGCGCCCAGCCTGGATTATTTCCTTCTAAAACTATTCTCCAGCTTTGTTTTGAAACAAGGTTAAGTTGCTTTGAAACACTGTGGCCCTTTCAGGTCTTGCTTTTAAGCTTTGTTAGTGAGGACTAGAGCAGTGTTTGGTCTAGGGTTAATTTTCTTCACTACTGAGGTGCTCTAACTGAGTCTTTAAGTTCTCCATATGTTTTCACCTACTCCCCAAAAAGCATGTAGTATGACTGGCTTAGGTATCTGTGCATGGGCTCCCCAAGATCATCCCCAAGGTTCATGATTTGCTAGGAGAACTCACAGGACTCTCTATATGCTGTACTCACTGTGAAGATTTATTACAGCAACAAGATAGAAATCAAAATCAACAAAGGAAAAGGGCACTTGGGGTGAAATCTGAAACAAACTGGGTGCAGGTGCTCAAAGACATCTCCAAGTGGAGTCACACAGGATGTGCTTAATTCTCCCAGCAACAAGTCAGGACAACATGTGTGAAATATTGTCTACCAGGGAAGCTCATTACAAACTAAGTGCCCAGGGGTATTCTTGGGGTCTGGTCTTGTGGGCAGCTTCTGTCTGCCGTATACCTAGATTTCAGACTCCCCAAGAGAAAGCAGGTGTTTAAAAATAAAGCACATTATTTGTATGAGTAGTTTAGGCACAATGAACCAGTCTTATCGGGGAACAGTTGTAACTCTCACGAAGTCCAGGAGCAGCCTTGAAAGCAGGTATTTGCAAGTTATCACAGCAGTTCCAGCCCTGTTATAATAGCTCTTCTGCACAGTGCCGATCCCTTAAGTTTCCTTAGCACCTTATATTTCTCCTATAAACCCACTGTTCAACTGCCTGTCTCCCACAGATGGTAAACTCTTTTCTCTGTGAGAAAAGAAGGCAAACTCTGAGCCCGTGAGAAAAGAAGAAACTATACTTCACTCAATATTGCGCCTCCTGTACCTAGCCTAAAGCTTGGCATAAAGTGGATGGTCAAAAATACTTGTTAAATGAAGATAAAGGATTAATATTGTGAGACCATATAAAACTCTTAAGATTATAAAGATACATGGGCAAAGGACATAAAGAAATCAATATTCACTAATAAGCAAATCATCTGATTTTAAAAATTAGGAGTTCTTTCTAATGTATTAAAGTGACAAGGGTCAAATAAATATTAATATACGAAGTTAAGGATATGGATAAATGGTAACTGTTATCCATTGCCGAAAATAATATGTAAGTTATAAATGACTGATTTAGTAATGTATATCAAGAATTTAAAATGTTCATTACCATGTCTCGGGAAATTCCACTTATAATAATTTATCATATAAAACATTAAGAGATAAAAAAAGAAAAAAGATATAAAGATGTTAATTGCAGCATTATTTAAAATGGTATGTATGTGCTAACACTACAAATGTCCAATGATAGAAGGTTAAATAAATTAAAAGATATAAATACAATGAGATATTAAGAAGTAAACCATAGATTGCTTTCAATAAATACTTTATGAGGACATGTAAAAACACCACAATGCAATAAGTGAAAAACTCAAGATATCAGTCAATATATTTTGTTCCAAATTATGTGTATATATGTGTATATTTACATATAAGATATGTATTATTAAAACTACAATAAAGTTGGGAAATATATATGTTAAATAATATTAACTACTTGTGAAGAGTTTAATCATGGGGTCACTGTTCTTTTCTTATTTTTCTTTTTAAGTGCTTTTCAAATGGGTGTTTTTGTAATAAGGATACACATATGTATACTTGCATACATATACATTCATACAAATGAACATGTATTTCCTAATTTGTTTCATTATTTCATTATTGAATAATAACTACTGTGGGGAGAGGAATCTCAAATTAAATATCATATGTGAAGCACACAAATAAAAAAAATTATACTTGTCATTAGGAGAGGACCAATTCTCATCAGAGACATTTGGGGGAACTCACTAAGTCTTAGTTGGTACTTATCCAGTACTACTCACCATTATCAATATTTTATTTAAAAATATACTTCTGAACATGTAATTGTTTCATTTCAGAAATTAAACACTTTTTCAATCTCCACACAGCTGAGATTTCTACTTCCTTTTCATGTGATCTTAGGGTTATGTCTATTTCTGAAGGCTAGTGTATGAAAGTATTCATGAGATATTTTATACTGTCTTTGAAATTTTGATTTTACTATCTTTCATAAGTTTTAAAATATTTGCTTTTAAAATGGGAGTGAAAAGTGCAATCATCAAAGGTTAATTAAATTTCTCCCATCTGGAAATATGAATATTCTGAATATTTACATAGGATTAAAAGATTTAGACACATACATGCACATACACACACACACCAGAGACAGAGACAGACTTGTAACTTCTACTTCCAAAACCCTAATAAATAAGATTATGTAATTTGATGACAGATGATTTATTAAACAGCATCTTTACTGACAAGTTGTATTCTCTGCAACATCTGTCATTTTCCTATCTGATTATGTTTCCATCTCATTCAAACCATTATAGACAATGAATATTTTGATTAGTCATGTTGGGATACTGAATTATATCTAAAACCAAGCTGCTTCTCTGTCCTGGTTTGGATTTCTCCTAGAGCAAACCGCAAACCAAGGACTTGGGTGCAAGTAACTTGTTTGGGAGGTAATCCAAGGAGACATATTGAGGACATGGGGAGTGAGTCAGGGAATCGAGGAATGCTTGAAGCAGGTGTTCATGATCAGGCTCCTTCTGAGGGCAATCTGGATCTTGTTCTCTCTGGAGACCACCAGACAGACTGTGTGGAACATGCCTGGGAAATGACCCACTTAAGGACAAGGAAGTGAATAAGTGAATAAGGACAGTGAATTCTTTTTATGCACCAACACTTCTCTATATTATTTGAAGGTCATCAAAGGGACATTGACTTCCGGCATTTTCAGCCATCCCCATGACCAGGCTGCAAATGCCAACAGGCAGAGAGGAATGGCGATGCTCGGTGGATGGGAACTGTCTGTGGGAGACTTCTGGGTGTGGAGGAAGGCCCCGACCACCCCTCTGTGTGGAACAAGACATGGCCAGGGAAAAGAAGTGATGCTTTCACTTTTATTCTTTTGCAGAGTCACTAGCTCTGACATCAGTCTTAGCACTTAGGAGCCCAGTGACTTTGAGCCAGTTATAAATCCTCCCAAACCCCAGTTTTTCTCATCTGGACTTAGGTTTGGTCAGAACAAGTATCTGAAACTTAGAAGTAGGCAAAAAGATTAGTAGATATTCCTTCAGTGTTATGCTGGGCTTGATTTTCTATTAGCTTGGCTATTTTACAACTCTGTAGGGACAGAGGTTGATTTGTAGATTTTTGTCCTATGGAATGCAAATAATTTCTATTTGATAGAATAGAGCACCCCAAAGCTGACAGTTATGCTTCTCTTGGACATTATTCCATTTGGTATCCAACCCAGAAGTCTTATCCTAGTATTGCCTACAAACATCTGGCATTTAAATGTTCTTTGAACTGGTTTTAATATGTCAAGGGACTTTTGTTAATGAATGAATTGAATAAAAATATTTGGCATGTACTCATTTTACATTTACCTGAGAGTCATAATTTTTGCCTCTTTGAAAACTATACTTTCACAGTTTTATAAACTTATTTTAGCTGTGAGACTCTCCCATCCAAGCCTCCACGGACCCACTATATGTAAAATGGATGAGTATGCAGGAAGTGGTATATGCAGGAAGTGGTGAATATGCAGGAAGTGAGTATGCAGGAAGTGAGTACACAGGAAGTGGTGACCTGCCCACCTCCAAGCCTCTCACAGGCTGCTGAGGAATCTCTTTGCCTCTTTGGAATTGAGTTTTTTAATTGCTCTTCTAAATGATTCTCACTTGTCTTTTGGTCCTTTCTTTGTTTCAAAAAGCTTTCTTTTACAGAAAAGAAAATTGTAGAGACAAAGACCACCCAAACGAAAATTAAACAGATTATTTAGTTGGAGCTTGCTATACAAAGGAGTCAGCCACCATCACTTGTGCTCCACATGGACTTAAAGACAGGCAGAGGAGAGGGAAAGCGTACAGGGAAAAGGAGGAGGCTTCAGGTATGCCCTGATTGGAGGCTGTTGGCATGGGAAAGCTGGAGGTGGGCTGACTGGAGGTGGAGTTCCAATGTAATTGAGTTGGGGAGCATATTTTACTTTTTTTGTGTTGCTCTAAGTAGGAAGTGGGAGGACAGTGGCAAAAATTAGGGAAGCTGTCAGCTATTAAGTACTGACTACTTTGGGCTGATGGCTACAGAAATTGTGATTTGACTTCTTGGACTGGCTGCTGCAGACTGTGGGGCAAAGTTCTCTTTTTATATATGATCTGGCCATTGTCCATTTGTATTTTCAGTCCATCAAAATGGAGGCTTAAGTGTATTGAGTTGCGTGAGGTTCTGCACTCAGTGGCTAAGGAAGACTATATTGCCTGTGAATTCTAGCCTTAGCTTAACTGTAAAGAACAAAGTAAAACAAATCCCTGAGGCCCAGACCAAGACTAGGAAACAACAAAAACTAGGAGGGCAGATTAAAGAGGAGGTAGAGAGAGAAATTGAGATAGAAAGTTTATTCAAAGGGACAATAATAGAGAACTCCCCAAACCTAGAGAAAGATTTCAATATCTACGCACAAGAAGGTTAAGAATACCAAGCAGATTTAACTCAAAGAAGACTACCGGCTGGGCGCGGTGGCTCACGCCTGTAATCCCAGCACTTTGGGAGGCTGAGGTGGGAGGATAACAAGGTCAGGTGATCGAGACCATCCTGGCTAATACGGTGAAACCCCATTTCTATTAATAAATACAAAAACATTAGCTGGGCATAGTGGCAGGCACCTGTAGTCCCAGCTACTCGGGAGCCTGAGGCAGGAGAATGGCGTGAACCCAGGAGGCAGAGCTTGCAGTGAGCAGAGATTGCGCCACTGCACTCCAGCCTGGGCAACAGAGCAAGACTCCGTCTCAAAAGAAAAAAGAAGACTACCTCAAGGCATTTAATAATCAAACTCCTAAAGGTCAAGGATAAAGGATTCTAAAAGCAGCAAGAGAACAGAAACGAATAATATACAAAGACACTTCAATACTTCTGGAAGCAGCCTTTGCAATGGAAAACTTACAGGACAGGAGAGAGTGGCATGATATTTTTTAAATACTGAAGGAAAAAGACTTTTATCCTGGAATAGTATATCCAGCAAAAATGTCCTTCGGACATGAAGGAAAAATAAAGACTTTCCTAGACAAACAAAAGCTGAGGGATTTCATAAACATCAGATCTGTCCTAAGAGAAATCCTAAAGGGAGTTCTTCAATCTTAAAGAAAATGAGATTAACAAGCAATAAGAAATCACATGAAGGTACAGAACTCATGGATAATAGTAAGTACACAGACAAACACAGAATATTATAACACTGTAATTGTGGTGTGTAAACTACTATGTTGAGTAGAAAGACTAAAAGATGAACCTATAAAAAATAGTAAATAACTATTTACTAAAAGTAAATAAAGTAAATAGTAAATAGTATTACTATTTATATATATAAAGTAATATATATTTATATATAAATATATATAAAGTAAATAGTAAATAACTACTAAAAGATGAACTATTTACTAAAAGATGAACTTATCAAAAATGTAAATAACTTTTTATATCTTATTATATTATATATATTATATTATATATTTTATATCTTATATATTATATTATATTATAATATTATATCTGATTATATTATAATATATAATATAATACATATCTTATATTATATTATATATTTTTATATCTTATTATACTATATTATATATTATATAATGTACTTATATAATTATATATGACATATTATATATTATATATAACACTTATATAATATATAATTATATATGTTATTATATATGTTAATATATAATGTTATTATATAATATATTATATATAACTAATTATTGCAATCAATTATTATATATAATTATAAATATTATATAATTATAATATCTATTATATATTTACTCAAAAGTTATAACTATTTATTCAAAGTTATTTTTGAAGATATAGACAGTATAATAAGATATAAATAGAAACAACAAAAGAGTTTAAAAGTGGGGGGGATGGAGTTAAAGTGTAGAGTTTTTATCAGTTTTATCAGTTTTCTCTTTGCTTATTTGTTTTGTAATCAGTGTTAAGTATTCATGAGTTTAAAGTAATGGGCTATAAGATGTCATTTGCAAGGCTTATGGCAACTTCAAATAAAAAATACCTACAACAGATACACAAAAAATAAAAAGCAAGAAATTAAAACATACCTTTTGTGAAGGAGAAAATTACCTTCACACAAAGGAAGATAGCAAGGAAAGAAGAAAGGAGAGTAGAGCAAAAGACAATCGGAAAACAAATAGCAAACTGAGAGGAGTAAGTCCTTTCTTATCAATAATAAAATTGCATGTAAATGGACTAAACTCTCCAAACAAAAGACATAGAGTAGCTGAATGGATTGTTTAAAAAAGAACCAACGATCTGTTGCCTACAAGAAACACACTTCACCTATAAAGACATACATAGACTAAAAACAAAGAATATCAAAAAGATATTCAATGCAAATGGAAATCAAAAAAGAGCAAGAGTAGGTATATATTGGACAAAATAGATGTCAAGTAGTATCTATCAGACAAAGTTTCAGTAGTATCTATCAGACAAAATAGAATTCAAGACAAGCACTATAAAAAGAGAAAAAGAAAGTCATTATGTAATGATAAAGGGGTCAATTTTGCCAGAGGATATAACAATTTTAAGTATGTATGTACACAACAATGGAACACTAGATACGTAAAGCAAATATTATTAGAGCTAAAGAGAGAGATAGACCCCAATACAATAATAACTGGAGACTTCAACATCCCACTTTTAGCAATGAATGGATCATCCAGACAGAAAATCAACTAAGAAACATTGAACTTATAGAAGATCTGTGCTATAGACCAAATGGACCTAATAGATATTTACAGCACATTTAATCCAGCAGCTAAAGAATACACATTTGTCTGCTCAGCATATGGATCTTTCTCAAGGATAGACCATATATTAGACCACAAAAGAAAAAATTGAACTCGTATTAAGTATCTTCTCTGACCACAGTGAAATAAAGTTAGAAATCAAGAACAAAAGGAATTTTGGAAACTATGAAAACACACAGGAATTAAACAATATGCTCCAGAATGACTAGTGGGCCAATGAAGAAATTAAGAAGGAAATTGAAAAAAATTTTGAACCAATGAAAATGGGAACACAATATACTAAGACCTATGGGATACTGCAAAAGCAGTATTAAAAGGAAAGTTTATAGCAATAAGCACCTACATGAAAAAAGTAGATAAACATTAAATAAACAACCTAATGATACATCTTAAAAAAGTAGAAAAGGAAGAGCAAACCAAACCCAAAATCAATAACAAAAAAATAAAGATCAGAACAAAAGTAAATGAAATTTAAATAAAAAACCTTAAAAATTTCATTTCAAACCAATAAAGTGAAAACTTATTTTTTTGAAAAAGTAAACAAAATTGACAAACATTTAGCCAGACCTTCAGAAAAAAAAAAAGAGACAGAGAATACCCAAATAAACACAATCAGAGATGAAAAAGGAGACATTACAACTGATACCACAGAAATTTAAAGGATCATTAGAGGCTACTCTGAGCAATTATATGCCAATAAATTCAAAAACCTAGAGGAAATGGATTAATTCCTAGACACATACAATTTACCAATATTGAACCATGAAGAAATTCAAAACCTGAACAGACTGATAACAAGTAATGAGGTCGAAGCCTCAATAAAAAGTCTCCATGCAAAGAAAACCGTGGGTCCCAATGGCTTCACTGCTAAATATTACCAAACATGTAAAAAAGAACTAATACCAATCCTAGTCAAACTATTCCAAAAAATAGAGGAAGAGGGAATACTTCCAAATACATTCTACAAGGCCAGTATTACCCTGACATCAAAACCATGCAAATACATATCAAAAAAGGAAAATTACAGGCCAATGTCCCTGAAGAAAATTTATGCAAAAATTCTTAATAAAATACTAGCAAATCTAATTCAACAACACATTAAAAAGATTATTCATCATGACCAAGCGGGATTTATCCCAGGGATGCAAGGATGGTTCAACATATACAAGTCAATGAATGTGCTGCATCATATCAACAGAGTGAAAGACAAAACCCATATGATCATTTCAATTAATGCTGACAAAGCATTTGATAAAATTCAAGATCTCTTCATGATAAAAGCCTAAATAAACTGGGTATAGAAGGAACATACCTCAACACAATAAAAGCCATATACAACAGACCTACAGCTAGTATTATACTGGATGGGGAAAAACTGAAAACCTTTCTTCTAAGATCTGGAACAAGACAAGGATGTTCACTTTCACCATTGTTATCTAACATAGTACTGGAAATCCTAGCTAGAACAATCACACAAGAGAAAGAAATAGAGGTCATCTAAATTGGAATGGAAGACGTCAAATTATCCTTGTTTGCAGATGATATGATCTTATATTTGGATAAAGCTAAAGACTCCACCAAAAATTATTAGAACTGCTAAACAAACTCAGTAAAGTTGCAGGATACAAAATCATACAAAAATCAGTAACATCTCCATATGCCAACAGCAAACAATCTGAAAAAGAAATAAAGAAAGTAAATCCATTTACAAAAGCTACAAATCAAATAACATACGTATGAATTTACTTAACCAAAGAAGTGAAAGATTTCTATAATAAAAATTATAAAACACTGATAAACGAAATTGAAGAGGACACCAAAAAATGGAAAGATATTTCATGTTCATGAATTGGAAGAATGAATATTGTTAAAATGTCCACACTACCCAAAGAAGTCCATAGAGTCAGTGCAACTCCTATCAAAATCCCAATGACATTCTTCCCAGAGTAGAAAAAAAAATCCTAAAATTTTTCTGGATCCACAAAACACCCATAATAGCCAAAGGTATCCTGAGCAAAAAGAATAAAACTGGAGGAATCACATTACCTGACTTCAAATTATAATATAGAGCTATAGTAACCAAAACAGCATGGTACTGGCATAAAAACAGACATATAGACCAATGAAACAGAATAAAGAACCCAGAAATAAGTCCATATATCTACAGTAAACTCATCTTTGACAAAGGTGCCAAGAACATACACTGGGGAAAAGACAGTCTCTTCAATAAGTGGTTCTGGGAAAACTTGATATCCATATGCAGAAGAATGAAACAATTCCTATCTCTCACCAAATACAAAATAAAATCAAAATGGATTAAAGACTTAAATATAAGATCTCAAACTATGAAAATACTTAGAAAATACATTGGGGAAACTCTCCAGGACATTGGTCTGAGCAACGATTTCTTAAGTAATACCCCACAAGCATAGGCAATCAAAGCAAAAATGGACTAATAGGATCACATTGAGTCAAAAAGCTTCTGCATAGTAAAGGAAACAATCAAATAAGTGAAGAGATAACCACAGAATAGGAGAAAATATGTGCAAACTACCCATCTGACAAGGGGTTAATAACCAGAATATATAAGAACTTAATAGGAAAAAATCTAATCCGATTAAAAATGGGCAAAAGATCGGATGGACATTTCTCAAAAGAAGACATACAAATGGTAAGCAGGTATATGAGAAGGTGCTCAACATCATTGATCATTAGAGAAATACAAATCAATACTACAAAGAGATATCATCTCACTCCAGTAAGAATGGATTTTATCCAAAAGAGGTAATAATGAATGCTGGCAAGGAAAAAAGGGAACCCTTGTACACTGTTGGTGGGAATGTAAAATAGTACTTCCACTATGGAGAACAGTTTGAAATTTCCTCAAAAAACTAAAAATAGAACATATGATCCAGCAATCCCACTGGTAGATATATATCCAAAAGAAAGGAAATCAGTATATCAGAGATATCAGCACTCCAATGTTTATTGCAGCAAGATTCACGATAGCCACGATTTGGAAGCAACCTAAGTGTCCATCAGCAGATGAATGGATAAAGAAAATGTGGTACATGTACACAATGTAGTATTATTCAGCCATACAGAAGAATGAGATTCTGTCATTTACAACAACATGGATGGAGCTGGAGGTCATTATGTTAAGTGAAATAAGCCAGGCTCAGAAAGGCAATCTTTGTATGTTCTCACACATTTGGGAGCTAAAAATTAAAACAATTGAACTCATGGAGACGGAGAATAGAATGATGGTTACCAGAGGCTAGGAAGGGTAGTGGAGGTGGGGGGACAGTGAGGATGGTCAATGGGTAAGGACATCTAGTTTTGACAGATGAATAAGATTATATATTTGATAGCACAACAGAGTCACCTGATAGCACAACAGACTTTAGGTCAATAATAATTTGTTGTACAGTTAAAAATAACTAAAAGAATATAATTGGATTGTTTTTAACACAAAGAGAGGATAAACGCTTGAGGTTATGGAGACTCCATTTACCCTGATATGATTACTACACATTGTATGCCTGTATTAAAATATCTTATTTACTCCATAAACATACACATATACTATGTACCCACAAAAATTAAAAATAAAAACAACAGCAACTACAATATAACTAGGAGGACAGAGCAGAAGAAATGGAAAGGGCAGCTTGTGAATGCGTGTGAGAGATCCTAGGGCCTTCCACAGATTAACTGAGGCTTCAAAAAAGGCAGTGAGGACTGAGGACTGAAGGTTTACTTGAAGTTGGAGAAAGTCTTGGTGTTTATGTGACCACTGAAACCCCAAGGATGATGGTTAATTTTAGTTTTCAGCTTGACTGGGTTAAGGAATACTGAGATAACTGATAAAGCATTATTTCTGAGTGTGTCTTTGAGGGTGTTTATGGAAGAGATTGGCATGTGAGTCAGTGGAGTGAGTAAGATTTGCCTGCAATATGGACAGGAAGCAGCCAATCAGCTGGGGGCCCAGATAGAATAAAAAAGGCAGGAGAAATGTAATTCCTGCCCTGAGCCTCTCTGAGCACACTTTCTTGCCTTTCTGCCTTCTGCCATGGGATGATGCAGCAGAAAGGGCCCTGCTGGATGTGAGACCCTTGACCCTGAACTTCCCAGCCTCCAGAACAGTAAGAAATAAATCTCTATTCTTTATAAATTATCCAGTCTCAGGTATTCTGTGATAGCGGCACAAAATAGACTAAGACACCAGACTAGTAGAACCCATGGGAATGAAGCTTACATCTATATTTATACTTGAATTCCTCATGTTGGACCTGTCATACCTTCCCTTTTCAGGAATCTGCAAATAGCCCTTTACATCCAGGCTTGGTTTCCTCCCTTATCTGAGAACAGCATTACAAACAGAACAAAAGTACCTAGTGCCATATGGACAGACCAAAAAACTCTTTGATCAGTCATTCCACTCAGGTATGCCAGCCTGTTCCTAAACCAGGGATGGTAATGAAAGTAATTTAACATACATCTATAATTAATTGGTTACACTTTTCCTGCTGCTGGCAAATCATACTATTTTAGAAAAGTTCATGGAATTAATCTCCCAGAAGAGAGATGATGTGGAAAGCCTTCAGAAATAAATGGTTTTGTTTACTCCCAAACATCTGAGTTTTAAGAACCAATTTTAACTATAGGTCAGGGTTAATTTAGTGTTTCAAATTTGTCTTTTAGAAAGCTGTATAAAGTCAAATATCTTCTTCTCCCCACCAGATATACAGGATATCTACAGCATAATAGCATAGAAATCATTTTCCTTGTCAGATGGTTCCTATAATCTGTTAAGGGCAATAGATAAGATTTTTTTAATAGAAAGAAAATATGAAGATAAGAGATGTTATAAAAAGGCCTTTACATTTATTTATTCAACTTGATCTTTAGACAAAAGAGAATATTGTGTATTCCTGGTGAAGGTGTTACTTAGTGTTTTAGAAGTGATTTAGAATGAAAAAAGTATATGCTCATTAAGTTCAGGGTTGATTAAAATTTGACCAGACTACAAAGTAGGGTGACCAATTGATCCTGGTTTTCCTGGGACTTTCCTGATTTTAGCACTGAAAATTCTGTGTTCCTAGAAATCCCTGCAGTCCTGGAACCATTGCTCAGCCAACCAAGATTTCAAAGAATTTGAGTTTAAATAGATTCAATTTTGAAAACTGATGAATGGAATTAAGTAAGGGTAAGTCCTTAAGGATGGAAAATAGATATGCAAAATATGACAGAAAAAAATTAACTGTAGAAATACAGCAATCAGAGGATCATAGACTGCACATGATTCCCAGAATTGAAGTTTTGAAGATAAAGAGTTGCATCTCATTTAATATCTTGCTAGCAATCCAAGATATGATAAGACATGACTCAGATTCTTTCATCCTACTGTCTGCTTCTTCCATCACACTCTTTTTGCTTGGTTCTAAGAACATCTAGAGCAGTCGTTCTCAAAACTGCTGCCTAGACTAGTAGAAATAGCACCACTTGGACATGTGTTAGAAATTCAAGTTCTCAAGCTTCAGAGTTACTGAATCTGAAACTCTGGAGAAAGGGACAGAAATCTGTTGTAGCAAGCCTGCCATGTGATTCTGATGCATGTTAAATATTAAGAATGACTGATCAAGAGCAATCCTTCCTAATCTTTTTAAACTATGGATACATCAAAAATTATAATTTTATATATAACACATGGGGCAAGTGGGTGAGGCTACTTCAGGCTCTAGCCAGGGGCTAAAGTGTCACTCAGCTTACCTGCAATCCATTAGGATCACTTGTTTCTGCATACCAGATAACAAGAGACTAGATTGCTACACCTACTTTCACCATATTCCTGCTGCTCTTTCTTACTTGTGTTACCAGTCAAGGTGGTACCTGTAACCAACAGTGATTTCCTCCATAGACCTGAAGCTGTTGAAAAATTCAACCATAAATAAATGACTTCATAATTTTTTGTGCAGAGAAACCAAGAAAACGGAAATCAACCTAAGTAATAGATCTTTGCCCCAAATGAATTTCCAGAAACAGAGCGTCCTGGGGCATTCTTTGGGATAATGTAGTCAAGGAACAGTGAAGGAACAGAACTGTAGACCAGATGAGTCACGCTCTGTTATTTTTCTCATCTTGCATTGCATCTTTTTCTGTTTAATAGGTTCCCTCTTGTCTTTTCCAGAAAAATGTATAGGTTTGTCACCTTTTTTAGTGTCCAAGGGGGATTTGGCCCAAAGTGTCTGAGAGGGGGCCGCTTTACTCATCAAAGCTGGGAATTAATCTTAGTAACAACTAGAGGTCAAGGTGGGAATCTGGCAGTGGGTGCTCAATGCCTAAGAGGACAATGGGTTGAGACCACAGCTCAGTAGAACTCTCAACCACTTATTGTAAGGATCTCAACTCCAGAGAGGAGTAAATGATTTCAACAAACTAACTTGTAATTTAGGATGGATGATGTCAATACATCAACCAATATGTGGGGAGTTGTGTGACAAAAACTTAGCCTTAAACTAAACATTTAGATATTCTCACACTGAAAAGTATCCAGAAACATATTTTAAATTTCAACAAGTACAGCAGACTCTTTCCAGAGAGGCTTGAGTTTACTTTGCACATGGCTTTCTGAAAATGTATGTATCTCAGCTCCAAAACAGAAACTTTCTCCAATTTGAAGAAGCATTTAGGCCCATTTAAAATCATTCAGCTATGAACTAAATTGGACAAAGAATGCCTGTCCAATTAAGAACAACTTCCAAAGCATTCTTTTCTTGTCAAGTCATCAAAACAATATTTTCAAAGTCTCAATAGATCACATGCATCTTATAGTGTACTCACTGTTTCATCATTCAAATCATCGATGATTAATTCAATTATGAGATAACTTTATTTCCATAACTTTGGCTTTTTCAAACTAGGTTGACATGGCAGTTGCCTTTAAGTGGCTCTAACACCGAAGATTTTATTAATATATAAGATCAAGGAGACACACAAGTGCAAAAATCGGCCAATTGCCACAAAAGAGCTAGAGTGAAAAGCTGTGCTTCAGCTTAATATCTGATCTTTAGCCAATATTATTTTCTTACTTGGGGGTATTTTTTTATGGGCATAGTGTTGATAAACACCATTTTTAGTAAGAATATAGTTTTATTTAAACCTTCTTCAAGAAGCCATGGGGCTTCAACAACATTATAACCTCAAACTTGTCTCCTAGAAATAAGCAATATGACAGCAGTCAGCAAATGTTATACTACACAGAATTAATCTTCAGGTATGTGCCATCTGTGTGTGCCTGCCTGTTGTTATTTGTGGGTTGTTATTTCCTCCATCTCACTGATAACTATTTCTGTGTCTGAACTTCTACTGTACGTATTGGAGGTAGGCGGGAGAATCTCTTAAAATCAACTCTTCTTTTTGTTTTCCAAATGCAAATATGCCTGGGAGGATTTTTACTTGAAGTAATTTATAATAAATTATGAACAACTTGTTAGTATTGCTGTCCTCGCCAAGAGAGAGACTGAGTGTGAAAGGGAAAGACAACCCCTGCCACCGGAAAGAACGGAGAAAGGGTAATCAAAATGCTTACTTCTCAGTTCTGTTCAGGATCTGAGCTAACAAGGCACACCCAAACCAGCATACGGCGTGAGATATTTTCACAAGGCAATTCATCCAAGTAAGATGACAGCAACATCCCTGCTGCTGCTGCTGGAACTACAGTAGCATTAAATATTTACTGAGCACTAATTATGTTCCAGAAAATACACTGCTTCATTGTCTAATGTAAATCTTACAGCTCCCCACAATAGATTCTCTTATTACCCCATTTGAAAGATGAGGATATGGAGATTTAGAGGCAATAAATAACTTTCTCCACCACATATAAGAAATGCATGGCAAAACTAGGAAATGACTTGGTACTTTGAATGAATAACTATATCACTCTGCGGGAAGCCAAGGCCTCCTCTCCCTAGGGGCTGTGTATCCTGTTTAGGAGATTTGAGTTGAGCACCTGAGATGTTATGGGAAAATTTATAAGGTTTAAGTTAACAGGAGTTGATCTGTCTTCAAATCAGAACATACCCCAAATTTGAGAAGGAGGTTGGCTCCTAGGATGGACAGCCCTCTGCTCTTCTAAAAAATTCCAAAGTACTCATAAACCCCTTGATTCAATCCAGAGCTCATAGAACTTGCTCTGTCTCTGGCCCTCTTCCAAGAAGCTGTGATTTCCTGGTTCTGCAGATCTGGCTTCATTTGGAAACAGGCAGCATAGTTCTCTGGAACAGCCACTTCTGAGCATGCTTTCAGAACAGAGCACATTTTGCGCTTCTCCCAGACACTCATACAGCATAAGCCCCCTGTTTACATCTGGATGGTGTTTTCCTACAAAGAGTAAAATGAAGAGCTGAAGCAATTTTCTGAAACAGCTCAGGCAAAATCTTCAGATTAATGATATTGATGTCTTACAATATTCTTATTACCCAAGTACTGTAATTGTCCAACTCCAGACTCTTCTTCATCTTGACAAAAATTTTAAATTGTGTCCATTGAGAGAGTATCTACCATTGCAAACAACTGTAAACAACTCAGCAGCAAGATGGCTCTGAAAAGATATGCCAGGGCCCAGATCCAGAAGCAAAACTGGTTGGAGGCCTGAAAAAAAGCATCCTCAGTTTCAATAGGCTGCAGTCATATATTCTTTCTGTATTTCTCTGAAGGAGAATTTTTATTGCCAAATGCAAGCTGTGAACAGAAAATTCATACCTTTCTTTTAATCTGAGCTCTCCATCATCTAAGAGCAATACCCATCCAGGGATTCTTGCAGGGCAGGATGGAAAAGGAGTGAAAAGCTACAATGCTTAATTCAAGGTCTACGCTCTTCCCTCTGAATGAACCCTGTACTTCTTCTCACAAGTGTGCTGTGAAGAATAAGTAATGAATGATCATAAACCACCCAGACAACTTAGAGTGCAGTACCAGTGATGGACCCTATTTTTTTCCCATGACTTTTCTTTCATTTTGTACAGAGCACAGAGAGTCTGGGTGTTATGTCTGTGCTCTGTTATATGATCCCTGCGGCTTTTTGCAAGTAACAAATAGCCCTCCCCAGCTAATACTCATATTGAGCCACACATGCTTGTATTCTGTAGAGACTGTTTTTATAGATGAGGTTACTGCATGTGATTCTACCTTCTATGGTAATAACCTGGCAGCTTTTGAATATGTTTAGAACAAGCTAATAAGAAATAGGTCCCCAAAACATGTTTCTGCTCCATAGAAACAGCCATGGAGCACAAGGGAAACCTGTAAGAGTTTTGAATGAGGTGTCTGTCACTGTCAGAGTCAAGGCTGAGGTTTCTCCAGAATCTATTTGGAGGAAAATAGAATGCTGCTTGGGGCTGACTACCTTGTTAAACAACAAAAGAGTCTCAGGACATTATATAAACATAAATTTACTCAATCTTTTGTGTAGGGAAGCATAGGGAGCAGAAAATAAGTCACATAAGCCATTTTCTAGGGATCTACGTAAACAACCATCTATGTAACCTCAGGGTTACAACTTTCATGGTGGAAAGAGAAAGTAATAGTGTCCCTTTTCTGAATAGCGCAATATTAACAGCAGCACCAAAAAACAGATAAAACAGTTCTTTGTTTCAGCTTTTGGATGTGTATTTTAAATTGAATAAAGGCCACAGATGAGATGAGGATCCCAGGATCCCTCCTCTTGTGTTAACTCACCTAAGCCATGAAACTCATCCTAGTTCTGTTAGCTATGGTGATTTCATTTAAATCTATGCCGTCACTTCTGGTTTGAGCTTGGACATGTAAAGAACTTGAGAGTCAACATCCTCCTTCTGCAATAAGCAAAATACGAACAAACTGGAAATCAACACCTTTTTTTGGATGCATCAGAGTACCACAATTGCAAAACAAACTGTCACCCCAAAATCAGGAGAGATAGGGTTGTCCAGAGAGACACAGCTGAGATTTGCTTTCTGGAGCAAAAGCTAGAGCTATAAACTGGTAGGAACTTTAAAATGGAAAGTTTGATGAATTGCTGGAAGCTGAATGTTTACTAGTATTAAGAGTGAGAAATTCCTGGGAGCTGCATCTTAAGGGGGACTCATACCTTCATGGCTTTCCTAGATGTGTCTAGGAACCTCTGCCAGATTCTCACAGTGAGGATCCAAGAAAGATGCTCTATGACTTTGGAAGGAATAGGGGAAGAGTAATCATTGTGAAATATGCCGAGAGGCTTCCACATAATGAAATTTACTCAGCAGGGGAATAGAAGGAGACACACTTGTGAAAGTCAGAGCCCAAGTTACTGGTCCACTAAAACACTGATATCTAATTGGAACGACATAGAATGTGCCCCCTTACCTACACTATGTTACCACACTAACAGGGCTCTGGTATCATAACAGCAGATTATGTTTGAGTTGCAAGACACAGACTCTCTCTGAGACGGAGTACTGGGGGAAGCCCAAAGTCAAGAGAGAAGAAAAACTCAAACAAGGACGTTAGAGGAATTTGAAGCTGCTGGCATCTATAGGTACAGCAAACGTTGCACACAACTGATATTCTGGCCAGATTAACATAAATCCTCACACTATAGGGCTATTTAATTCAGTTCCTAATAACCAATAAGTGTTCAGGTTTCAACAAGAAATTATAAGGCATTCCAAAATGCAAAACAAACAAACAAAAACAAGCCAAAAAACTACACAGTCTGAAGAGACAAAGGAAGCATCAGAACTAAACTTAGATATGACATAGATGTTGGAATTATCAAACAAGGAATTTAAAATAATGAAGATTAAGAAGTTAAGAGCTCTAATGGAAAAGTAGACAACATACCTACAAGAGCATAAAGTAATATAAAAAGAAGGATGAAAATTCTGAGAAATAATGAAAAGGAAATAGAAACGGTACTAATAATCAAAACTAGAAATCAGAAACAGTATAACAGAAATGAATAATGCCATCCATCGGGTGAAGAAAGAATCACAGTGACAGCATGGAAGATATGTCAGTAGAAACTCCCCAAACTGAAATGCAAAGAGGAAAAACAATTCTTTAACAACAAGCAAAATAGAATATCCAAGAACTGTGGGACAACTGCAAAAGGTATATCACATGTATAATTAGAATACCAGAAGGAAAATAAAAGGACAATGGAGAAGAAAAAATATTTGAAGTGATAATGGCTGAGAACTTTTCAAAACTAATGACAGCCCTGATGCAGTGGCTCACACCTGCAATCCCAACACTTTGGGAGGCTGAGGCAGGCGGATCACCTGAGGATAGGGGTTTGAGACCAGCCTGGCCAACGTGGTGAAACCCTGTCTCTTCTAAAAATACAAAAATGAGTTGAGCGTGGTGGCAGTTGCCTGTGATCCCAGCTACTTGGGAGGCTGAGGCAGGAGAATCGCTTGAACCCTGAAGGCGGAGGTTGCAGTGAGCTGAGATCGTACCACTGCACTCTAGCCTGGGCAACAGAGTGAGACTCTGTCTCAAAAAAAAAAAAATGACAAATACAAAACTACATATCCAGAAAGCTTAGAGGACACCAGGCAGTGTAAAGCATAAACAACCCACTCCCCACAACCAAAAAAAAACAAAAAACAAAAAACAAAAAAACTTTTAAACAAACCATAGCTAGGCATATCATATTTAAATTAAGTTAAAGACAAAGAATAAATCTTGATTTATTCTTCTTTCAAGATTATAAGGCATTCCAAAATGCAAAACAAACAAATAAAAAGAAACCAAGGCAGGGACTGGGGAGAACTTTGCCTACAGAGGAACAAGAATAAGAATTACAGTGGACTGCTTGTCAGAAACCATGCAAATAAGAGGAGAGTGAAATGAAATACTCAAAGTATGTGTTATAGGCTGAATGTTTGTGTGTTCCCCACATTCATACGTTGAAGCCCTAATCCCTATTGCAGCTGTATTTGGACATGGGCCTCTTAAGGAAGTAAAGTTAAATGAGGTCATAAGTGTGGGGCCCTGACCTGGTAGGAGTAGTGTCCTTATAAGAAATACCAGAGTTCTCTCTCTCTCTCCACTTGCACGCACTAAGGAAAGGCCATGTGAGGACATATTGAGGTGGTTATCTGCAATCCAGGAGGACAGCCCTCACTAGAAACCAAATGAGCTGGAGCCAAGTTGTCTTGGACTTCCAGCCTCTGGAACTATAAGAAAATAAATTTCTGTTGCTTAAGACACCAAGTCTATGGTAGTTCGTTATGGCAGCCCAAGCAGCAATATAGTGTTGAAAGAAAGAAACACCAATCCAGAATTCTATATACAGTGAAATTATCCATCAAAAGTGAAGAAGAAAGACTTCATCAGATAAACAAAAACGGAGATAATTTACCAAAAGTCCTGTCCTGCAGGCAATGTTAAAGTAAGTTTTTTGGGTAGAAGAAAAATGATATAGGTAAGAAACTTGAACTATGTAAAAACAAGGAATAGCATTGGAGAAGAAATCAATGAAGGCAAAATAAAATATTGTATTTTTATTATTTTAAATTAATCTAAAAGACAAGTATGTATTGAAAGTAATAATAACAATAATATACCGGGTGATTACAGGATATGGATAAGTGAATTAATGGCAGCAATGGCACAAGAGGGAGGGATTGGAAATATCCTATTTATATGTGCCTGCATTACATGTGAAACAGTACAGTGTTATTTGATGGTGAGCTTCTATTAAGTTAAAATGTATATTGTAAATTTGGGGCAACCATCAAAAAATTCTTAAATGTAGTTGATATACTAAGAAAGGAGATAAAATAAGATTATGTAAAATGCTCATTTGAAACAGAGTAGGCAGAAAAATGAGAGCACTAGGAAGGGAATAAAAAACAAATTCAATAAATAGAAAACAGACACATAGTAGATGATAACCCAACCACATAAACAATGAATTTAAATTGGAATGTTCTGCAAACACTAATTAAAAAGAGATTGTTACAGTGGACATAAAAACAAGTTCCAACTATATGTTGTGTACAAGACACCCGCATTATGTATAAAGACTCAGGCTGAAAGAAAATAAATGGAAAAAGATATGCCAACCTAATATCGATCAAAAGAAAGTTGGAGCAGCTAAATTAATTTCAGACAAGGCAGCTTTGAAAACAGGAATGGTTATCAGGGGCAAAGATGAGCATTATTATAATTGTAAAGGGGGCAATTCTTCAAAAACATCATGACAATTTAAGATGTATATGCACCTACAAAGAGAATACCAAAATACATGGGGCAAAAACTGAATAACTGTAAAGAGAAACAAATAAATCCACTATCATAGTTGGAGATTTCAACATTTCTCCATTGGTAAGTGATACACTAAGCAGACAGAAAGTCATAAGATTCTAAATGATCTGAACAGCACCATCAATCAACTTGGTCTAATTGATATTTTATAGCATAATCCATCCAACAACAGCAGATGCTTCTCAAGTTCACATGGAGCATTCACCAAGATAAACCACATCCTCAAGCATAAAACATACCTGAATAAATTTAAAAGAATAGAATTTATACAAAATGTGTCCTGAGACCACAAGAGAATCAGACTCGAAATCAATAACAGAACGTTATATCTGAAAATTAAACAATACACTTTTAAATAAACCATGGGTCAAAGAAGAGGTCTCACTGAAAATTTTAAAATATTTTTAATTAAATGAAAAGGAAAATACAACTTATGAAAACACATGGGACACAGAGGAAGTAGTTCTTAGAGGGGCATTTATGGCACTAAATGTACATATTCAAAAACAAGAATCATCAAAATTCTGTATACTAAAGTTCTGCTATGGAAAACTGAGCAAAAAAGAGCAACTTAAATTTAAAGCAAGCAGAATAAAAGAAATAATAAAAATTAAAATAAAAATCAATAAAAGTAAAAACACAAAAGAAAAAATCAATGGAATTTAAAAACTGGCTCTTTGAAAAGATCAATAAAATTGACAAACTTCTAGCCAGGCTAACCATTAAAAAAGAAAAACAAGAAGACACAAGTTGCAACATTAGACATGAACATAAGTTCATCACTATTGATCCATTGGATATCTACAGGATAATAAAAGAATACTATAAACAGACAGCTCTATGACCACTGTGATAATTTAGATTAAACAGCAATTTCTTGAAGGACACAAACTTTCAAAATGCACAGAAATAGATAACCAGCATAGCCCTATGTCTATTTAATAATTCAAATCAATAATTAATACCTTTCTAACGAAGAAAGCTAGACTTAGATGTGTTAACTGGTGAATTCTAACAAACATTTAAGGTAGAAATTATACCAATTCTCCACAATCTCTTCTAGGAAACAGAAGCAGAGGGAACACTTCTGAAATATCCTAGGAATCTAGTATCACTCCAATATCAAAAGCATTTCAAGAGAGATAAAATATACATGAATATATTTCATGAAGAAAAATGCAAAAATCTTCAAGAAAATATTACCAAATGTAATACAACAATGTATAAAAAATTATACATCAACATTAAGTTGGATTTATTCCAAGTATGCAAAGCTGATTCAACATTAAAAAGTCAGTCAATGTAACCCACTGTATCAATAGGCTAAAGAAGAAAGGTTATATCATCATATCAACTGATGCTAAAAAGCCATTCAGCAAAATGGAACATAGTCATTTAAAAAGCTATCAGAAAACTAAGAATAGAGAGAAACTTCCTCCACTTAATCAAAAACATATACAAAATAGCTACAGATAACATCATACTTAATGGTGAGAGACTGGACACTTTCCTCTAAGACTGGAAACAAGGCAAGGATCTCCCCTCAACACTCCTATTTAATGTCATACTGGAAGTCCTAGCTAGTTCAATGAGACACGCAAAAGAAATAAAATGTATACAAATTAGGAAGGAAGAAATAGAATGGTCTTTATTTGCAGATGATACAATCATCTATGTAGAAAAACTGAAAGAATAAACAAAAAGCTAACAGAACTAATAAGTGAGCATAGCAAGTTTGCAGGATGAAAGGTTAAGATAGAGTTAATTGTTGTCTTATGTATTAGTAGCTAACAATTGGAATTTGAAATTTAAAAAGATACTATTTACAGTGGTACACCCACAAAAATAAATACTTGGTATAAATTTAACAACACGTTTATTGACTTGTATGCAAAATACTATAAAATTCTGATTTAAAAAAATCAAAGAAGGTATAGATAGAGAGATCTTCCATGTTCCCGGATTGGAAGACTCAATGTTATTAAGATGGCAATTATTTCCAACTTTATCTATAGATTCAACATAATTCTACTCAAAATTCCAGCAAGAAATTTTACACATATTGACAAACTGATTCTAAAGTTTACGTGACAAAAAAACTTAGAATAGCTAAAACAATAGTAAAGAAGAACATGGAGGAATCACAACGCCTAACTTTAAGACTTTCTAAAAGCTAGAAATCAAGATAACATAGTATCGGAAAAAGAATAGACACACAGATCAATAAAACAGAAAAAGACTTACACAAATGTAGTCAATTGCTCTTTGACAAATATGCAAAGGTAATTCAATGGAGAAAAGACAGTCTTTTCAACAATTAGTGTGGGAACAATTGGATGTCTCTCTATAAAAAATAAAAATAGACACAAATCTTACACATTTCCCAAAAGTTATCTCAAAATGTTTGTAGACCTAAATTAAAAGGCAAAACTACAAATCTTTTAGAAGAAGGCATGAAAGAAAATCTACATGACCTTAGGGTTGGTGGTTAATCTTTAGATACAGCACCAAAAGCACAATGCATGGAAGAAAAATTGATTCGTACATTTTATTAAATTAAAAAGCTCTGCTGTGCAAGATACCTTGTTAAGAGAATGAAAAGACAAGCCACAGGCTGGGAGACAACATTTTGAAAACACATATGAGATAGTTTGGATGCTGTCCACTCTAAATCTCATGTTGAATTGTAGTCCCCAATGTTGTGGGGATGTGAGAGGTCTTTGGGTCACCTCAGGGGGCATATCCCTCATGGCTTGGTGGTGTCCTCACAGTGGTAAGTGAGTTCTTGCAAGATCTGGTTACTTAAAAGTATGTATCACTTTACTATCTCTCTCTTGCTCCTGGTTACCATGTGAGATGCCTGCTCCCCCTTCACCTTCTACTATGAGTGTAAGCTTCCTGAGGCTTCCCTAGAAGCCATCCATGTTATACCTAGAAGCCTCAGGAAGCAGTTGCCAGCACCATACTTCCTGTAAATCTTGCAGAAGTATGAGCCAATTAAATCTCTCTTCTTTATAAATTACTCAGTCTCAGTTATTTCTTTATAGCAATGCAAGAATGATTTAACACAGAAAATTGGTATCAGGAGTGAGGTATTCCTATAAAGAGACCTGAAAATGTAGAACGGAGTAACAGGCAGAGGTTGGAAGAGTGTGGAGTGCTCAGAGGAAGACAGGAAGATAAGGGAAGGTTTGGAACTTCTTAAAGACTGGGTAAATGATTGTGACCAAAATGCTGATAGTAATATGGACAGCAAAGGCCAGGCTGATGAGGTCTCAGATAAAAATGAGGAATTTATTGGGAACTAGAGCAAAGACCACCCATGTTATGCCTTAGCAAAGGGCTTGACTGCATTCTGTTCATGCCCTAGGGAACTGAGGAAGTTTGAACTTAAGAGTGATGACTTGGGGTATCTGACAGAAGATATTTCTAAGTGTTTAAGAGTTGTCCTGGCTGCCTCTAAAAACCTATTCTCAGATGTGGGAGCAAATAAATGACTTAAATTTGGAAGTTATATTTAAACAGGAAGCAGAGTGTAAAAGTTTGGAAAATTTTACACCCTAAACATGTGGCAAAAAAAAGGGCTTTTTTGAGGGGATGAATTGCTGCGGAGCTTATTAGAGAGGTTTGCATGACTAAAAAGAGCCAAGTGCTGATAGCCAAGACCAATGGGAAAAAGTCCTCGAAGGACTTTCAGAGACATCTGAAGCAGCCCCTCCCATCACAGGCCCAAAGGCCTAGGAGGAAAGAAGGGTTTTGTTGACCAGGCCCAGGATTCTGCAGCCCTGAGCAGCCTTGGGCACTGCTTCCTGCATTCAGGCCAATCCAGCTTTAGCCATGGCTCAAAGGGACCCAGTTATAGCTTAGGCCACAGCTCTGGAGGGCACAAGCCATAAGCCTGTGTGGTTTCCACATGGTGTCAAGCCTGCAGGCTCACAAAGTGCAAGAGTGAAGAAGCTCTGGAAGCCTCTGCCTAGATTTCACAGAATTTATGGGAAAGCCTGGGTGTCCAGGCAGAAGTCTGTTGTAGGGGTGGAGCTCTCACACAGAGCCTCTACTATGGCAGTGCAGATGGGAAATGTGGAGTTGGGGACCCATGCAGAGTCCCCACTGGGGCACTGTCTAGTAAAGCTGTGGGAAGGGGGCCACTGTCCTCCAAATCCCAGAATGGTAGAGCCACCAGCAACTTGCAACCTCAGCATGAAAAAGCCACAGGGGTAGGGTTTCCCAGGGCTTTGGGAGTCCATCCCTTGCAGCAGTGTTCCCTAGATGTGGTACATAGAGTCAAAGGAGGTTATTTTGGAGCTTCAGGATTTAATGACTGCCCTGCTGGGTTTTAGACTTGTGTGGGCCTATAGCTACTTTCTTTTGGTGTATTTCTCCTTTTTTGGAATAGGAATGTTTACCAATTCTTGTACCCCTCTTGTATCTTGGAAGTAAAAAGCTTATTTTTGATTTTGCAGGCTTGTAGGTGGAAGAGACTTGGTTTGTCTCAGATGAGACTTTGCACTTAGGACTTTTGAGTAATGCTGAAATGAGTTGAGACTTTTGGAGGACTATTGGCAGGAGATGATTGTATTTTGCAATGTGAGAAGAACATGAGATGTGTGAGGCCAGGAGCAGGATAATGAGTTTGGATTGTAATCCTCAATGTTGGAGGTGGGGCCTGGTGAGAGGTGTTTGGGTCATGAAGGTGGATTCCTTATGGCTTGGTGGTCTCCTCACTATAGTGAGTTCTCCTGAGATCTGATTATTTAAAAGTGTTTGGCACCTTCGTCCCCGACTTGCTCCTGTTCTTACCATGTGAAACATCTGGTCCCCCTTTGCCTTCTGCCATGTTTGTAAGCTTCCTGAGGCCTCCCCAGAAGCTGAGCAGATACCAGGACCATGCTTTTTATAAAAGCATGCAGAACCATGAGCCAATTAATTTTCTTTTATAAGTTACTCAGTCTCAGGTATTTCTTTATAGCAATGCAAGAATGGCCTAACACAACATATTTAACAAAGGGCTTGTATCTGTAATATACAAGAACTCTTAAAACTCAGCAATAAGAAAATAAACAAGCCAATGAAAAAATGGGCAAAAGATCTAAACAGACAACTGAGAAAGAAAGATATAAAGATGGCAAAGAAGCATATGAAAAGATGCTAAATATAATTTGCCATCACAGAAGTACAAATTAAAACAATAATAAGATACCACTACATTCCTATTAGAGTGATTAAAATCCAAAAAACTGACAACATCAATTGCCAGCAAGGATTCAGAGCAACAGGAAATTTCACCTATTGTTGCAGTGGATGCAAAATGGTATAGTCATTTTGGAAGAGGTTTTACAGTTTCTTGCAAAGCTAAAATAGGCTTACCATATGTTCCAAGACTCATGCTCCTAGGTGTTTACCCAACTGATATGAAAGCCCATGTCCACACAAAAACCAGCGTGTGAATGTTTACAACTGCCTTATTTAAAATCAACATCAACTGAAAGCAACCAAGATGTCCTTCAATAGGTAAATGGATAAATTGTGATACATTCAGACAATGGGATGTCATTCAGAAAAAATGAATGTGCTATCAAGCCACTAGACTAGGTTGTAGAGAACCGTGCATGAGGTAGAATCTGACACTTTGGAGCTGGGCTGTCCACTGGGAGAGTGACTAGCCACATGAACACTTAAAATATAGCTAGTGTGATTGAAGTACTGAATTTTCAATTTAACTTAATTTAAAATTAAATACGCACCATGTGTCTAGTGGCTGCTATCTCAGCAAGTCCAGCTTTAAAACATTAAATTCTGTTCCTCTCTCCTGCAAATGTCTCCAACCCCAGATCTAGTGCCCTTTGCTTCTCTCTCCATTCTTTGTTATAAGGATCAATTTAGACTTTCTCTCTTAGTTTTTATTTGATGCTCTGTTATGGTGGAAGGTGTGGATATGAGCTAGGAAGAGTGGGGATAAGTAGACAAGTCTACTGAATAAAGACAGCACCCTCTTTTTGTAGAGTTTCAGACACTGTTCTAAGGAATCTGCATGGGTTCCTTTATCTAATTGTCATAAAATCCTATTATAATGATTTCCATTTTATAGATGTGGTACCTGGCACACAGAGAGGTTGGCAAGGTTCACATAGCTACGAAACAGTGGAATCAAGCCAGGTTCACATTGTATACCACTGTGCTATAGTGTCTCCTAGTATGGCCCTAATTTGTGGGGCCAATGGGCTTGAAATAGCATTCACTTACTTCCAATACTACAGAGTACAGAAGCAGCAGCTTCTGGAATTTAGGTATCATGAATGATTAGTACCTTGTCCTACTCCAGGGAGTAGGACATAGAACATTGTAGGGCTGATATAGGCTGGGGAAGAGATGGCATCCATCTGCTACCAATATTTGCATTGATCATGTCATTTTTAGGTCCAGTGTCTTCAGTGGCTTCCCAGTTGTCTAGGCATCAAATGCAAACTCCTCAGCCTGCAATTTGTATCTAACTTACCTTTGTGACTTGATCTTCAACTCCTTGGGTGTTTATAGCCTCTACATGGTTTCTACTACCCACTGGTCTCTGAGCCCTTCTTGCACCAGTCTTCTTGACTTCCTAATTTGTGATTGAGGCATCTTTCCCAGTGGGATCTAGGTGGTCTAGCTCTTCACTCATGCTTCTCAACCTTTCATCTGCCTTGAAGCCTGTGTAGAATACACCAACCCAGTAACATGAAGCCCAGTGATTGCCTCCCTTCCATTCCACTGCCACTGCCCTTGCTTATGTCCACACTACCTAAACCACTGTGGTCTCCCAGCTCCTCCTTCCTGTAATCCACCTCCAAAATGCACCCAATAGCTGCTGAGTTGGTCTTCCTAGCAATGCTCAGCAACTCAAATTCTTGCTCATTTGCTTAAAACTTTCACCCTTTCCCCACCACATGATAATAATAAAGGTTTCCTACCTCTCTTAATCACTGGCCTTCTTGCGTTTTCCCAAGCATGCTGGTATGTATTTACCCCTTAAGCTTTGCATGCACTAGTCCCTCTCCCTGGGATGCCCAAGTGGTTGGTTCCCACGTAGCAGTCAGGACTATGCTCAAGTTTCATTCTCTCAGAGAAGCCTTCCATGAACAGAATACTGGATCTAGCTCTCCCTTTCTTCTCTTTTCCCCTCTTCTTTATTTTTCTTTGAAGCATTTATCATTGCTTCACATTATACGGCAGGTCCTTGAAGTATACCATTTTGTTCAATGTTTCATTACAATGTTGATGAGAAAAGTAATTGATTCTGTGAAGTCTGCATGTTCTCCCAATGTCTGTGTGAGTTTTCTATGGGTCTTCCGGTTTCCTCCCACATCCCAAGGCTGTGCATGTCAGGTTAATGGGTGTGTCTAAATGGTCCCCATCTGAATATGTGTGGGTGTGTTAGTGCACCCTACAGTGGGCTGGTGTCCTGTCTGGGGCTGGTTCGTGCCTTGAGCCACTGGGACAGACTCCAGCCACCTGAGATCCTGAACTGGAAAAACTGGATAAATCATTATCTTACTTGTTTTGAGTAATCTTTTAAAAATGTGAAGTTTTTAAAACTTTAATTCACATTAATTTCAATGTTTAATATTAAAAGGCTTTCGGGTCTTTCTTTAGAAGTCTGGCAATTTTGTGACTAGAAATATGCCAAAGGAACTTAACTCCTGTTGCTATAGGTTAGCCTAGGTAAAACTGGTTTCATTGTATGTAATTGCACTTAAAGTTACAGTTTCCAAGAATCTATCAAGGATATTAAGTGAAGACTTACTGAATATTTTTTGTTTTGTTTTTTTGTTAGTCTCCCTACTGGAATGTAATTCTGCCAAGGCCCACATGCTGTCTGTTTTATTTACTGCTATCTACAGCACCGAGAACCATGCCTAGGCCCCCAATAAACATTTGTTAAACAGATGAGAAAATGTAAAATATAAATCAGAATAGCTCTATTAATCAGACAACCTGGTTATAAGAAACAGAAATCTAGGAGGACAGTGCTTATTAATAACATTTGGAAGGGGAATGGCCTATCAGTATTGTTTCTCTAAAGTTGTATGGACCAAACTGTCTTATCAATTTGCAGTGGCAGGCTCATTCGGACAAAAAAAGATTAATACTAAATGCTGCATTCCATGTTCATTTCGTGAAGATCCACAACACACGGTAGCATCTTTAAGGTTCTGAGCCACCCTGTAATAAACAAACTAGACTTAAAAAAAACTTAAATATATATCAGCACAGAATTCTTTTTCTAAAGAGCTCCTCAGAGTAGATTCAAGTTAAGGTGGTGGCCTGACGTGAAATAATTCTATCCCACCTTCTTCTGATATAGGCATGGTATATCCTAGCACAGAGGTATGCCTCTGTGGCTCACAATTTGTCTAACAGATGGACATGTGAACTAAGCCAGGCCAATTAGAGGACATCTGAGAATTAAATGATGAATCTGAGAGACAGACTTTCCTTGCCTCGCAGGCTGTGGATCTAAGGCTATAACTTTTCCCCCCCATAAGTTATTGGGGTACAGGTAGTATTTGGTTACATAAGTTCTTTAGTGGTGATTTGTAAGATTTTGGTGCACCCGTCACTCATGTATACACTGCACCATATTTGTAGTTTTTTATTCCCCAACCCCATCTCACTCTTCCCCCCAAGTCCCCAAAGTCCACTGTATCGTTCTTATATAAGGCTGTGACTTTTAAGAAGCCCAATCTATACTCCTTGTCTCATGGAGAAAGTCTGTTTATGGCAGGACAGGAGCCAACATAATTCTCAACAAGAGAATTAGCTGAGAGATGGAGAGAAAAAGAGGAGGAAAAAGTAAATAATGGAGAATAATAGGGACTTAATAGGGATAATAATATGGCATTTAAGTCTTTAAATCCAGTCAATTTCTGAAGCGAGATCCACCCCTGTCTTGACGTTTGAAAATTTCTTTTTTTTTTTTAAAGATCGGCTCACTAATACACACTCAATACCATTTTTACATAATGCCCAATGACAAACCTCAGCAGTTAAGCCTGACTTGTTGACTAGCCCACTCAAAATTGTAAAGGACAACACATAACCAACCAACTAACCAACCAACAAGAGCAAATGGTGCCCTTGTCTCTGAATGATATACAGATTTTTTTCTACTCCTTCATGGATGAAATCTACATAGATTCTTAGCTTCCAACAAGAGTAAGATAATCAGATACAGTGTGATATTGTGCAAAGACCAAGGTGAGCACTTACAAGTTTAAAGTACACAATTCCAAGGGCTGGGGGTAGGTGCTATTCACAGCAGTCTTTAGAGGCTCTTTAGTCTGATGAACCTGACTATGCAAGTTCTCTACACCTGTGTTTCTGCAGAAGCAACAAGGGGCAATCTTCCTCCACCCAGGAAAGCAAGACACTTGCCTAATGCTTCTTTATGTCCTCCAACAGTGTCTTACCTAGAGAAGGGCCTTAATTCAGGTTTGTGGAATGAATGAAACTCAGGCTGGTCCTGTTCCTTATTAACATGGTTATAGTCAAGGTTGGCTTAAGGAATTTGTAATAAAATTTATTTTCAGCACATTACTTCATGAATGCTATCCTTGTAGATTCATATATATTCAGTGGTTGCTTTTGAGAAATCTAAAAATACCGTCACTTGGCATTTGCCCTAGAACAGTGTGCTGCCTTGATGCAGCCATAACAGTCATACCATATGGGAGGAAACCTGGGTACTTTCAAACAGACTCCTCTTTTAAAATCAAGTCTGCTGCTGTCGCTGGAGCTTGCAGCCTCCTGAACCTCTTTATTTAGATACAGCATTCCAGGGCCATTATTTCATATGTAGAGGGATTTTTTTAAATAGCTTGCAGTTTGGGCTTTTCACCACTAGAGTTCAACCTTGCTCTTATCTAGATGATTTCAAGGAAGAAAACTAACTAAATAAAATAAATCAGCATCTCCTCAAACAAAACACAAAGAAAATTCCCTAAGTACCTTCTCTAATTCCAATCCTGACCTTTGACTACCAAAAGCTGGCTTCGTTCATGTGCCTTTTTTTTTTCTGACATACTTAAGATTTCCTGGTTGGTATTGTCATCAGGGATCAAATTCTTGAATGCCCTTGCTTAGTTACAAGTAATTTATCAATGCTTGATAAATAATTTCTCCTTAGATTCAGTTTGTTTATTTCTAAGTACAATCTTTAGCCGAAACTGCCTGGCTGATTGATGGGAGAGCATGCTTCTGGTCGGTAGATCCTGGGGGCTCACAACAGGGTAGTCAGAGCTACAGTGAAAGCGACTGCTACTCTGGGTCTCATAGTTGATCATTAATTTTTTGAGAAGTTTTTTCTTTAATAAATATAGCTTTCTCCCTGAGGTTTGGTTTTGATTTCCAAATTCAAGACGTACCTCTTTTTTCCCTTTCTTTGTACCCATTGTCTTCAGATATATTTCTGAAGAGACCAAAATCAAGCATACAATGTCACAATTTTGCTAGTGGTCAACCTATCACTCCCAGGACTTCTAAAAACTATGCTGTGTCAAATTAGGCATACATAATAATTAGAAATGCATGATAAAAGCTAACATTGCACATTTATCATACACTTGGCACTTTAGATGCTTTATTTCATGCAATCTTCACAAAAGTCTTATGAATCAGGGATGATCCTCAGTCCCATTTTACAGATAAATAAACAGTAATATATATAAGTCTTTTTTTTTGAGATAAGGTGTTCACTCTGTTGCCCAGGCTGGAGTACAGTGGTGCGATCTCAGCTCACTGCAGTCTCCGCCTCCTGGGTTCAAGTGATTCTCACGCCTCAGCCTCCCGCATAGCTGGGACCATAGGCATGAGCCACCATGCCTGACTAATTTTTTGTATTTTTGGTAGCGACAGGGTTTACGCCATGTTGTCCTGGCTGGTCTTGAACTCCTGAGCTCAAGCATTCCACTCGCCATGGCCTCCCAAAGTACTGCATATAAATAATTTGACTAAGGCCACTCAGCTAGTAAGTGGTGGAGTGAGAAGTCAAACACAGGTCTCTACCTGAACATTGTGCTCAATGAGGGTTCTACATTCATATAGCCTGAACTTTTTGAGGGCACAGATAAAGAGTATAATAATAACCCTGATAAAAGGAGTGGCCATGGCTAGGCAGAAAAGCAAGAAACTTGCAAGGGATACGCAGAAATTAAATGATGAAACAAAATGTGTTAATTGAGATTTTGCAGCAGACACAGACACCCTGTTCAAATGGCTGACGTATATAGGCTTCACCATCTCTAATAACAGAGAACATGCTATCAACATGTAATGTGGTAAGAACTTCTCTCAGTCATACTGGCTAAAATGTTCACCAATTTATTACAAAGGAGAATCTTAAAATTGATCTTCAAAACTCACTATTTAGATTTTCACAGTTGTGACAAATAATAATGCTCAGGTTGGCTGTATGAGGAATTATCTAGGGTTCAAGTAGTCTCATCTAACCTTTTTGTTATCACTTTAACATTCTGGGTTAATGAGTCCTGTGTCCTACCAAATGCTATTACAAGTACTTACCCCTGATAGGCCATTCATTGAACTGTTTACTTATTCATTAAATACTAAGCGTCTACTACATACCATGCACTGTACTAGGTGCTGAGAATATGAAAGAAAACAAAACAAAAAACAAATGAAAATCTCTGTCTACATTTTACATTCTGGTAGGGGAGATAGAAAATGAGCAAACGAATAAGTAAAATGTGTAGTATGTGTGATGGTGATAAATATTACATAGAGAAAAATAAAACTGGGAAGGGAGATAATAAATGCTGTTCGATTTTGTTTGCTTGTCTTGCAACTTGAAACAGGGTGGCCAGAGAAGGATAACAACAGTAATAATAATAACAGTAATAGTAGTTCTTCTTCTTTTTTTTGTGAGACAGGGTTTCAGTCTGTTGCCCAGGCTGGAGTGTAGTGACCCAATCTCTGCTCACTGCAACCTCTGCCTCTCAGGTTCAAGAGATTCTCCCACCTCAGCCTCCTGAGTAGCTGAGACTACAGGTGCACACCATCATGCCTGGATAATTTTTGCATTTTTTGGTAGAGACAGGGTTTCACCATGTTGGTCATGCTGGTCTTGAACTCGTAACCTCAAGTGATCTGCCCACCTCAGCATCCCAAAGTGATGGGATTACAGGCGTGAGCCACTGCACCCAGCCTAATAGTAGCTCTTGTTTTTGGTCATTCTAGGCAAAGTAGCAGCTAACATTAATTGAGTACTTACTATGTAGCAGGCCTCTTTAATTTATATCTCATTTAATTTTCATAACCACTCTGTTTCACAGATAAGGGGAAACAAACACAAAAATCATGTAACTTGTCCAAATCACACAGCTAACAAAAGAAAACTGTGGACATTTTGAGTCAGAGCCCAGGTTCTTAACCCTACCAGCATGCTTTTCTTTTGGTATTTGCTGCTGTATACTTTAATTGCCTATGTAAGAAACAACACCGAGTGAACCATGCTGACCTAATTTTCTAGTTCTAGTTTGTTTCATTCATAGTAATATAAAAATTAGCTGCTTATTTTCCATAATAACTCCTTAAATACACTTGTTATGTGGAATATATTAAGTTAGTTAAGAATATGGTTTATTTATATATCTAGAATATGTACTCCCTTTATATTAAAATATTTATAGCAGCTGACAAAATTTAGTGCAAAATAGACTGATTATCCATAAGAATTATAAATGATAAATAAATGAACCTTGGTAGGTTGTGCATGCAAAGACAAATCAGTTAATGATAAAAACAGAATAAGGATTATCTGCAGGAGCATGGGGTGCAGGTAATATCAGGCATCTGAGATGAACTCACTACTACTATCAGAAACTGAGTTTGGCTATACGTTTCCTAGCTGCTAAGACAGAGCAACATCCACACTAGGTTACATAATATTCATTTTTTTGAACAAAAGAAGATAGAAAATTGTCCTTGAGAAAAACTTTCTTACAACTGATCCTTGTAAAAGGTTCATGGGCTAACAGTGAAGAATATTTTCAACTTTGCAGGAAGCAAGGACTCCTGAAAGAATTTTTTTTTACAATCTTCTATAATAAATGGGAGTGAAAATGAAATTGGCATTTTTGGAAGGGGGGGGGAGAAACAGTTGAGATAATATGACCTAGGTATTCTCTGTTCTGCATACCTTATTTAACAGTGGGTTACAGAATGGGGAAATGGATAGTTAACAATTTCCACGGATTCTTCCTCAAAATATTAATTACAGTAAGCAGACCTTTGACAGGTGTCATATCACAATTAATTTCATGACTAGTAAAAATATAATTAGACTAGTAAAAACAACAACTGCTACAAAATAACAGTGGCAGCTAATAACTACTGCATACTTATCAGGAGGCAAGATCTGGGTCGAACATTTTACAAACATTATTTCATTTAAGGTTTCCCATAAGTTTCTGAGTTAGGCACAGTCATGTTCCCATTTTAAAGATGAGAAAGCTGAGACTTAGAGAAGTTAGGAAAGTTTCCCAAAGTTGCCCAGCTAGTAAGGATCCGAGAGCTCAGATTCAACTATGGTCGGACTGGTTCCAAAGCTTGTGTTTTTATCTACTACTTTGTGGTTACTCTACCACCTTTATTATATCTATTCCATGTTTTTACTGAGACAATTGCACAAGACCTGAGGAGACATAAACATTTAAGATGAGAATACACAGAGGAAAAAAAGAAGTGTTCTCCACTTCCTAGACAAAATTAGTAAGTTTAAGAAGACACAGAACCATACAGCTTACATGAAATCAGTTCTACTATTTATCACGATGGACAAAAGAAATGATGAGCCACTCTGCGCACTGTCATAGGTCAGACTAGGATCTCGCCTGGAACCCGAGGATGTGAGAAACCGCTGTGACTCATGGCTAACTGCTGTTTCAGAACCTAGGACAGCGGCACACATCCCTTCCACTAGGGGGCAGGGTGGTCATTACATTGTGATTGTTTATAAGCTGAGCCTGATTCTGACAGGCAGAAAGCCAGCTCAACTTCTGTAGCTTCAGAATAGGCAGCCAGTGGGGCCAAGTGTCCATGTTTGCCCCAGATAAGAATCTTGGACCTTTTCAAGTATTTGTAAAAGCATCCAGTGGACACCTTAGCTTTTTGCATTTGGTAACCACAGTGTCAAGAGCTAGAAAAAGTGTAAAATACCAAATATTAGAAGAGCTTTGGACAGTGCCAGCTTGAAAATGCCTCTCTTGGCCACTGTACTTATGTTGATTGATTTCATATTTACCTGTGGACTGACTGCAATAAATGGGCTTGCTAGCACATTTTTGGAACTATCCTTACCTAGGCTATGAAAAGTTCAGAAAGGGAAGTTAAGGGAGAACAGTATAACAGAAGTGGCTAGTAACAGGGGCTTTGGAGCCAGATAGACATGAATTTAGACTTGATTTCACCACTTTTTCACAATAGGACTTTGAGTAAATGATAACCTCTCTTTCTGTACTTCGATTTTCTCAACTATAAAATAGAAATGGTATAACAGATATCTTACAGGATTGTTATGATGACTAAATGAATCTCTAAAGCACTTGGCTGGATGTCTGGCACACAAGGCTCAATGATCACCAGGATGATGATGAATCTGCTATTGAAGGAAAAAAATAATAACCTTAGCATATGTCAATTTACGTTACCCAATATAGTTTATACATCTCAAACAAATATAAGAAATGTATATAAATATTCACTGGTTCATTTACTCATTTATTTATTCATCAAGCATTTATTAAACATCTGTAGTTTGCCAGGTAAGGGGAATACAAAGACAATCATTAAGAAAGCTCACAAATATTCTAGCATATAGTAAGAATTGCTTTACCCAATGAAACAGAGCAATGACATACATTGTTGCCACGTAGGAGGATCAAAAGCCACTCTATACTTTGCCATTTGATATGGTTTGGGTGGGCTGTGTCCCCAAATCTCCTCTCAAACTGTAATCCCCACTTGTTGATGGAGGGACCTGCTGGGAAGTGACTGGACCATGGGAGTGGTTCCCCCATACTGTTCTTGTGATGGTGAGTTATCATGAAATCTGATTGTTTAAAAATGGCACTTTCCCCTTTGTTCTTTCTGACTCCTGCTGCCTTGTGAAGAAGGTACTTGCTTCTCTTTCACCTTCTGCCATAATTATAAGTTTCCTAAGGCCTCCTAAGCCATGTGGAATTGTGAGTCAATTAAACCTCTTCACTTTATAAATTACCCAGTCTCAGGTATTTCTTATAGCAGTGTGAAAATGGGCTAATACACTATACTTTCCTTCTCCCCCCTAAAACAATGCACGATGTTACAGATAGCAACTTCTCGGCCAGTCTG
Source organism: Homo sapiens (assembly GCF_000001405.40). Lineage (NCBI taxonomy): Eukaryota > Metazoa > Chordata > Mammalia > Primates > Hominidae > Homo > Homo sapiens. The sequence goes on from NC_000003.12 coordinate 67,115,427, forward strand.
GGTCTCTGAATGAGAATGATGGCAATGTGCAGGAGAGACCCCAGCTGACTTTTGATGGCAATAAAATGTGCACAAGAAATCAACTGTTTATTATAAGTCATTTAGATTTGGGGTCATTTACTACCTCAGCACAACCTGGGATATCCTAAATGATGTTAGGCTGCTGCTCTCAAAACAATCTACAATGGTGGAATCGATGCATGGATGCAAACAGGTAAACAATCATGCAAACTGCAGCATAAATGCTATAAGAGATGTGGGAGTGAAGTGCTTTTTGGCAGGAATCAAAGTAATAAATTTGTGATGAACTTGAAAAGGTCAATATGCACCTATCTGCTAACAAAATATCTGGTGAGGCTACAATGTGGAACTCCATTTCAAGCAGAGGAAGACACCATCTGAGGGAGACACAGCAATGCCACAGAACGTGGAAAATGTAAGACTTGGGGAAGGGGGATGGTTTATAATCCCACTGTAACTTGGAAGGAACATTGAGAAATAGAAAATAGAGTGACATTATATTCTAATGACCCAGTGACAATAACAGTCTTACTAGTGTGCCAGCTCAGGTCATATATTGTGTAATATATGGCTTCATTTCCACTTTTGACCAATAGCTACACACAAGAGGTGGTAAAACCCCGTATAATTTGGTCAAAACAATATTGGGCTGGAAATCAGAACCTCTGGCTGCTAATATGGGGTATATCAATCATGAGAGGAAATCTGAACATATTTTTTTCTCTAGACCTCCATTACCTTATTGATAAAATGAATGGAAAAAACCTAGATTATTTCTGATCCATTCTATCTCTAAGATTGTGTTTCCTACACTTGAAATGTAACATTTGAAATCTTCATTGTTTGCGTGAAAAGATTCCACCTGGGAAATAAAACCAGGCTATTGACTTGTTATAAATGGAGAGCTATTTGATTGCATCATAAACTGTAATAGATCCTGTGGAAGTGGGGAAGCTACTCCTGTCTCCTTGGAATTAGTGCACCCTCAAATTCCAATGGCCTGAGGGCTTTCTCTGGTGGCCAGAGGCTCCTTGGCCCCATTGAATAGGTTGGAAATCCAGAGAATAATTCCTCTTGGAAGCAGCCATGAACAATGACTATTGTAAGTTGGTAGACAAATGTCCAAGTTCTCTACTCTACAGGTAGGATAATTCTGAAGTTGGACATCCTCAGGATTCCCCAGCAGGACTGAGTTTCCATTACTCACATGACAACTGGTTTGACAATGTACATTTTACTGGCTACCTCCCCTTTCCTGTGTCACTACTCATTCATCTACTGGGATTTTCTAGATTCACCTCTGAAATAAAACATCTGCACTCGAATTCTTGTCTCAAGACCTGCTTCTAGAGAACCCTAAGACATATACTAATACACAGGTGAAAATACAACTACACTCCACTGTCAATAATTTTTAGGATTGGTTTAAATGTACTTCCTACACTTGGGTGCAAGTAAAATCACATTTTCAATTAATTAAATCTGGCTTTGGGCTGGGCGCAGTGGCTCATGCCTGTAATCCCAGCACTTTGGGAGGCCAAGGCAGGCAGATCACCTGAGGCCAGGAGATCGAGACCAGCCTGGAAATTATGGGGAAACCCTGTCTCTACTAAAAATACAAAAATTAGCTGGGCATGGTGGCACACAACTGTAATCTCAGCTACTTGGGATGCTGAGGTAGGAGAATTGCTTGAACCCGGGAGGTGGAGGTTGCAGTGAGCCGAGATCATGGCACTACACTGCAGCCTGGGTGACAGAGCAAGACTCCATCTCAAAAAAAAAAAATCTGGCTTTGAACCCTAACCTCAATGCTCATTGTTCAGACTCTCATAATGATTCAAAGGTGAACAACTCTACTCCCTCTATGCCAAACTGGGGCATGGAGATTTTTGCAGTTGTTCACAAATATGTAAAATCTAATGTGCAGTCTCTACCATAGATGTGTTGCCTCACTGTGGCCCTATGACCTCCTTGACATGCTGGAAACCCATTATTTCCTTCTTCTATGGAAAGCCCCATTTTGGTTTAAGGCACTCCACCTTGTCCTCCTCTAACTTCCAGTGCTGGTAGCCATCTTCTCTGACTTTGAAGGTCTGAAACATGAAAACGAAATCTTTCATGTCTGAATGTGTGAGTTTGGGTTGCGTGTGTGTGTGTGTGTGTGTGTGTGTGAGAGAGAGAGAGAGAGAGAGAGAGACAGACAGACAGAGAGAGAGAGAGAGAGAATGTGTCAGAGAAAAACAAAACAGAAAGGATAACTTAATTTTCTCCTGAAAACCCAACAATGTTCTCTCTTTCTGAATAGGGAAAATAAAATGCTTTATTCCCCACTACAATTCCCCAAAAGAAATGAAACTAGTGTTGAGATGTGTGCAGCTGTTATTGCTGTTAAAATAACTCATCCTATATCACCTTGTGAAAGTTTGAACTTCATGTGCCTAGGAACTGGCAGGGATAGATAAAAAGGAAAAGGCAAACAGGCATTTTCTCCTTTTAAGATAGAAGACTTTTAAATATTACTTTTGCATAAGAGGGGCTCAAATCTTCATCTTCAAGATGTGGCACTCCCTTAGGTATTTAAGTTGTGCATAGGTTGTCTATTTCTCTATATACTAGTCTTGGAAGAGATTACCACTTATATAGTGGCAGAGGTAAAATCGGTCAGGTACTTTTAGTGGCCAGACCACTCTCTGAGAATAATTTTCTTAGTAGATGTAACTAGGATTTGAGACTAGCCCTAGTAAATGATATGGCCATTTTAATAAGCAAGCTGGATACCAATTCTCTTCAGATGTATGAAAAGAAACCCTCTTGGGGCAAAAAAAGAGTTCTAATATGGAGAGATTTCATTTTCAATGACGTAACCTCTTTTCTCTTTGCACTGTCATACATAGCTTCCATGTAGAGTCAAAATGTTAAATATTTGAAAAAGGGAGAATTTATATACCTGAACAAGGGTAGTCAGTTCTGTTAATGAGAGCAGGCTGCTAATGATGTCAGAGTCACAACTTTGATCTGTATCTGATTTATTAATTTCCAGTTTATCTATACCTTTATTTTCTCCTATCAACCCCCTGCCGACCATCTGCCTAACGCTTTCAAAGGGGTGACTAGTTATTTGTCTGGCTATCAATCCAAATATCACCACAAAAAAATCAAAACAAAACCCTTAAAACAACCTATTCTGCTAAGGATGGAACAGGAAATAAGTGAGTAGCCACAATATTTTTCATTGGAAAGATGAGGTTATAAGTGATTTGCTTACTGGTAAGGCGAATCATGCAATTCCACTGAGTTACTTATGAACACAATCTGATCCTAGTTGTCATGGCAACATACAAAAAAAAGTGGAAAGAGTTCACGATTACATTTTCTTGAAATGATCCAAAATATTAACTGTAAGTATGTGAATTCTGTAGAAAATGTTATTTAAACTTTTTCTTGGAATCTCGGAGCTGCTGCTGGATTCCAAGAGATGTCTGCCTGCAGCTGTTCAACCATTATAATCCCCCTCTGTGATGAAAGCAGAAAAGCAATGAAGATTTGAAGAAAATAGAAGTCTTGCTTCACCCTCAGGACATCTTTCTCTAACACCCCCCTCCATTAATATACAAGGCGTGAAACATTAAATGTCACATCCATGTCATACTCTAATGCCACTGCACTGTAGAATCAAAGTGTAGAATTCTTTTGCCAATGCGACTTGGGATAAAAAGAAATCCCACTAACCAGAATAAAAGGTCAAAAACATAATTCTTAGTTTTCCTTCACATTTTCTACCAAATGAGGACAAATTGGGGAGAAAAATCCTAGGCTTTTGAGACATCATTTTCTCAGTGTTCTAGTAGAAAACAGTGCCCTGAATAAGAAGGTCACAAAAACCACCAAACACTCCTCTATCATATGTGAATAAAAACCTATAGCTTCATCCAAAAAAGGAAATGCATAAAACCTTTTAGGAAGAGAGGCCACTGTTGTATCTTCTTTTGAAATATTTTTTATTGGTATTGTTTTTCAGAGGAGAGATCTGATATTTTCTCTCACAATCATGAACTTAAAAATGGTACTATGAAAGGAATAATTAACCACTGATCATTATTTTCCTTCCCAGCAAAACAGAACTCACTCTACCAATGAAGGACCATTAGTATTTAATGCTGGAACTCTCTTGCACATGACTCTCATATCTCTACTTCTTGCATTGATGAGATTTCAACTGGGTTTAGTGACTAAGAGTTTGTGTGAGAATTTGAACAAGGCTATTTTTCCCATTGGTTTACCCAAAATTGTCTGCAACTGTCAGCATTTCTGTGTGCAGGCTGCTAGGTGGGATTAAATATATACGTCCTTCCACTTCTCAGCGGATACAAGTTCTCAGGTCAGCCAGGAACATTTCTATTCCAACATGATGACTCTGTAGGCTTTAGTGTAAGCACACAAGCCACACTAGAGTTGTAGGGTGCTGCTCTGTTCTCGTGGGATATGTAAACACTCAGTTGTTCCTAATGTGTTATAGGAAACAGGTATTAGGGATTAGCTTTTTCTCTAGGCTGCTACTCTATAATTCAACTAGTTTGTTCTCTTCTACCTTCCAGTGTGAAAAGAATTCATTATTCCAATTTTACACCAGTGTTTTCCATCTTTCTGTGTGTGCAGAACATTTTCAAAAACAAATGTTTGAGCAGCACCCCTGAAGTCAACAGTAATTTCAACCTAAAGCCTATTACAAAAGGACAATATTTTGTAGCTTCAGTAAATGGGTCCACAATGTTGCCTTGCTCTCTTGGTCACCCTCAGACCCTGTCTTTTTAAGTAAGATTGTTGTGCTGTTTGATTCAAGAATTGGGTGCTGGGAATGCAGTACTGGTGAATAAACAGACATAGTTGCTGTCATCATGAAATGTATGTGATGGAGATGGAGACAGGAGCTAAGCAGATAATTACATACAATATTTAGCTGCATTGTGATCAGCTTAAAGGGGAGAAAGACAAAACAAATGACAAATTTAAATATTGTTACAAGTAAACATTTTCTCTGTTTCCTCTCCTCCTTCTCTTTCTCCTTTAAAAAGCTTGGGGAAAAGTGATCAGTATATTCTGTTCACATTACCAATCAGCAACTGTTAAATACCCTGACAACACCAGATGTTGATTCCAAAATGAATGGCATCTGGTCTAGTACATGAGAAACAGCACACGCAAGTGCAGGCCTGGGCTCTTAAACGTGCCCTGAGACATCTTGGAGGATCTAGGGGAATTTTAGGATGGTATTAGCAACTGGTACTCCACCAGCCTGGGTCCTCTGGGAATCTGCTGTGGTTTCAACATGCTCCCAGAGATACTGCTATCTCTCACAGCCTTCATCAAAAGCAGGGTGTTCACCAAAGCCAGCCTTGTACCCTTGTGACCATGGCACACTGCTAATTAAGGGTAAGGAAACAAAACGGAAATAATATCTGAAGCCCTTGCCACTCTGAGGATATTTGTGAATGTCAGGGAGAAGAAAAAGCAACTTTCAAGAACCAGGGGGGGCAATAAAAAGCACTGGATGGAGAATCAGGGGAGGTATGTTCTTGTTCTGGCTGTGTCTCTAAAAGGTTGCTCTGAAATGGTGGGCAGTCCATTCCACCTCTCTGGCTCTCACCCAGAGGTGAATGAGTTGGCTAGATTACCTCTAAAAAAAGACAGATTAACGAAGTGACTAACAAAACAGACTTTGGAGACAGTGAGATTTGGACTTGCATCACTTCCCTCCCATTTTACAAGGTCAGAAACTTAGGAGGGTTACTTAGCCCCTCTAAGCCTCAGTATCCTCATTTGTAAAGTGGAGATGATTATAGAACATACCTCAGGATTGTTTTAAGGATAGAATTAAATAAAGCAAATAAAGTACTTGTCACAGTGCCTAGCTAAGTGCTAAGTATTAACTATTTTTTTTTGTTTTTTTAGAAAATTTATGTAATTCCATTGCTTTGTATGTAAATTAAGGCAAATGAGTCGTCGTGTAATTTTTCATGTAACCATGTAATGATATTGAAAAATTCTACTTGCCATTTCTTTTTATCAGTTTGCACTCTTGAGATGTGTGTGTGTGTGTGTGTATCAATGTATGCATGGGTTGATAAGGACACTTATTCACTTAGTAAGTATATACAACACAGTTTTGATATGAAAATAACACTCTGCTAGTGCTATTACCATGTAGATACAAGTACAATCTAACTTTCGTTTCTTGAAACATAATTGGGGGTGGGGGTGGGTAAGAAACACTCACAAAATAAGAGTTTAAAGAAATAATCAAATGCCAAATTAGAGGAAAAATGGTGAGTGCTATGGGATACAAACGAAAACACTCACACCTCACTATTAATTTACTGGCTTTATAAGAGAATTAAATTAGGACTTTATCTAAAGAGATTAATCATAGAAGTATTAAAAAGGGCCTCTATTAGACAGCCTGGCTGGTAAAATAGTCCTCTGATCTATAATTAAAGGAACACTCCTGTGTGTATATAAAGTATAAGCCCTTCTTCATTCAGTATATTGTATCACAAAAGGATACAAAATGAAACATTAAAACTTGTTACAAATTACATTATTTGTCATCATTTATAAAATCTATAGTTTGGGGACTTTGGTCAAATAAGATTGATCTATTTGTGTTACCACTTGATTAATAAAAATAAGTGTTTCCAAGATGTGTGTTGGTCTCCATGCAGCAGAGATGTTTTGCTATTGTTTGAAAATACTAAGGTCGTATTATTTCCTCCTCAATCAGTGGTTTTGGTAATGAAATTTGATTGATTTTATGACCTTTCCTAGTCCCTTTATAATTTTAATGATAAAAAGGTAGCATCTAGATTTGATTGTACCATAAATTGCAGCTTGGCTCATGGACATGTATTGTGGTGATTACCTTCTCCTGCTATGTACCACTGACAAACACAGCTCAGGGCTGTCCATCAATCAAGTCAATGGATACTGAAAAAGGCCTGTGGATCACTCCATTCTCCAAACTTAGTGGGTATCTTAATTCTGATACACCTTCCCCCGGGCTCCCAATGTAAAATACCTTGGGCCACTGCTTCAGTGGACCTTCATCCCTGATAAGGCTGTTTTTTTCCAGGAAGTATGATGGTCATATTTGTTTTAGATCCCATCTTAGTAAAAGATTTCATCTGCCACCCTGTGGCAGTGTAACTACATCACTAGAAGGGGTAAAATTGTTAATAACCTTCATCTGCCACCCCAAACACCTCAGAAATAATTTTCTTTAAAATATTACAATTACTGATTATTATCTGAAACAGATTTTTCTCTTTAAATTTATTCATATCATCTTTCAGTTTAGCCTCCTCCAGGATAACTACACAGCTGATTCCCATATGCAACAGGAAAGTCAGGAGCTGAGCTCTGCTTGCTGCTGTTCCTGAAGAGTGACTACTTACCACTTATGCCTCATCCATTGTCAGCTGTTCACCAATCACTACTGAGTATATTCCAGGCACAGTTTTATGTCCTATACATGGGTTATTTTGTTTGATCCTCCAAGGGATGCATGGGGTGGGTATTTTCTTAACCTCTATTATTCTAATGGGTATTATTCTCTATTATTCGGATGGGTATTAACCTCTATTATTCTGATGGGTAATGAGGCTCAAAGAGGTAAGGGACTTGCTCATAGGACCTCATCTAGGAACTGAAGGCAGTGGCATTAAAAAACCCAGAAGTCCTGGCGCTGAAGCCCATGCTGTTAATCACTATAGTGCATGTTTGCTTACCTCTACAAACACTGGCCAAACACTGGATCATTATCTTGCATTGAAATAATTTTCCTGTTGCATTAGTTTATACAGTAGTAAAATAGAGAAAAGACTCTGGGCTCAGACTGCCCAGCTTTTAATTATTACTCAACTACATTATCCATATGGCCTTGAGTAAGTTATTTAACCTCTTTGAACTTAATTTGCTCCTATTCCAAGATGGGAAAAACAACAGGATCTTATTCTAAGGGTGGGTGTTTGGGAAGATGTAACATGATAAAACAGGCCCACTTAGTATAATGCCATGTGCTGAGTGCTCAATAAAGATTACTGAGTATTATTATTACGGTATAATTATCAAATATTATTATTCAATAAAATAGGGATGTGACACTCTGTTGTCCAAAGAGACATCAAGACATCTAATAACTTAGGGCTTTCTGGGTGAAGGTTGTGAAGAGGAAACAGGAGAGAGGGCAGGTAGTTTCACATACACACAAGAAGAAAAAGGCAAAATACTGACGAACAGGTGCTAGAGTAAGCAGTTTCAGCCAAACCCATCACACAGCTTCCAGCCCCATGGAATTATTATGATTTCCCTTTCCTATTAAGGAGTCACATCTGGATATAAAGTTCAAAAGCAGACTTTGTCAGAATGAGCGTGCGCAAGAGCTGCTTCCACAGATATCCTGGCTGCTGTTCACAGTGCTCGGGTTTTATGTCTCTTGTTTTATCCTGAATTATTTATCCTGAGCATCTGTGTTACATTATCTTTACGTAACATCACAATGGAAATGGGAGAATGGGCGCTCTTTTCTTGTTTGCCCACTGACAGTAAATGTGCCCTGCAGCTTCCAGGTGTCTTTTCTGCCTTTCTTCACTCACTTATCGAGCTATCTCCCTGTCAAGTGGGGCACATCCCATCTCCTTGGGGGCTGAGTGAAGCCAGCTTCCAGTCAGCTTGGGGATCACAGATGGTCCCAGCTCCACTTAAAGATAAGACCAATCGATCCTTTCTAAGAGCTCCACAGCTAAGCAGCTCATACTGCAGACTGAATTTCATTTTTCAGCCACCAAAATACAAATGTCCTCTGCAGGTGGGCTTGGAATCCCATGGCCCAGACTAAATTGGAAACTTTCTGGACATCTTGACTATTTGGCAAGCTATTTCAGAGCTCCCCATCTAAACTTTTTACAATGAACCTAGAAACAGTAGTAATTATTATTCAACAACACTAATATGTGTTAGGCATTTAATATATGCTAGGAACTAAGTCACATACTTTACCTTGACTCGTTAAGATTTACTACAACCCTATGAGATAGGCACCTTATTCCCATTTTTAAAAAATGGAAGAAAATTAAGTTCAGAGAAATTAAGTGACTTGTTCAAGTTCAATATCGATTAGGCACTAAAACTAAGATTCAATCCTGAATCTTAGCCCGTGCTTTTTCCTACTTCTTTTTGACTAGTGTTTGCATGATATGTCCTTTTTGTTTCAACCAATCTATGTCTTTATATTTAAAGTAGTTTTCTCTAAGTGGCATATAATTGAGTTTCATATTTTATCCAATTACACAATATCTACATTTTAATTAGATTTTTTAGACCATTTATATTTAATGTAATTATCAAGGTTTGGGTTTAAATCTACCATCTTACTATTTATTTCCTCTTTGTATGATCAGTTCTTTGTTTCTATATTAGTATTTTCTTGACTTCTTTTGGATTGACTATTGTTTATCATTTCATTTTATCTCCACTATGGGCTCATTGGCTGTTTAGTTTTTGAGTGGTTGCTAGAATTTATAACACATACTTATCACAGTTTATCTCCAAATGATATTATATTACTTCATATATTACAGCAGAAAAGTTCAATTTCTCCCTTTTTGTACTATTGTTGTATATTTTACTTCTGCATAGTCTACATACTGCATAATCTGTAAAAAATATTTATGATTATTTTTGCTTTAAATAGTCAAATATTTAAAGAATGCTAAAAATGAAAAAAAGGCTTTTTTTTTTTTTTTTTTTTTTTTTTTGAGATGGAGTCTTGCTCTGTCAGCCAGGCTGGAGTGCAGTGGCACAATCTCTACTCACTCTAAGCTCCGCTTCCCGGGTTCATGCCATTCTCCTGCCTCAGCCTCCCAAGTAGCTGGGACTACAGGCACCCATCACCACGCCCAGCTAATTTTTTTGTATTTTTAGTAGAGACAGGGTTTCACTGTGTCAGCCAGGATGGTCTCAAACTCCTGACCTCGTGATCTGCCCGCCTCACCCTCCCACGCTGGGATTAGAGGAGTGAGCCACCACGCCCAGTCTGAAAAAAAAATCTTTAATGTTTACTCTCATAGTTACCATTTTCGGTGTTCTGAATTTCTTTGTGCAGTTCCACATTTTCATCTTGCATTATTTTCTTTCTGCATGATGATAGAAGCTCTTTAAATAATGTAGTAAAAATCATGGGGTTCCACAGTCTGCCTATGGCTGTTGCTATGAAGAAACTGAGTTCCAATGTCAGCATCAGGGATCTCTATTGTATTGTACATCGTGAGTGAGGTGAACCATGTTGAAGCAGACAGCTGAGCCACAACTGTAGAAATGGTCACTTCCTACACCCATAAGCTGTAAACTTTGGCCAAATCATGGAGTGGGGTCCTGAAGAGAAGATCTCCATCAGAAAGGCAAGTTTTGGATCTCCTTGTTCTTGAACAGTTCCTGGCTGAGAAGGAGTTCAGATTGCAATAGCATTTCAAGAATCCGAATCCTTTCCTACCCTATCTACATGTTAATGCCCTTTAGAAGCAGATGTCTAAAAAGTAAAGGACTTTACTAGCCAGCTGGGTGTTTAAGTCAGCTGGGAATCCTAAAAATGGGGGTGTATCTTCTGTAATGGAGTTGCTTATCAGTCCTCCAAAGACCAGGAACCAACTCAGACTTAGGAAGTCTTCCATTCAGTGTCATCATTTTGCATGAAAAGCCGAGTCTGGAGCCAGGCACTGCCATGGCCCAGCTCCAAGAGCTAGTAATGATTATGACGGCAAATAATAATGATAAATAATATTAATGGAAAATTTAGTAATATCCAAGCATCGTTCTAAAATCTTGACAGTTACTGAGTCATTTAATGCCGATGATAACCCAAAGAGTAGCTACTATTACTTATTATTATTTTCATTTTCAGGGCACAGAGTATTTAAATAACTTGTACAAGGTTGTGTGGTTATTAAGTGGCAGAACTGGGATTTTAATTATGGAAGTTTGGCCTTAGAGTCCATGCTCTTAAACACACACTACATTGGAATGCTTCTAAGCAAAATGGAGCTCCCCACCTTGCCCAAAGCTGCCTCACTGTCTTCTTCACAATCTCCAGTATCCTAGGTTCCTTTGCTTACTGACTCCAGAGAAGCAACAATCACTTCATTCTACCTGGTCTGAATGGATCTCATTCATTTAGACAAAGAGGAAGGCCAATGAGTCTCAATGCTTCAAGGTCTCAGTTTTCGGTTCTCCACATTGGCCAAGACTTTTCAGACCTCTCTTTCCCTGAGAGTGTGTTGAGGGTACCTAGTGGTTTTTTATTGGGTTCAGGTTTCTTGTGTTACTTCAGAAGGTAGGTCCTGAGCCTGCAGACTGAAAATTCTGGCTTAGCTGGCCTTCAGAGCTCTAGCAGCTGAGCCCTCTGGAAAACTTAGCCCTGAAAATAAATGATACTTGCCTAGTAAAACTCATCGCAGCTGGCACAACTTGCAGAGTTGAGTCTCTGTAGGAAGCATAAGCGACTAAGAGACATTGCCTTTATGGATTTGGGATGCTAAGTTAAACAGTGCATAATTTTCATTGGTATGACATTATTTTGGAGGAGAGGCCTGAGATAGCATTCTTAAAGAGGAGGTATTTCTATCATAGCAGATTGGTCCTGGAGACCTTTGACTCACGACATGCAAAATCATAAACTGAAGTGTCTTGTATGCTAAATTTATTCAGAAAAATAGAGATCCCGTCGCTGAAGATATGAAGACTGCAGCTGAAACTCATGTGGAGCTGCCTTTGGGGAAGTCTTAGGGCTTGGATTATGGAGACAAGGGCCAGGACATGATTCTGGACAGGGCATCGATGTCTTACATGAAAAGGAAACAGAGATTCTGGGATCTCATTTTCCTGTGTTGCTGAAAGTCTTGTCTCTCCTTAGGGACTGCCTGACTGCGTGAAATTCAATTCAATGATATTGTAATTCAAATCCTGCCAGTCACAACATCCTGCCTGTAATCTCAGATGACAAGGTGATCCTCAAAGTGGTGGGGCTGGTTTAGGGGATTCGTGGGAAAGAAGAAAAGGTATGCCATTTGGCAAGCTGTTAGTTTGGGCAATTTTGCTTCTTGACAGATGTACCTTTGTCCCAGAATGTCCCAGGAAACAGGGCAAATCCTGGAGACACCCAACTATCTAGTGTTACCATACACTGAATTAGGATTCTATCAAATTTTCCAGCAAACAGAGGAAATAGTGTCTACAAATAGCTATGTGACTTTGGGCATGAGTGCCAGCACTTGTCATTAACAAACTACCTCATTACCTTTGATTCTTACACCTTTCTGAAATGGTGGGACTGGAGAAGGAAAAATATATGTCATTATATTTATTCTGCCATTACTAGCACCATAAGACTATTTAACTCCAAATTAATTTTGTCTATTAAGCTGTTGTGACTCTGATGTAATCCTTCCTGTTAAGACAATAAGATTTGTTTTTAAAAATATATGATACATGATGCAAGATTTGAGTAATCATTTTGGTGACCAAGATCATTAAAAGAAACCAGTAGTATTCCTGGATTTGGACAACAAGGGCCCGAGAACCTTACTTTAGTGGCCTCGCATATCAAAATACTGAAAAAATAAACTTACTAAAAAACACGTGGCCCTTCTGTCAATTGGGATTTAGCCTTCCACACTGTTGCAGCGTGATCCATAAGTTTAATCATCCCCTCCTGGGACTGACCCTATTCAGGCTCAGAAAATGTTTCTGCACATCTCCAATGTGCAGAAACAAAAGATGTACTCAAACAAAAGATGATTTCTACCAAATATCGTAAAGATGTTTGGGTTGAGCAGCCTGGATGGAATTGGAGACTGTTATTCTAAGTGATGTAACTCAGAAATGGAACATCAAACGTCGTACGTTCTCACTCATAAGTGGGACCTAAGCTATGAGGACACAAAGGCATAAGAATGACACAATGGACTTTGGGGACTCAGGGGAAAGGGTAGGAGAGGGGTGAGGAATAAAAGACTACACATTGGGTACAGTGTACACTGCTTGGGTACACACAGATCTCAGAAATTACCACTAAAGAACTTACTCATGTAACCAAACACCACCTGTTCCCCAAAAACCTATTGAAATAAAAAATAAATTAGAAAAAATTGTGGTTTGTAGTGCTTCTGACATAGGAGCCAGATGCTGCTATGGAATGTGGGAAGGTCTTGAGAGCTAGAAGAGCTTAGGTCAGAGATAGGCAAATTAACTTGTACAAATTCTTCAGATTGTAAAAATGCAATATATTCCTGCATAAAAAAGCATCATTTCCACTTATGTTGAATATCCATTTTCTTTATACTCTTGGTTTTCCAATTTATAGTTTTAGAAATATTTGCAAGTTATCATGGTATTGACAGCAAATGCCTATGGAAGCTGAGGAATATTTTGCTACATTAAATTATCCATATTGCTGCTAAACATGTATGTACACCAGTCTACTCTAGACCTCATGCATGAACTGTGTCACCAATGGTTTATACTGGCAACTAAGTGGATGCTGAAGCCTGACATTACAAATACTATTATTTTTATAAATGCAGTCAAGATAATTTAATTAAAAAAGAACATAAGATTTTAGTTTTTAAAAATAATCTTGAGTTAAAATGTATAATTATAATTACTATTTTGACTTTTAATTTTAACAAATACTTCCGAATAATTAAAAATAACTTTTTTGAAAACACTTAACAATGACTTTAAGTTCAGTTTTTACCATTTAATTTCATTTGTATTTTTGATGAAATATTAAACATATAAGTAGATTGAATACTATTCCATTTAATTTTCTAATCCTTTAGATTATCATTGTCAATAGAATGTAAAATAAGTAAAATTATGATTATGGCAATATAATTAGTAATTTTGCTAAAATCAAGGCCAAAACATTTTTGCAATAAATATGTAATCAAACAATAATTATTTCCTGATTTTATTACTCATCTAAACATCACTATCTTAATAACTGAACACCCAGAATACAACTTAATAACAATCAAATTCAGTTGCCTTTAATACTTGGCAAACTATCAGCCACATAAGAAAGATACCTTCATACATATTTTTATTTTGCATAATGAAGTTATATTTGCCAAAGTAGAAAGATAGAATTAGTTTTATTTAATAGTTTGTTAGATGAATTTATAACTTTAAACATTTAGAGATATTGTATATGGGCTTCCATTTATTCTCTTGCCCCAGGGCCCACAAATGTCAGGGTCATAATTGAGGGAAACAAAAATTCTTTCCAAAGTCACAATTTGTGACGTATATCTCTTGAGGAGGGACTATTTACAGTATTGCCTCCTAGATTCACCCTCAGCAAAAACTTTTACTTGGCATGAGCAATTCTATTTTTATAGCTAAAATGTTGTGGACCTTGATTCACTCTCCAATTAACCTTGGCAAACTTAGAAGATGTGGGGAGTTTGAAGAACTTATAATTCATTTCTGCACACACCACCCATGAATCCAGTTCACAATCTATCACTGATCTTACACAGCCCCAGGAGCCTGCTCTGCTGCTGTCCTCCTCAGACCAAACTGGGTCTCTATGCCTTTTCAGAGCCCCCCCTCCTCCTTCCTTTACTACTCTGGACCTTTCTCTACCTCAGCCTCCTCTACATCAAAATTCTCCTACTTTGTTTCCCATTCCTCCTGGGCTTGCTCTCTACCTTGCATTAAGGTTTTCCCAAGTCCGGAGTGAGCTCATTAAATCTCTTGCCTTGGAAAGGAGCAAGGTGAGAGTAACAGGGAAGTCTTGAAGCGCTTCTGAGAGCAGAAATATGGCAGTTAACTCTGGATTCAGGGAAGTAAGTACCCCCAGGCGAGAGAAATGTCTGTGTATCAGTTACTTTTGCTCCACAATGAAGGTTGAAAGTGGAGATGTGCAGAATCCTAACTGTGTACTTCCTTCTTACTGGAGTTGCTGTAATAGGGCAGTTTGTAATTACGTAAGTGGCAGGATTATTTATCTTTTAATTTGTGCTTATTTTTGCTGTAGCTTTCCCTTCACCCACTCCAAGCAAGCAGCCAGTCTTTGTATTCCTTGTATTGTGAATTTTGCAGGGTCCATTAAGAAATGGCAGGAAGTTGACTCTCTTTCTTTTCTTCTGTGAAAGCTTGAGCTTAGGGGAAATATGATGTTAGGTATTTCTAGAGAGGAGGAGGGAGAGGTAGCTATACTTGAGGATGGCAGGAAAAGAAAGAGAGGGTTTTTTTTCCATCCCTTGACTGGAAAGCGGATGCAAGTCAGGAGGCTCCATGAGCACTGGGGACTGTGTCCTGCCCCACGACAGTTTCTTACAGATAGATCCATAGTTTTAAGGGCATGCCTCACATGTATATTTAAGAAAATTGAACCCTAGCTCAATTCTCATTCTTGCCTGTGCCTCCCAAACACAACAACACAGTTGCTGGTTTTAAGCAACCTTGTGCATGTAGACAATGAACACAGCAGTAATAACTGTTATGGATCAAAAACCTGATGCCTTGGCACAAGGTGAGGGTATGGGGAGCCCCAGCAATGACTAAGAGACTGAATTTTCAGCTACTCCAGTGGAATCAGGGCTCATGGTTTAATGTAAGTTTGTTTTGTTAAAAAATAACTTTTAGCTTTGGAATAATTTTAGATTTACAGAAAAATTGCAGAGAGAGTACAGAGAGTCCCCAATATATACCTGACCCAATTTCCCTATTGCTATCATCTTATATTACCATGGAACATTTGTCAAAACTAAGAAACTGACACTGATACATTACTATTAACTCAACTCCAGACTTTATTTGGATTTCACCAGTTTTTCCAATGACGTCCCCTTTCTGTTCCAGAATCCTATCCAGGGTACCACCTAGCATTTAGTTGTCATGTCTCCCCATCTCTACTGGTCTGTGGCAGTTTCTCAGTCTTTCCTGTTTTTCATTACCTTGGCAGCCTTGATGAACACTGGCCAGGTATTTATAGAAAGTCCCCCAGTGTGAGTTTGTCTGATATTTTTCTGGTGATTACACCGGGAATGTGGATTTTTGGAACAAATGCCACCAAGATGAAGTGGTCTTCTCATTGCATCATATCAGGGGCTAAAATTCTTCTCTTTAAAACCAGAAAAATGGACAATTCTCACACATCAGGATTTGTAGGTAAAGATTCATCGTTGTCATTTAAACATTCTTATACAAAAGAAGTTCAGACCAGTGTCACCTAAGAGAATCATAACCCTAAGCATTGTAATTGAAGGAGAATTCAGCAGCTCTTGCCTTTCCTCTAGGAGAATTCAGCAGCTCTTGCCTTTCTTTTAGGTTAGTCAATATTTCCATCAAGACTCCTAACAGACCTTCTTCTGTGTTCTGCTGTGATTCTGGGACTTGTTTAAATACCGATTTCTTAAGTATTTGAGGAAGTCTTTTGAAATCTTGTTTAAAATCAACTTCCTTGCTCTCTATACTTTTCATACCCCTTTTGGCTAAATATAATTAGTTTTATTTGAATCTTCATGTTTTTTTTTAAATACATAAACCAAGAGCATACGGTTCCAGGGGCTCAAACCAGCATTCTCTCATGGTGGTTTCTAGCTTACAGGAACTCATTCATAATAACATATCTAGACTGGGTTTTAATAGTGTGGAATAAATTTAGAATTCATAATAAGAACCATGAGAAGGACAATTATCAAGGTTATTAAAAACAATTATTTCTTACCTCATTTTCACTACAACTTTCAGCCCTCAGCACATCCAGGTCACCATGTAGGCATTAATCAAAATGTTTCCTCTAGCACTGCTGGAAATTTTGACCCATGGATAATGATTGATGGTCCCTTCCCAGGGATTGGATGGCTGTTCTCTAGAGAGGCTGGACATCTGACCCGGGCAGAGAGCATTCACAAGGCATTCACAACTCTCCCACAGCAGGTGTACATCTGTTCCACCAGGATGACATCCTCCTCTCTTTGTCACAGTTACTTACTCTTATAAAAGAGTTCTTGGATGTTGACATTCTTCTCCTTCTTTGAACAAATAGAAATCTAGAGACTTCACAGAATAGATGTTGGCTTTTTAATGATTATTTTAGATAGAAATGTTCTGCTGGTCAACAAATGCTAAGACTGATGTTCTTTAAATACACATGTTCTGGTGTGTAATGATGGAGTTATTAGAGTAAAAGGGGTTCAAGAGATTGCAGATACCTTTATCTTAGCTCTGTCCCACAGAGCAATGGTTCAGTATACTACTGGTTAGTTTGGGAACAAGGCTACCATCGTTTTGTTTTTCTCAGCCAAACAAGAACTTACACAACACTCTAACCTTTTCTATGTTGGAAGTAGGAAGATTTCCATTTGCTCCACAGTGGCGTCTTTACCATAAATATCTTTCCCATTACTTATGTTTTCATTCACAGAGAATAGTTTGATAATGTTCTAAAGGAGAAAAACATAAGGAATGTGTGTATGGTTAAAACACCCAACAGATATCAAAATGCAAGTTTCATTGCAGTCAGGCCCATGTGAGTCAGGCTAGCTCTGGGCAGAGGTAGGTAGAAACAAATCTGAAGAACAGGGAGGAGATAACTATACCAGTGAATCAACCTTTAATTGTAGGCTGACTGTAGATAATGAATCAGTTAACCTGTTCATTTCCACAAATGCAAATCCTATGCTACATAAGTTTGGCTTTTACCAATGGGTCTGCCAAGTACAATTTAGGTTGAACCACTAACACAAAGATAAAATAAAAATTCACATTTAATTTTGTTTTCTAAGGATGTGGAAGGAACTGTATGGTCCATGCTCAAGCACAAGTTATAATTGTCCATTATGTCACTTTCATTAATATGGGCCAATAGAGCTAGAATGTAACACCTATGCAGCATCAGCAACGCAGTAAAAGTATCTCCTGAAGGACAAGATCTGAATCTGGTAGGATCAATGTTTTCCTCACTAACTTTGCCACTTTTGAGGTTTTCAGGACTATTCCTTGCAAGCTAAGGAAATAGGAGGAGTGTCGAGATCAAAGTCGACTCTCCCAAGTTTCTCTCTCTTTTTTTTTGAGACGGAGTCTCACTCTGTTGCCCAGGCTGGAGTGCAGTGGTGTGATCTCGGCTCGCTGCAACCTCCGCCTCCCTAGTTCAAGCGATTCTCCTGCCTCAGCCTCCTGAGCAGCTGGGATTACAGGCATGTGCCACGACGCCTGGCTGATTTTTGTATTTTTAGTAGAGACATGGTTTCATCATGTTGGCCAGGCTGGTCTCGAACTGCTGACCTTATGATCAGCCGGCCTTGGCCTCCCAAGGGGCTGGGATTACAGGCATGAGCTACCACGCCCGGCCCTCTTGTTTAATACTATTGATACGTTATTCAAAAAGAGCAAAATGCTGAGGCTTGAGGTCACTTGAGGTCAGGAGTTTGAGACCAGCCTGGCCAACATGGTGAAACTCTGTCTCTACTAAGAATACAAAAATTGGCTGAGTGTGCTGGTACATGCCTGTAATCCCAGTTACTCAGGAGGCTGAGGCAGGAGAATCGCTTGAACCCAGGAGTTGGAGGTTGCAGTGAGCTGAGATCGCGCCACTGCACTAAAAGTGGCAAGCTGATCAGAGAAATGTTGTAAAATGCCCTGATTATGGCCCACTTCAATGCTACAATGCTTTATATGCATTATCCCCATTTTAGAGACAAAGAAACCAAGGTGTAGGAAGGTAGAATCACTTGCCCAAAGTGACAGTTAGTAAGTGGTGAAGTCAGAATTCAAACCCAGAGAATTTGATGCTGGCACCCAAGTGCTTAGTATGCATCTTTCTCCCTTTCTTTTCTGATCTAGAAAAGATTGCTAAGATAAAATGTTTGAGATAAACCTAGATTAAAATCATTGATAGGAAAGAAAACCAGTCATGAAATAATCAGGCGTTAGAAAGTTGGGTCATAAATTAACTTGCCAGCACTGAGTAGTAACAGAATTAATTGTCTCAGTCTACTTGACTTTAGCTATGTGTTGAAACCAGTCATTTTCCTTAATGATACTTGCAATTTGCTCCCTATCTTCTTGCAATTAGAAGTTACTTTCAGATCAACTGTGTCAGGCACACAGGCTCCTCTTTTACTATAAAATACCAGGACAACAACTTTAGGAGCTTTTGGAGCCACAGTTAAGATTGGGCAAAAAGAACTGACTTCAGCTCATGAGCTGGCTTTTATCTGTGTGAGAAGAATGAAGGACAGGGTTGGGAGACTTACATTGCTTTTCCTTTCACTGTCTTCATTGGAATCTATTAATTCATTAATTCTAGCCTCCTCTCTGGAATTACACTTTTTTTTTTTTTTTGCCTGTTCTCTCACAAGTCCAGACACAATACTTTCACCTTCTGCCCAGAGGACAAAATACTTTTCTGAAATGCCTCAACTGTTATCCATCCAGCCATCCATCTATCCATCCATCCATCCATCCATCCACCCATCCATCTATCCCTGCCTCCCTCTATCCATCCTTCCACTGTTAAGTGAGACCTTATGAATTAAATCAATCTTATACAATCTCATTACATCATAGAGGATTCAATTAGAAAATCCTCAAACCAAAAAAATAACTTCACTTATTACCAATTTAAATGGGAGCAAATAGAACAGTTTGCTTGTCAGATTTCCAAAGCCAAACAATTGTGAACAGTGATAAAGAATAGTTTGAACACTGCTGTGGCCATGGAGTACACTACCCAGATCTCCTTTCTCTTGGGGAAGAGCTGAGAAGAGGATAGCCGGCCAAAAGCCTCCAGCTGCTACACCTTCAGACTCACTATGACATTCATGCCAAGGTCATGTTTCCCCACAGCTCCTCAAAGAGAGAGTCTAGAACACAGTAGGGGTTCTAGAGCTGGGCCATTTCTGCCCGATATGGAACATGGGCATACTTTGTATTCCAATGGACAATCTTTGCTTGGGTACTCACCATCCACTGGGTGAGACTTTCTCAGAGCTGTGCTATAGTCAAAGGTGCTTCCTACTCAATACCTCTTCCTTTGCTTTCTCCTTTCAAATGCGTCAGACCTGCATTAAATCTAAAGTTTCCCTTTGCCTACTCCTGCTCCTTTCCTATTTTATCCTTCACGGCATTTTCCCCAATAAATCTCTTGTATGGCTGATCTCGTCTTGGCACCTGCCTCTAAGAGGAACTCAACAGAAACAAACACCAACTTTTCATGTTTATACATATCACACATACTTGGTCCATTTTCAAGCTGTACTCAACCACAATTTTGAGTTTTGTGCATCATACATGCGTAATTCCCAAATTTAATACCTGATGTTTAAGCTTGCTCTGAAATCTAAATGCCATATATCCAACTAACTAACAGCTTTACTTGATACATCCATGTTTAATATCTCATGTCCAATAACTATGTTCTATACTTCAGCCATACTGGATTTCTTTAAAAAAAAACAAAATATTTATATAAACATAATGATTCTTTTTTTATATTATTATACTTTAAGTTCTGGGATACATGTGGAGAACGTTCAGGTTTGTTACATAGGTATACATGTGCCATGGTGGTTTGCTGCGCCCATCAACTTGTCATCTAGGTTTTAAGTCCCACATGCATTAGGTATTTGTCCTAATGCTATCCCTCTCCTAGACCCCCACTCCTCAACAGGCCCCACTGTGTGATGTTCCCCTCCCTGTGTCCATGTGTTTTCATTGTTCAACTCCCACTTATGAGTGAGAACATGCAGTGTTTGGTTTTCTGTTGCTATGTTAGTTTGCTGAGAATGATGGTTTCCAGCTTCATCCATGTCCCCGCAAAGGACATGAACTCATTTTCTTATGGCTGCATAGTATTCTATGGTGTATATGTGCCACATTTTCTTTATCCAGTCTATCATTGATGGGCATCTGGGTTAGTTCCAAGTCTTTGCTATTGTAAATAGTGCTGCAATAAACATACATGTGCATGTGTCTTTATAGTAGAATGATTTGTAATCCTTTGGATATATACCAAGTAATGGGATTGCTGGGTGAAATGGCATTTCTGGTTCTAGATCCATGAATAATCACCATACTGTCTTCCACAATGGTTGAACTAATTTGCACTCCCACCAACAATGTAAAAGTGTTCCTATTTCTCCACATCCACTCTAGCATCTGTTGTTTCCTGACTTTTGAATGATCACCATTCTAACTGGTGTGAGATGGTATCTCATTGTGGTTTTGATTTGCATTTCTCTAATGACCAGTGATGGTGAGCTTTTTTTCATATGTATTTGGCTGCATAAATGTCTTCTTTTTAGAAGTGTCTGTTGATATCCTTTGCCCCCTTTTTGATGGGGTTGTTTTTTTCTTGTAAATTTGTTTAAGTTCCTTGTAGATTCTAGAAATTAGACCTTTTTCAGATGGATAGATTGCAAAATTTTTCTCCCATTCTGTAGGTTGCCTGTTCACTCTGATGATAGTTTCTTTTGCTGTGCAGAAGCTCTTTAGTTTGATTAGATCCCATTTGTGAATTTTGGACTTTGTTGCCATTGCTTTTGGTGTTTTAGTCATGAAGTCTTTGCCCATGCCTATGTCCTGAATGATATTGCCTAGGTTTTCTTCCAGGGTTTCTATGGTTTTAGGTCTTATGTTTATGTCTTTAATAAATCTTGAGTTAATTTTTGTATAAGATGTAAGGAAGGGATCCATTTTCAGCTTTCTGCAAATGACTAGGCAGTTTTCCCAACACCTGTTATTAAATAGTGAATCCTTTCCCCATTGCTTGTTTTTGTCAGGTTTGTTGAAGATTAGATGGTTGTAGATGTGTGGTGTTATTTCTGAGGTCTCTGTTATGTTCTATTGGTCTATATATCTGTTTTGGTACCAGTACCATGCTGTTTTGGTTACTGTAGCCTTGTAGTATAGTTTGAACTCAAGTAGCATGATGCCTCCAGCTTTGTTCTTTTTGCTTAGGATTGTCTTGGCTATACAGGCTCTTTTTTTTTTTGATTCCTTATGAAATTTATAGTAGTTTTTTCTAGTTCTGTGAAGAAAGTCAATGGTAGCTTGATGGGAATAGCATTGAATCTCTAAATTACTTTGGACAGTATGGCCATTTTCATGTTGTTGATTCTTCCTATCCATGACCATAGAATGTTTTTCCATTTGTGTATGTCCTCTCTTATTTCCTTGAGCAGCATTTTGTAGTTCTTGAAGAGGTCCCTCATATCCCTTGTAAGTTGTATTCCTAGGTATTTTATTTCCTTTGTAGCAATTGTGAATGGGAGTTCACTCATGATTTGGCTCTCTGTTTGTATATTATTGGTGTATAGGAATGCTTAAACTTTTTGCACATTGACTTTGTATACTGAGACTTTGCTGAAGTTACTTATCAGCTTAAGGAGATTTTGGGCTGAGACGATGGGGTTTTCTAAATATACAATCATATCCTCTGCAAACAGAGACAAATTTTGAATTCCTGTCTTCCTATTTAAATACGCTTTATTTATTTCCCTTGCCTAATTGCCCTGGCCAGAACTTCCAATATTATGTTGAATAGGAGTGGTGAGAGAGGGCATCCTTGTGTTGTGCCAGATTTCAAAGGGAATGCTTCCAGCTTTTGCCCATTCAGTACGATATTGGCTGTGGGTTTGTCATAAATAGCTCTTATTATTTTGAGATACATTCCAACAATACCTAGTTTTTTGAGAGTTCTTAGCATGAAGGGCTGTTGAATTTTGTTGAAGGCCTTTTCTGCATCTATTGAGATAATTGTGTGGTTTTTGTCATTGGTTCCATTTATGTGATAGATTACGTTTGTTAATTTGCGTATGTTGAACCAGCCTTGAATCCCAGGGATGCAGCCGACTTGATCTTGTTTGATAAGCCTTTTGATGTGCTGCTGGATTTTGTTTGCCAGTATTTTATTCAGGATTTTTCCATCAATGTTCATCAGGGATACTGGTCTGAAATTTTCTTTTCTTGTTGTGTCTCTGCCAGGTTTTGATATCAGGATGATGCTGGCTTCATAAAATGAGTTAGGGAGGAGTCCCTCTTTTTCTGTTGTTTGGAATAGTTTCAGAAGGAATGGTAGCAGTTCCTCTTTGTACCTCTGGTAGAATTCGGCTGTGAATCCTTCTGGTCCTGGGCTTTTTTTGGTTGGTAGGCTATTATTTACTGCCTCAATTTCAGAACTTGTTATTGATCTATTCAAGGATTCGACTTCTTCCTAGTTTAGTCTTGGGAGGGGATATGTGTCCAGGAATTTATCCATTTCGTCTAGATTTTCTAGTTTATCTGTGTAGAGGTGTTTATAGTATTCTCTCTGATGGTAGTTTGTATTTCTGTGGGATCAGTGGTGATATCCCCTTTACCATTTCTTATTGTGTCTATTTGATTCTTCTCTCTTTTCTTCCTTATTAGTCTGGCTAGTGGTGTACCTATTTTGTTAATCTTTTCAAAAAACCAGCTCCTAGATTCATTGAGTTTTTGAAGGGTTTTTCGTGTCTCTATCTCCTTCAGTTCTGCTCTGATCTTAGTTATTTCTTGTCTTCTGCTAGCTTTTGAATTTGTTTGCTCTTGCTTCTCTAGTTCTTTTCATTGTGATGTTAGGGTGTCCATTTTAGATCTTTCCTGCTTTCTCTTGTGGGCATTTAGTGCTATAAATGTCCCTCTAAACACTGCTATAGCTGTGTCCCAGAGATTCTGGTACGTTGTGTCTTTGTTCTCATTGGTTTCAAAGAAATTATTTGTTTCTGCCTTAATTTCATATTTACCCAGTAGTCATTCAGGGGCAGGTGGTTCAGTTTCCATGTAGTTGTAAAGTTTTGAGTGTGTTTCTTTTTTTTCTCCTATTTTTATTTTTATTATTAGATTATTTATTTTTAAATATATATATATTTATTATACTTTAAATTCTAGGGTACATGTGCACAACATGCAGGCTTTTTACACATGTATACATGTGCCATGTTGGTGTGCTGCGCCCATTAACTTGTTATTTACATTAGGTATATCTCCTAATGCTATCCCTCCCCCCTCCCCCCACCCCACAACAGGCCCCATTGTGTGATGTTCACCTTCCTGTGTCCAAGTGTTCTCATTGTTCACTTCCCACTTATGAGTGAGAACACGCGGTGTTTGGTTTTTTGTCCTTGCGATAGTTTGCTGAGAATGATCATTTCCAGCTTCATCCATGTCCCTACAAAGGACATGAACTCATCATTTTTTATGGCTGCATAGTATTCCAATCCTGAGTTCGAATTTGATTGCACTGTGGTCTGGGAGACTGTTATGATTTCCGTTCTTTTGCACTTGCTGAGGAGTGTTTTACTTCCAATTATGTGGTCGATTTTAGACTAAGTGCTATGTGGTGCTGAGAAGAATGTATATATATTCTGTTGATTTGGGGTGGAGAGTTCTGTAGATGTCTATTAGGTATGCCTGGTCTAGAGCTGAGTTCAAGTCCTGAATATCCTTGTTAATTTTCTGTTTTATTGCTCTAATATTGACAGTGGGGTGTTAAAGTCTACCACTATTATTTTGTGGGAGTCTAAGTCTCTTTGTAGGTCTCTAACAACTTGCTTTATGAATCTGAGGCTCCTGTATTGGGTGCATATATATTTAGGATAGTTATCTCTTCTTGTTGCATTGATCCCTTTACGTTATGTAATGCCCTTGTCTCTTTTCATCTTTGATGGTTTAAAGTCTGTTTTATCAGAGACTAGGATTGCCACCCTTGCTTTTTTTTTCTTTCCATTTGCTTGTTAAATATTCCTCCATCCCTTTATTTTGAGCCCATTTGTTTCTTTGCACATGAGATGGATCTCCTGAATACAGCACACCAATGGGTCTTGACTGTTTATCCAATTTGCCAGTCTGTGTCTTTTAATTGCGGCATTTAGCCCATTTACATTTAAGGCTAATATTGTTATATGTGAATTTGATCCTGTCATCATGATGCTAGTTTGTTATTTTGCGTAATAGTTGATGCAGGTTCTTCATAGTGTCATTGGTCTTTTTATTTTGGTATGTTTTTGCAGTGGCTGGTACAGGCTTTTCCTTTCCATATTTAGTGCTTCCTTCAGGACCTCTCACAAGGCAGGCCAGTTGGTGACAAAATCCCTCAGCATTTGCTTGTCTGTAAAGGATTTTATTTCTCCTTGACTTATGAAGCTTAGTTTGGCTGGATATGAGATTCTGGGTTGAAAATTCTTTTCTTTACAAACGTTGAATATTGGTCCTCACCCTCTTCTTGTTTATGGGGTTTCTGCAGACAGATTTGCTGTTAGTCTGATGGGCTTCCTTTTGTAGGTAACCTGACCTTTCTCTCTCACTACCCTTCACACTTTTTCCTTCATTTCAACCTTGGTGAATCTGACAATTATGGGTCTTGGGGTTGCTCTTCTCGAGGAGTATCTTTGTGGTGTTCTCTGTATTTCCTGCATTTGAATGTAGGCCTGCCTTGCTAGGTTGGGGAAGTTCTACTGGATAATATCCTGAAGAGTGTTTTCCAACTTGGTTCCATTCTCCCTGTCACTTTCAGATACACCAATCAAACGTAGATTTGTTTTTTTCACATAGTCCCATATTTCCTGAAGGTTTTGTTTGTTTCTTTTCACTCTTTTTTCTCTAAACTTGTCTTCATGTTTTATTTCATTAAGTTGATCTTTAATCCCTGATAACCTTTCTTCCACTTGATCAATTCAGCTATTGATCTTGTGTATGCTTCGTGAAGTTCTTGTGCTGTGTTTTTTAGCTCCGTCGGGTCATTTATGTTCTTCTCTAAAACAGTTATTCTAGTTAGCAGTTCCTGTAACCTTTTATCAAGGTTCTTTTCATCCTTGCATTGGGTTAGAACATGCTCTTTTAGCTCAGAAGAGTTTGTTATTGCCCACCTTCCGAAGCCTATTTGTGTCAATTCGTCAAAGTCAAACTCACTCTCCATTCAGTTTTGCGCCCTTGCTGGAGAGGTGTTGCAATCATTTGGAGGAAAAGAGGCATTCTGGTTTCGGAATTTTCAGCCTTTTTGCACTGTTTTTTTCCTCATCTTCATGTATTTATCCACCTTTGATCTTTGATGCTAATAACCTTTGGATAGGGTTTTTGGGTGGGCATCCTTTTTGTTGATGCTGATGTTACTGCTTTCTGTTTGTAAGTTTTCCTTCTAACAGTCAGGACCCTCTGCTGCAGGTTGGCTGGAGTTGGCTGGAGGTCCACTCTATACCCTGTTCACCTGGGTATCACCAGTGGAGTCTGCAGAACAGCAAAGATTGCTGCCTGCTTCTTCCTCTGGAAGCTTCGTCCCAGAGGGGCACCTGCCTGATGCCAGCCAGAGCTCTCTTGCATGAGGTGTCTGTCGACCCCTGCTGGGAGGTGTCTCCTAGTAAGGAGGCACAGGGGTCAGGGACCCACTTGAGGAGGCAGTCTGTCCCTTAGCAGAGCTCAAGCGCTATGCTGGGAGACCTGCTGCTGTCTTCAGAGCCAACAGGCAGGAACGTTTAAGCCTGCTGAAACTGCTCCCACAGCCACCTCGTCCCCTAGGTGCTCTGTCCCAGGGAGATGGGAGTTTTATCTGTAAGCCCCTGACTGGGACTGCTGCCTTTCTTTCAGAGATACGCTGCCCAGTGAGGAGGAATCTAGGGAGCCAGTCTGGCCACAGCCACTTTGCAGAGCTGTGGTGAGTTCCACACAGTCCGAACTTCTCGTTGGCTTCCTTAACACTGTGAGGGGAAAACCACGTATTCAAGCCTCAGTAATAGTGGACGCCCCTTCCCCCATCAAACTCTATCTTCCCAAGTTTACTTCAGACTGCTGCGCTGGCAGCGAGAATTTCAAGCCAGTGGTTCTTAGCTTGCCGGGGTCCATGGAATTGGGACCCACTAAGCGAGACCACTTTGCTCCCTGGCTTCAGCCCCCTTTCCAGGGGCATGAACGGTTCTGTCTCGCTGGGGTTCCAAGTGCCACTGGGGTATGAGGGAAAAAAAAACTCCTGTGGCTTGCTAGGTGTCTGCCCTAACAGCTGCCCAGTTTTGTGCTTGAAACCCACAGCCTTGGTGGTGTAGGCACACGTGGGAATCTCCTGGTCTGTGGGTTGCAAAAACCGTGGGAAAAGCATGATGGCTGGGCCACATAGCACGGTGCCTCACAGCTGGGAAGGGGAGGGAGGTCCCCAGCCCCTTGCACTTCCTGAGCGAGGTGACGCCCCACCCTTCTTCTGCTCGCTGTCCGTTGGTTGCACCCAGTGTCTAACCAGTTCCAATGAGATGGACCAGGTACCTCAGTTGGAAATGCAGAAATCACCCACCTTCTATGTGGGTCTCACTGGGAGCTGCAGACTGGAGCTGTTCCTATTTGGCCATCTTGCCAGATCCTCCACAATGGCTTTCTTAAGAGCTGTTACGTAAAATGCCAGAAAATGTTTCCAACTTGGGATTTTGGCATTTGCTCTTCTCATGGCCTGGATCACTCTTCCTCCAGATATTCACATGGCTGGCTTCTTAACTTTAGTCATAGCTCTGCTTCAGTGCCACCTCCTCCAAGAAGCCTTCCCTAACCTTTCCCTTCCCCAAAGAAGTGCTACATGTGAAAGCACCACACATCACACAACTCTTCTTTCCCTTACCCTGTTCTGTTTACTTCATAGTACTTACCACTAACATTTTGTTTAAAAAGAAAGGTCAAAAATTTTTTAAAAAAGAAAGGAAAAATTAAAGAAAAACTAAACTCTGCTTTTAATTTATCATAACTGACTTGGCTAATTCAGCCAACTTGAGTCTTTAGTAGATTATTTGAGCAAATGATCTACTTTTACCAACTAAAAGTTATTAGGAGATTTGGGAGATATTGCTGGTCTACGTATCATCACAATAAGGATGAGAATAGCGATATTGCCAAGTTAGGTATCTTAAATGTATCTGACACTTTTCTGAAATTACATGGATAGGTGTCACTGGTAAAATCTCAAAATGCAGGGACAAAAATCAAAGCAAACTTTTATTTAAAAATCTCCAGGACAGGCTGGGTGCAGTTGCTTACTCTGGTAATCCCAGCACTTTGGGAAGCCGAGACAGGTGGATTGCTTGAGCTCAGGAGTTTGAGACCAGTCTGAGCAACATGGCGAAACCCTATCTCTACAAGAAACTCAAAAATTAGCCAGGCGTGGTAACACACACCTATCGTGTTAGTTACTTGGAAGGCTGAGGTGGGAGAATTGCTTCAGCTCAGGAGGTTGAGGCTGCAGTGAGCCATGATTGTCCCACCGCACTCCAACCTGGGTGACAGAGCAAAGCAAGACCCTGTCTCAAAAAAGAAAAAAATCTCCAGTGCAAACATAATTTGAAATTATTTCTTATAGTACCTGAATCACATCAGTAAGTCGTTGGAGAAAGAAATGGACTTTTTCACGCTCCTGACATTGTACTTGCAATCCAAACAATAGAAGTACTGTATAAAACCTTAAAATGTGCATATACTTTGATCTATTAATTCTACTTATGGGTCTCTATCCCACAGAAATATCTGCTTATATAGGCAAATATATAGGCATATGCATATTCACTCTGTCATTGTTTATAACAGCAAAAATAGAAACACTTTAAATGTCTAGCAATGGAGAACTGTCGAAATATATGATGGTACAAACACATAATGGAATTCTCTCCAATAGTTTAAAATAATGTAGACCTACACTTTCTAACATGGGGAGATGTTTGTGATTTATTACATGAAGAAATGGATGTTAAAAATTTGTGTGCAGTAAATCCTTCTGTTAAAAATATTGTGTGTATAAATACATATGTGTGTATGTATATATATGCATATAGACACATAGTTACCTACATACAAGCATAAGAAAAAACTCTGAAAAGACATTTTTTTGAATTTTAATAGATTTGTACATGTGTAAATTATGGGTGTTTTAAATGTTTTCTGCGTATTTTTCTGTAACTTGTAGATACTTTAAAATAATAAGTACACACCAATTTTTGGAATAAAAAGATTTAAACATATATGATGATCATGTCATGGAATTACAGATTATAAGAGCTGATGGGACTTTGGAATTCATTAAATGCTATTTCGTTCAAGAGATGCTTCCATTTTACCTAAGAGGAAACTAAGACCCAGAAGAGAAATTGAATTACCCAGGACTCAGATTTATGTCTCTCTCTCTCCAGTCATTCTCCCATTTTCACACCCCAGCAGGTGCTCAATTAATGCACTGATTGATGTAGTTGGTTGGTATTGATGTGGATGAGTCTGAGGGTGATCTCATTCCACTGTTGAACTTTGATAGAAAATTTCACAGTGGGAACAGAGATAGTTCAATTTTTCCCCCTGCAACAATTATGCAAGCCTCTGATTTACATTGATCAGGACATCTCCTTGGATAGCAAATGAGTTTATTATAGAAGTTGCTCATGTAAGATTTCCTCTGCCTGCGAATGTTTCTAATTATACCTACACTACTCATAGGCCAATTCTTAGTGATCATTGAGAAAAGCATTTCTCCACATAACACATTTTATTTAGACTTTCTGAATTATTTTGTATAAACGTTATCCTGATAGAGAAACCAGAGCTGAAGTTGAAAATAAAAGTGTTCTAGATCTAATTGTTGTTATCCTCCCCAAAAGTTTGTAGTGTAAAATAATTTACTGTTGACAAAGAAAGTACATTAATAATAAAAATTCTGAAACATTATTTGCTAAGGAGGCAAAAAATGCTCAGACTCCAGTTGTATGTTCAACACTGGGCTTGTGAAACTGATTTTTGTGATCTCTTGATGATGGAATAGCCAAAAAAGGGAGTCTGTGGGAGTTGCATAATTGTCAAAAGGCCATTAAAATTTTCAATCTAAAATGGAACAGAATTCATGCACTTCTGCTGAATTTCCCAGTTCTGTGGCTCAACAAAAAATGACCACAAGTTATGGTAACCACCAGTAGGATCTTTTGTTGTCTTGCCTTGGCCTAAAACTGAGAGTCACAAAATCCTGTGCATCTTCATCAAAGAATCAGCCTTGACACAAAATACCTTCCTTTTGCCACAACTTCGGTGGCGCTGGACATCAATGGAGTTGTTTGCACATAATAAGGAAAAAAAATAATGACTGTGGGGGAGAAGAACTCTCTGCCATCACCTTTCTTGCCAAAAGCTTACTGCCTGAAAAACTATTATTCAGGGAGAGAAAGTTTGTATTTATTAGGTAAATCAGAGCCAATCCAGTAGGTATTGGACAGGAGACATTTAATTTCCTCCTCAGTAGGACATCTTACGTGGCATAACTGGTCCTTTATACATGGCCTTCTTTAGAAAACTGGTGTGAACTGTAAACTGATTGCATTAAGTAACCACACCACTGAACATTGTTGTCTTAGGTTTGTTTCTCTTTTTCTTTTTTAAGCTTCTATAGAATGAGTTATCTCCTCAGCAGTGTGACTCACATATTCTGCCCTTTGCCTTTCAGGATATTATTCACTTTGCACGAATTAGTCCAGTGCAAGATTGTTGGATGAAAAACATGGCTCAAATGCTCTTGCTCTGTGAGGATAATTAAAAAATTTTCAACATGTCCAGTTTTCTTGAAAATGTATAGTCCTGATATATATATATAGGTATACTTACACACATGAATGACTGAATGAGAAGTACAGCTTATGAATAGCCTTCCCTATATATTTTACTATATACCAAGCTAATCTTTTGTATCAATATACAATTATGTAATATAGCATAAAGAACCCTGGAATGGAATACAAAAACCCTGGGTTCTAGTTTGGGCTCTGACTCTAGATAGTTGCATGAATTTGAACAAGTCACAATATCAGATTTATTTTTCGTTTTAAATTTTATTTTGTTTTCAGAGAATGGTGTGACTATTTTGGGGCTCAGAAAATGATACCGCAAAGTAGGGTGTTTTGGTATGCTTTGATTAAAGAAAATTAACGACCTTACAAATTGCTTCAGAATTAAGGTCTCTCTGACTTTTCCTTCTTTCTCCCCTAACTGCAAGGGTGGGCTTTCTCTGAAGTTCCTTTATCTGACAGAAGGTAGTTCTTCCAAAAGAAATGCAATTGCCTTAGAACCCTCCCTGGAATCTACATTAACCATAAAATGTTAACTCTTATCACAGGAGAGGGAATGAAAAGTCTCCATACCCAGGACACTATGCCTAGACAGACTTTTCAGCTATTCTTTCAACTATTCTTCCAAGGGCTGTCACCTAAACAACTATCTGCAGAATAAGACAAATTTTATGCATAGTACACTTCTGCCCCTCATCTTCCCATAGCTTGTTGCCATCTCCTCCAGAGCCCAGAGGAACTTTGTCCAAGGCTGTTATCTACTCTTTATGCCCATTCACTTCCCTTAAAAATTATCTACTTTTCCTCTAATCCCTTTCCCCTATGAAAAGGTATTTAAACTTCAATCATCTGGCCCTTCCTTAAGTCTTGTATTTTGTGTGGCTCCTGTGCACATATGCACGTTAATCATTGTGTCTGACTTTTCTCCTGTTAATGTTTTTATTGTCCATTTATTTCAACAGACTCAATTACCAAACCTCCAGAGGGCAAGGTTACCCTTCACTGTTAAGGCAAATTATAAAATATGACTATGGTAGATTCCCTTCCCTCCTCTCCCCTCCCCTCCCTTCCTTCTTTCCTTCCTTCCTTCATATTTATTGTACACGATGTAATAGTTTGGAGAATAAAACTATAAGCTGGGTGCAGTGGCTCACTCCTGTAATCCCAGCACTTTGGGAGGCCAAGGAGGGTGGATCACCTGAGGTCGGGAGTTCGAGACCAGCCTGTCCAACATGGAGAAACCCATTTCTACTAAAAATACAAAACTAGCTGGGTGTGGTGACACATGCCTGTAATCCCAGTTACTCAGGAGGCAGAGGCAGGAGAATTGCTTGAACCTGGAAGGTGGAGGTTGTGGTGAGCCAAGATCATGCCATTGCACTCCAGCCTGGGCAACAAGAGCAAAACTCTGTTTCAAAAAACAAACAAACAAAAAACAAACTATAAACAATGCCATAAACATATCCATCATCTCTAAAAGTTTCTCCCTGCCCTCTTTATTAAAAAAATTTTTTTTTGGTGATAAGAACACAACAGAGCGGACCCTGTCTCCAAAACTAAAACAGAGGGCAGCCAAGATGGCCGAATAGGAACAGTTCCGGTCTACAGCTCCCAGTGTGAGCGACATAGAAGACGGGTGATTTCTGCATTTACATCTGAGGTACCGGGTTCATCTCACTAGGGAGTGCCAGACAGTGGACGCAGGACAGTGGGTGCAGCACACTGTGCATGAGACGAAGCAGGGCGAGGCATTGCCTCACTCGGGAAGTGCAAGCGGTCAGGGAGTTCCCTTCCCTAGTCAAAGAAAGGGGTGACAGACGGCACCTGGAAAATCGGGTCACTCCCACCCGAATACTGCACTTTTCCAATTTGCTTAAAAAATGGCGCACCAGGAGATTATATCCTGCACATGGCTTGGAGGATCCTACGCCCACGGAGTCTCACTGATTGCTAGCACAGCAGTCTGAGATCAAACTGCAAGGCGGCAGTGAGGCTGGGGGAGGGACGTCCGCCATTGCCCAGACTTGCTTAGGTAAACAAAGCAGCCGGGAAGCTCGAACTGGGTGGAGCCCACCACAGCTCAAGGAGGCCTGCCTGCCTCTGTAGGCTCCACCTCTGGGGGCAGGGCACAGACAAACAAAAAGACAGCAGTAACCTCTGCAGACTTAAATGTCCCTGTCTGACAGCCTTGAAGAGAGCAGTGGTTCTCCCAGCACACAGCTGGAGATCTGAGAACGGACAGACTGCCTCCTCAAGTGGGTCCCAGACCCCTGGCCCCTGAGCAGCCTAACTGGGAGGCACCCCCCAATAGGGGCAGACTGACACCTCACACGACCGGGTACTCCTCTGAGACAAAACTTCCAGAGGAACGATCAGATGGCAGCATTCGCGGTTCAGGAAAATCTGCTGTTCTGCAGCTACTGCTGCTCATACCCAGGTAAACAGGGTCTGGAGTGGACCTCTAGCAAACTCCAACAGACCTGCAGCTGAGGGTCCTGTCTGTTAGAAGGAAAACTAACAAACAGAAAGGACATCCACACCAAAAACCCATCTGTACATCACCATCATCAAAGACAAAAAGTAGATAAAACCACAAAGATGGGGAAAAAACAGAGCAGAAAAACTGGAAACTCTAAAAAGCAGAGCGCCTCTCCTCCTCCAAAGGAACGCAATTCCTCACCAGCAACGGAACAAAGCTGGACGGAGAATGACTTTGATGAGTTGAGAGAAGAAGGATTCAGACGATCAAACTACTCCGAGCTACAGGAGGAAATTCAAACCAAAGGCAAAGAACTTAAAAACTTTGAAAAAAATTTAGACGAATGTATAACTACAATAACCAATACAGAGAAGTGCTTAAAGGAGCTGATGGAACTGAAAGCCAAGGCTCGAGAACTATGTGAAGAATGCAGAAGCCTCAGGAGCCGATGTGATCAACTGGAAGAAAGGGTATCAGTGATGGAAGATGAAATGAATGAAATGAAGCGAGAAGGGAAGTTTAGAGAAAAAAGAATAAAAAGAAAAGAACAAAGCCTCCAAGAAATATGGGACTATGTGAAAAGACCAAATCTATGTCTGATTGGTGTACCTGAAAGTGACGGGGAGAATGGAACCAAGCTGGAAAACACTCTGCAGGATATTATCCAAGAGAACTTCCCCAATCTAGCAAGGCAGGCCAACATTCAGATTCAGGAAATAAAGAGAATGCCACAAAGATACTCCTCGAGAAGAGCAACTCCAAGACACATAATTGTCAGATTCACCAAAGTTGAAATGAAGGAAAAAATGTTAAGGGCAGCCAAAGAGAAAGGTCAGGTTACCCACAAAGGGAAGCCCATCAGACTAATAGCGGATCTCTCGGCAGAAACTCTACAAGCCAGAAGAGAGTGGGGGCCAATATTCAACATTGTTAAAGAAAAGAATTTTCAACCCAGAATTTCATATGCAGCCAAACTAAGCTTCATAAGTGAAGGAAAAATAAAATCCTTTACAGACAAGCAAATGCTGAGAGATTTTGTCACCACCAGGCCTGCCCTAAAAGAGCTCCTGAAGGAAGCACTAAACATGGAAAGGAACAACCGGTACCAGCCACTGCAAAATCATGCCAAAATGTAAAGACCATTGAAACTAGGAAGGAACTGCATCAACTAACGAGCAAAATAACCAGCTAACATCATAATGACAGGATCAAATTCACACATAACAATATTAACTTGAAATGTAAATGGACTAAATGCTCCAATTAAAAGACGCAGACTGGCAAATTGGATAAAGAATCAAGACCCATCAGTGTGCTGTATTCAGGAAATCCATCTCACGTGCAGAGACACACATAGGCTCAAAATAAAAGGATGGAGGAAGATCTACCAAGCAAATGGAAAACAAAAAAAGGCAGGGGTTGCAATCCTAGTCTCTGATAAAACAGACTTTAAACCAACAAAGATCAAAACAGACAAAGAAGGCCATTACATAATGGTAAAGGGATCAATTCAACAAGAAGATCTAACTATCCTAAATATATATGCTCCCAATACAGGAGCACCCAGATCCATAAAGCAAGTCCTGAGGGACCTACAAAGAGACTAAGACTCCCACACAATAATAATGGGATACTTTAACACCACACTGTCAACATTAGACAGATCAACGAGACAGAAAGTTAACAAGGATACCCAGGAATTGATCTCACCTCTGCACCAAGCAGACCTAATAGACATCTACAGAACTCTCCACCCCAAATCAACAGACTACACATTTTTTTCAGCACCACACCACACCTATTACAGAATTGACCACATAGTTGGAAGTAAAGCTCTCCTTAGCAAATGTAAAAGAACAGAAATTATAACAAACTGTCTCTCAGACCACAGTGCAATCAAACTAGAACTCAGGATTAAGAAATTCACTCAAAACCACTCAACTACATGGAAACTGAATAACCTGCTCCTGAATGACTACCGGGTACATAACGAAATGAAGGCAGAAATAAAGATATTCTTTGAAACCAACGAGAACAAAGACACAACATACCAGAATCTTTGGGACACAGTCAAAGCAGTGTGTAGAGGGAAATTTATAGCACTAAATGCCCACAAGAGAAAGCAGGAAAGATCCAAAATTGACACCATAACATCACAATTAAAATAACTAGAAAAGCAAGAGCAAACACATTCAAAAGCTATCAGAAGGCAAGAAATAACTAAAATCAGAGCAGAACTGAAGGAAATAGAGACACAAAAAAGCCTTCAAAAAATTAATGAATCCAGGAGCTGGTTTTTTGAAAGGATCAACAAAATTGATAGACCACTAGCAAGACTAATAAAGAAGAAAAGAGAGAAGAATCAACTAGATGCAATAAAAAATGATAAAGGGGATATCACCACCGATCCCACAGAAATACAAACTACCATCAGAGAAGACTACAAACACCTCTACGCAAATAAACTAGAAAATCTAGAAGAAATGGATAAATTCCTCGATACCTACACCCTCCCAAGACTAAAGCAGGAAGAAGTTGAATCTCTGAATAGACCAATAA
Source organism: Homo sapiens (assembly GCF_000001405.40). Classification (NCBI taxonomy): domain Eukaryota; kingdom Metazoa; phylum Chordata; class Mammalia; order Primates; family Hominidae; genus Homo; species Homo sapiens. Next base: position 67,151,118 of record NC_000003.12, read on the forward strand.
CAGGATCTGAAATTGTGGCAATAATCAATAGCTTACCAACCAAAAAGAGTCCAGGACCAGATGGATTCACAGCCGAATTCTACCAGAGGTAGAAGGGGGAACTGGTACCATTCCTTCTGAAAGTATTCCAATCAATAGAAAAAGAGGGAATCCTCCCTAACTCATTTTATGAGACCAGCATCATCCTGATACCAAAGCCTGGCAGAGACACAACCAAAAAAGAGAATTTCAGACCAATATCCTTGATGAACATTGATGCAAAAATCCTCAATAAAATACTGGCAAACCGAATCCAGCAGCACATCAAAAAGCTTATCCACCATGATCAAGTGGGCTTCATCCCTGGGATGCAAGGCTGGTTCAACATACGCAAATCAATAAATGTAATACAGCATATAAACAGAACCAAAGACAAAAACCACATGATTATCTCAATAGATGCAGAAAAGGCCTTTGACAAAATTCAACAACCTTCATGCTAAAAACTCTCAATAAATTAGGTATTGATGGGACGTATCTCAAAATAATGAGAGCTATCTGTGACAAACCCACAGCCAATATCATACTGAATGGGCAAAAACTGGAAGCATTCCCTTTCAAAACTGGCTCAAGACAGAGATGCCCTCTCTCACCACTCCTATTCAACGTAGTGTTGGAAGTTCTGGCCAGGGCAGTTAGGCAGGAGAAGGAAATAAAGGGTATTCAATTAGGAAAAGAGGAAGTCAAATTGTCCCTATTTGCAGATGACATGATTGTATATCTAGAAAACCCCATTGTCTCAGGCCAAAATCTCCTTAAGCTGATAAGGAACTTCAGCAAAGTCTCAGGATACAAAATCAATGTACAAAAATCACAAGCATTCTTATACACTAATAACAGACAAACAGAGAGCCAAATCATGAGTGAACTCCTATTCACTCATGCTTCAAAGAGAATAAAATACCTAGGAATCCAACTTACAAGGGATGTGAAGGACCTCTTCAAGGAGAACTACAAACCACTGCTCAATGAAATAAAAGAGGATACAAAGAAATGGAAGAACATTCTATGCTCATGGGTAGGAAGAATCAATATTGTGAAAATGGCCATACTGCCCTAGGTAATTTATAGATTCAATGCCATCTCCATCAAGCTACCAATGACTTTCTTCACAGAATTGGAAAAAACTACTTTAAAGTTCATATGGAACCAAAAAAGAGCCCGCATCGCCAAGTCAATCCTAAGGCAAAAGAACAAAGCTGGAGGCATCACACTACCTGACTTCAAACTATACTACAAGGCTACAGTAACCAAAACAGCATGGTACTGGTACCAAAACAGAGATACAGATCAATGGAACAGAACAGAGCCCTCAGAAATAACACTGCATATCTACAACTATCTGATCTTTGACAAACCTGAGAAAAACAAGCAATGGGGAGAAGATTCCCTATTTAATAAATGGTGCTGGGAAAACTGGCTAGCCATATGTAGAAAGCTGAAACTGGATCCCTTCCTTACACCTTATACAAAAATTAATTCAAGATGGATTAAAGACTTAAATGTTAGACCTAAAACCATAAAAACCCTAGAAGAAAACCTAGGCATTACCATTCAGGACATAGGCATGGGCAAGGACTTCATGTCTAAAACACCAAAAGCAATGGCAACAAAAGCAAAATTGACAAATGGGATCTCATTAAACTAAAGAGCTTCTGCACAGCAAAAGAAACTACCATCAGAATGAACAGGCAACCTACAAAATGGGAGAAAATTTTCACAACCTACTCATCTGAAAAAGGGCTAGTATCCAGAATCTACAATGAACTCAAACAAATTTACAAGAAAAAAGCAAACAACCCCATTAAAAAGTGGGCAAAGGATATCAACAGACACTTCTCAAAAGAAGACATTTATGCAGCCAAAAGACACATGAAAAAATGCTCATCATCACTGGCCATCAGAGAAATGCAAATCAAAACCACAATGAGATACCATCTCACACCAGTTAGAATGGCGATCATTAAAAAGTCAGGAAACAACAGGTGCTGGAGAGGATGTGGAGAAATAGGAACACTTTTACACTGTTGGTGGGACTGTAAACTAGTTCAACCATTGTGGAAGTCAGTGTGGCGATTCCTCAGGGATCTAGAACTAGAAATACCATTTGACCCAGCCATCCCATTACTGGGTATATACCCAAAGGATTATAAATCATGCTGCTATAAAGACACATGCACACGTATGTTTATTGCAGCACTATTCACAATAGCAAAGACTTGGAACCAACCCAAAAGTCCAACAATGATAGACTGGATTAAGAAAATGTGGCAGATATACACCATGGAATACTATGCAGCCATAAAAAATGATGAGTTCATGTCCTTTGTAGGGACATGGATGAAATTGGAAATCATCTTTCTCAGCAAACTATTGCAAGGACAAAAAACCAAACACCGCATGTTCTCACTCATAGGTGGGAATTGAACAATGAGAACACATCGACACAGGAAGGGGAACATCACACTCTGGGGACTGTTGCGGGGTAGGGGGAGGGGGGAGGGATAGCATTAGGAGATATACCTAATGCTAAATGATGAGTTAATGGGTGCAGCACACCAGCATGGCACATGTAAGCATATGTAACTAAGCTGCACATTGTGCACATGTATCCTAAAACTTAAAGTGTAATAATAATAAATTAAAAAAAGAAGTTAAAAAAACAAAAAAACAAAAACAAAAACAAAACAAAAGAACACAACATGAGATCTACCCTCTTAGCAAATTCTTACATACATATACAGTACAGTATTGTTAACCACAGGCAGTATGCTGGGTAGTCAGTGTCTAGGACATAGTCATCTTACATAATTAAAACTTTGTGTGATTTGCTGGCAAGATGGCCAAAGAGGAACAGCTCCTATCTGCAGCTCCCAGTGAGATGGATGCAGAAGGTGGGTGATTTCTGCATTTCTAACTGAGGTACCCAGTTCATCTCACTGGGACTGGTTGGACAGTGGGTGTAGCCCAAGGAGGGCGAGCCAAAACAGGGTGGGGCGTTGCCTCACCCAGGAAGCCCAAGGGGTCAGGGAACTCCCCTTCTATCCAAGGGAAACCGTTAGGGACTGTACCATGCACTCTGACCCAGAAAAGGCACTTTTCCCACGGTCTTCACAACTCACAGACCAGAAGATTTCCTCCGGTGCCTACACCACCAGGGCATTGGGTTTCCAGCACAAAAATGTGTGGCCCTTTGGGCAGACACAGAGCTAGCCACAAGAGTTTTTTTCATACCCCAGTGGTGCCTGGAATGCCAGTGAGACAGAACCGTTCACTTACCTGGAAAGGGGGCTGAAGGCAGGGAGCCAAGTAGTGTGGCTCGGCGGGGTCCCACCCCCACAGAGTCCAGCAAGATAAGATCCGCTGGCTTGAAATTCTCATGCCAGCACAGCAGTCTGAGCTCAACCTGGAACCCTCAAGCTTGGTGGGGGGAGGGGCATCCGCCACTCCTTAGGCGTGAGTAGGTGGTTTTACCCCCACAGTGTAAACAAAGCCGCCAGGAAGTTTGAACTGGGCAGAGCACACCATGCTCAACAAGGCCGCTGTGGCCAGCCTGTCTCTAAATTCCCTCCTCTCTGGGCAAGGCATCTCTGAGAAAAAGGCAGCAGCCCCAGTCAGGGACTTATAGATAAAACCTCCACGTCCCTGGGACAGAGCATCTAGGGGAAGGAGCAGTTGTGGGTGCAGCTTCAGCAGACTTAAACATCCCTACCTGGCAGCTCTGATGAGAGCAGTAAATCTCCCAGCACAGCATTCGAGCTATGATAAGGGACAGCTTGCCTCCTAAAGTGGGTCCCTGACCCCACATATACTGATGGGGAGACACCTCCCAGTAGGGGCCAACAGACATCGCATACAAGAGAGCTCTGGCTGGCATCTGGTGGGTGCCCCTCTGGGATGAAGCTTCCAGAGGAAGGAACAGGCAGCAATCTTTGCTGTTCTGCAACCTCCACCTGTGATACCCAGGCAAACAGGGTCTGGAGTGGACCTCTAGCAAACTCCAGCAGACCTGCAGAGAGGGGCCTGACTGTTAGAAGGAAAACTAATAAACAGAAAGGAATAGTATCAATATCAACAGAAAGGATATCCAATCAGAGACCCCATCTGATGATCACCGACTTCAAAGACCAAAGGTAGATAAATCCACAAGGATAGGGAGAAAACAGTGCAAAAAGACTGAAAATTCCAAAAACCAGAATGGCTTTTCTCCTCCAAAGGATCACAACTCCTTGTCAGCAAGGGAACAAAACTGGATGGAGAATGAGTTTGATGAACTGACAGAAGTAGGCTTCAGAAGGTGGGTAATAGCAAACTTCTCCAAGCTAAAGGAGCATGTTCTAACCCAATACAAGCAAGCTAAGAACTAAGAACCTTGAAAAAAGATTAGAGAAACTGCTAACTAGAATAACCAGTTTAGAGAAGAAAATAAATGACCTGATGGAGGTGAAAAACACAAAGCATGAGAACTTTGTGAAGCATACACAAGTATCAATAGCCAAATCGATCAAGCAGAAGAAAGGATATCAGAGATTGAAGACCAACTCAATGAAATGATGTGGGAAGACAAGATTAGAGAAAAAAAAGTAAAAAGAGACAAACAAAGCCTCTAAGAAATATGGGACTATGGGAAAAGACGAAATCTACGTTTGATTGGTGTGCCAGAAAGTGACGGGGGCAATGGAACCAAGTTGGAAAACGCTCTTCAGGATATTATCCAGAACTTCCCCAACCTAGCAAGGCAGGCCAACATTCAAATTCAGGAAATACAGAAAACACCACAAAGATATTCCTTGAGAAGAGCAACCCTAAGACACATAATTGTCAGATTCACCAAAGTTAAAATAAGGAAAAAATGTGAAGGGGAGCCAGAGAGAAAGGTCAGGTTACCCACAAAGGGAAGCCCATCAGACTAACAGTGGATCTCTTGGCAGAAACCTTACAAGCCAGAAGAGAGTAGGGGCCAGTATTCAACATTCTTAGGAAAGAATTTTCAACCCAAAATTTCATATCCAGTCAAACTAAGCTTCATATGCGAAGAAGAAATAAAATCCTTTACAGATAAGGAAATGCTGAGAGATTTTGTCATCACCAGGCCTACCCTACAAGAGGTCCTGAAGGAAGCACTAAACATGGAAAGGAACAACCGGTACCAGTCACTGCAAAAACACACCAAATTGTAAAGACCATCGATGCTATGAAGAAACTGCATCAACTAACAGGCAAAATAACCAGCTAGCATTTACAATGGCATGATCAGATTTATACATAACAGTATTACCTTAAATGTAAATGTGATAAATGCCCGAATTAAAAGACACAGACTGGCAAGTTGGATAAAGAGTCAAGACCCATTGGTGTGCTGTATTCAGGAGATCCATCTCATGTGCAAAGAAACAAATGGGCTCAAAATAAAGGGATGGAGGGATATTTAACAAGTAAATGGAAAGTTAAAAAAAAAATTAAAGAGCAGTGTTGCAATCCTAGTCTCTGATAAAACAGACTTTAAACCAACAAAGAACAAAAGAGACAAAGAAGGGCATTACAAAATGGTAAAGGGATCAATGCAACAAGAAGAGATAACTATCCTAAATATATATGCACCTAATACAGGAGCACCAACATTCATAAACCAAGTTTTTAGAGACCTATAAAGAGACTTAGACTCCCACACAATGATAGTGGGAGACTTTAACACCACACTGTGAATATTAGACAGATCAATGAGAAAGAAAATTAACAAGGATATCCAGGACTTGAACTCAGCTCTGGACCAAGGGGACATGATAGACATCTACAGAATTCTCCAACCCAAATCATCAGAATATACTTTCTTCTCAGCACCACATCGCACTTATTCTAAAATCAACTACATAATTGAAAGTAAAACACTCCTCAGCAAATGCAAAAGAACAGAAATCATAACAAACAGTTTCTCAGACCACAGTGCAATCAAATTCGAACTCAGGATTAAGAAACACATTCGAAACTGTGCAACTACATGGAAACTGAATGCCATGCTCCTGAATGACTACTGGGTAAAGAATGAAATTAAGGCAGAAATAAAGATGTTCTTTGAAACCAATGAGAACAAAGACACAACGTACCAGAATCTCTGGGTCACATTTAAAGCAGTGTGTAGAGGGAAATTTATAGCACTAAATGCCCACAAGAGAAAGTAGGAAAGATCTAAAATGGACACCCTAACATCACAATGAAAAGAACTAGAGAAGCAAGAGCAAACAGATCCAAAACCTAGCAGAAGACAAGAAATAACTAAGATCAGAGCAGAAATGAAGGAGATAGAGACATGAAAAACCCTTCAAAAAATCAATGAATCCAGGAGCTGGTTTTGTGAAAAGATCAACAAAATAGATACACCACTAGCCAGGGAAGAAAGAAGAATCAAATAGTTTCAATAAAAAATGATAAAGGGGATATCACCAGCAATCCTGCAGAAATACAAACTACCATCAGAGAATACTAAAAACATCTCTATGTAAATAAACTAGAAAATCTAGAAGGAATGGATAAATTCCTGGACACATACACCTTCTCAAGACTAAATGAAGAAGTCGAATCTCTGAATAGACGATAACAAGTTCTGAAATTGAAGCAGCAATTAATGGCCTACCAACCAAAAAAAGCCCAGGACCAGAAGGATTCACAGCCAAATTCTACCAGAGGTACAAAAAGGAGCTGCTACCATTCCTTCTGAAACTATTCCAAACAATAGAAAAAGAGGGACTCCTCCCTAACTCATTTTATGAGGCCAGCATCATCCTGATGCCAAAATGTGGCAGAGACACAACAAGAAAAGAAAATTTCAGACCAATATCCCTGATGAACATTGATAGAAAAATCCTGAATAAAATACTGGCAAACCAAATCCAGCAGCACATCAAAAGGCTTATCCACCAAGATCAAGTCGGCTGCATCCCTGGGATGCAAGGCTGGTTCAACATATGCACATTAATAAATGTAATCTATTACATAAACAGAACCAATGACAAAAACCATATGATTATCTCAATAGATGCAGAAAAGGCCTTTGACAAAATTCAACAGCCCTTCACGCTAAAAACTCAAAAATCTAGGTATTGATGGAACGTATCTCAAAATAATAAGAGCTATTTATGACAAACCCACAGCCAATATCATAGTGAATGGGCAAAAACTGGAAACATTCCCTTTAAAAACTGGCTCAAGACAAGGATACCTTCTCTCACCATTCCTATTCAACATAGTATTTGACGTTCCAGCCAGGGCAATCAGGCAAGAAAAAGAAATAGAGGGTATTCAATTAGGAAAAGAGGAACTGAAATGTCTGTTTGCAGATGACATGATTGTATATTTAGAAAACCCCATCGTCTCAGCCCCAAATCTCCTTAAGCTGTTAAGCAACTTCAGTAAAGTCTCAGGATATAAAATCAATGTGCAAAAATAACAAGTATTCCTATACACCAATAACAGACAAACAGAAAGCTAAATCATGAGTGAACTGCCCTTCACAATTGCTACAAAGGAAATAAAATACCTAGAAATACAACTCACAAGGGATGTGAAGGACCTCTTGAAGGAAAACTACAAACCACTGCTCAAGGAAATAAGAGAGGACTCAAACAAATGGAAAACTATTCCATACTCATGGATAGGAAGAATCAATATCATGAAAATGGCCATACTGCTGAAAGTAATTTATAGATTCAATGCTATCCCCATCAAGCTACCATTGACTATCATCACAGAATTGGAATAAAACTACTTTAAACTTCATATGGAACCAAAAAGGAGCCCCCATAGCCAAGACAATCCTAAGCAAAAAGAACAAAGCTGGAGGCATCACACTACCTGACTTCAAACTATACTACAAGGCTACAGTAACCAAAACAGCATGGTTCTGGTACCAAAACAGATATATAGACCAATGGAATAGAACAGAGGCCTCAGAAATAACACTACACATATACAAGTATCTGATCTTTGACAAACCTGACAAAAACAAGCAATGGGGAAAGGATCCCCTATTTAATAAATGGTGTTGGGAAAACTGGCTTGCCATATGCAGAAAGCTGAAACTGGATCCCTTCCTTATACCCTATACACAAATTAGCTCAAGATGGATTAAAGACTTAAACATAAGACCTAAAACCATAAAAACCCTAGAAGAAAACCTGGGCAATACCATTCTTTCAGGACATCGGCGTGGGCAAGGACTTCATGACTAAAACACAAAAGCAATGGCAAGAAAATCCAAAATTGACAAATGGGATCTTATTAAACTAAAGAGCTTCTGCACAGCAGAAGAAACTATCATTAGAGTGAACAGGCAACCTACAGAATGGGAGAAAATTTTTGCAATCTATCCATCTGACAAAGGGCTAATATCCAGAATCTACAAAGAACTTAAACAAATTTATAAGAAAAAACAAACAGCCGCATCAAAAAGTGGGTGAAGGATATGGACAGACACTTCTCAAAGGAAGACATTTATGCAGCCAACAAACATATGAAAAATAGCTCATCACTGGTCATTAGAGAAATGCAAATGAAAACCACAATGAGATACCATCTCACACCAGTTAGAGTGGTGATCATTAAAAAGTCAGGAAACAACAGATGCTGGAGTGGATGTGGAGAAACAGGAACGCTTTTACACTGTCGGTGGGAGTGTGAATTAGTTCAACCATTGTGGATGACAGTGTGGCGATTCCTCAAGGATCTAGAACTAGAAATACCATTTGACCCAAAAATCCCATTACTGGGTATATAACCAAAGAATTACAAATCACTCTACTACAAACAGACATGCACGTGTATGTTTATTGTGGCACTGTTTACAACAGCAAAGACTTGGAACCAAACCCAATGCCCATCAATGATAGACTGGATAAAGAAAATGTGGCACATATACACCATGGAATACTATGCAGCCATAAAAAAGCATGAGTTTATGTCCTTTGCAGGGAGACAGATGACACTGGAAACCATTATTCTCAGCAAACTAACACAAAAACAGAAAATCAAACACCGCATGTTCTCGCTCATAAGTGGGAGTTGATTAATGAGAATGCATGGACACAGGGAGGGGAACATCACACACTGGGGCATGTTGGGGGGTTGGGGACTAGGGAAGGGATAGCATTAGGAGAAATATCTAATGTAGATGACGGATTGATGGGTGCAGCAAACCACCATGGCACGTGTATACCTATGTAACAAACCTGCACGTTCTGCACATGTACCTCAGATCTTAAAGTATGATAAAAATAAAAAATAAAAAATATATCTTTGTACCCTTTGACTATCATCTCACTATTTCTCCCACCCTTATACCCTGGCAATCATTTTTCTACTCTCTGCTTCAACAAGTTTGACTATTTTATATTCCTCATATCACTGGGATCACATAGCATTTGTCCTCTTGTGTCTGGCTCATTTTACTTAGCATCATGTCTTCCAGGTTCATCCATGTTGTGTCAAATGACAGGATTTCTTTCTTTTTTGAAGGCTGAATACTTGTATTCATCTTCTATTGCTGCCATAACAAATGACCACAAGCTTAACACAAATTTTTTAGCTCACAGTGTCGCAGGTCATAAGCCCAGTTGGCTTGACTGATTGTGCTCCTCTGGCTTCCACGAGGCTAAAATCCAGGTTAAGTTCAGCCTGGGCTCTTCTCTGGAATCCTTGGGGGAGAATCTGCTTCCAACCTCATTCATTGTTTGCAGGATGGTGGCAGAATTTGGTTTAAGCAATGGGAAAACTGAAGTTCTCATTTCCTTGCTGGCTGCCAGCCAGGGGTTATCCTCAGCTTCTAGAGGCCACCTGCACTCCCCAACTCTTGGCTCCCTTCACCTCAAATCCAGAAACAATGGGACATTTCCTCTCAGGCTTCAGATCTCTCTTGCATCTTCTGCTGCTGCATCTGGCTCTAGTCCAAGAAATATTTCTTCTTTTAAGGGCTCAAGTGATTAGATTGGACCTAACCAGATAATTCAGACTAATCTCCTCATCTCAAAGTCTAACCTTAATCACATCTGTAGAGCCTATTTTACCATATAAGGTAACCTATTTACAGGTTCTAGGGATTAGAAGGTGACATCTCTGGGGAACATTGGTTTGCTTATCGCACTTACCTTCCCTGGGCTGCTCCAGCATCTTCACTTCTACAACAGGGGAGTTGGATGAAATCAGTGTTTCTCAAAGTATGTGAAAACATGCCTCTGGAGGACCACAACACAAGTTTAGTGAATCCTGCTCTTGGATCTGACGCTAAATGACACCGAGAGTCACACAATGAGATTGCTATTCCCATGCCAGTTTCTTTCAAGTCTTTATATTAAGGCAGGGAAATAGCCTGTTTGGTTTTAGTATTTCTTTCAGACTGCTCTAATACTTGCTTATTTCCCTTCTTATTGGGATGGGGGTTGGGAAGAGAAAGATAAAAAGGAGAGAGAATGAAGCTCAGGTCCCCCATTTCAGAGCCCATCTACCTAGTAAAATTTAACAATGTAATTTTGCTTTTATTGTATTTGTTTAAACTGCTATACTATGTTTATGGCAAATTGATATTGGTTTTCCATTTACGGTATTCAAATAAATTTTAATTTTAAAATCAATACATGTAGAAAAATCAGTAAATTTGAAGAAAAATATTAAAGAAAGTAACAATTCAGCATATATATATATATATTTTTAGATAAAGTCAGTTCTGTAAAACTAGCACAAAAATAAAGGAAACTGTGGACCTTCTACACTAGACAACCTCTTAATTCCCTTTGAGCTTCAAAAAAGTTAATTTAACCAATAGGAAAATTGCCCAAAGCTTGGAAACATGCTTCAAAAGAGAGGCTATTCACCCATTCTCCATGATGTGATTATTTCACATTGTATGCCTGTATCAAAACATCTCCTGTACAATATATAAACCTACTATGTACCCACTAAACAAAAAATAAAAAATTTAAAAAACTAACAAAAAAGAAGCTATCCAAATGGCCAAGAAACATATGAAAAGGTGCTTAGCTTTATTAATAATCAGGACAATGCAAATTAGAATCATAGTGAAACATTATTACATGCCCACCAGACTGACAAAAATTAAAAGGTCTGACAGTACCAAATGTGGCAAGATTGTAAAGCAATGAGAATTTCCAGTTACTGTTGTGAGAGGATAAAATGGTGCTCTGGGGGAAAAATGTGAATGACTTTGAAAAGGTTACTATGTGCCCTGTCTAGTGCATCTTTCCAGGTTATTACTGCCTTTCATTGTTTTTCAGCTATTTTACAGTTCTATGAATTTTAGAAAACTGATAGTAAGGCAAATGATTTTTGCCCGTAGACATGCAAATTGTTTCCAGGGGAATGAAATTGATTATTGCCCAATGTATTTTTGCCAGTTTTGCATCTATTTGTAAATTCATTAAAGCCTATATATTTGTCTGTTCTTTAGATTCTCCTTTGAACTGGCTGCAACAGTTACAGTTTCCTTCGTTGATTAATGAGTTAAATAAAATCTTCAATGTATTGGCTTTATATTTGTGTGAGAGTCACAATTTTATATTTAGAAAAATATGCTTTAACAGTCTAAACTAGAAAACAGTTTACTATTAACAAGTTATGATATGCATAGTCCAATTTTATTGAGTGCTATAACAAGATAACACAGACTGGGTAGTTTAGAAACAACAGAAATTGAATCTATAGATTGCTTTTGACAGTATGGTCATTTTCACCATATTGAGTCTTTCTATCCATCTATGAGCATAGGATGTTTTTCCATTTGTTTGTGTCATCTATGATTTTTTTTTCAGTAGTGTTTTTTAGTTCTCTTTGTAGAGATCTTTTCCCTCCTTGGTAAAGTATATTCCTAAATATTTTATTTTTTAGTGTGTGGCTGTTGTAAAAGGTATTGAGTTCTTAATTTCTCAGCTTGGTCACTGTTGGTGTATAGCAGTGCTACTAATTTGTGTACATTGATTTTGTAACCTGAGACTTCACTAAATTCATTTATCAGACCTAGGAATCATTTGGATGAGTCTCTAAGGTTTTTTAGGTAGACAATCATATCATCAGTGAACAGCGTTAGTTTGACTTTCTCTTTTCCAATTTGGATGCCTTTTAGTCATTTCTCTTGCCTGATTGCTCTGGCTGGGATTTCCAGTACTGTGCTGAATAGAAGTGGTCAAAGGGGGCATCCTTACCCTGTTCCAGTTCTCACGGGGAATGCTTTCAACTTTTCCCCATTCAGTATGATATTGGCTGTGGGTCTGTCATAAATGGTTTTGATTAATTTGTGGTAAGTCCCTTCTATGCTAGTTTATTAAGGGTTTTTTATCATAACGATATGTTAGATTTTATCAAATGCTTTATCTGTATCTATTGAAATGATCATAAAGTTTTGTTTCTAATCTGCTTAAGTCATCAAAAGCAATTGAAACAAAAGCAAAAATTGACAAATAGGATATAAACTAAAGAACTTTGGCACAGCAGAAGAAACTATCATAGAAGTGAACAGATAATCTGTAGAATGGGAGAAAATTTTTGCAACCTATCTATCTGACAAATGTCTAATATCCAAGGTGTACAAGGAACTTAAATAAATTTACAAGAAAAAACAACCCCATTAAAAACTGGGCAAAGGACATGAACAGACATTTCTCAAAAGAAGACACTCATGCAGCCAACAAACACATAAAGACAAGCTCAACATTACTGATCATTAGAGAAATGCAGATCAAAACCACAATGAGATGCTATCTCGTGCTTGTCAGAATGGCGATTATTAAAAAGTTAAGAAACAACAGATGCTGGTAAGAATGTGGAGGAATAGGAACACTTTTACACTGTCGGTGGGAATGTAAATTAGTTCAACCATTGTGGAAGACAGTGTGGCAAATCCTCAAAGACCTAGAACCAGAAATACCATTTGACCCAGCAATCCCATTGCTGGGTATATAACCCCCCAAATATAAGTCATTCTATTATAAAGATATATGCACATGTATGTTCATTGCAGCCGATTCACAGTAGCAAAGACATGGAATCAATCCAAATACCTATCAATGATAGACTGGGTAAGGAAAATATGGTACATATGTACCATGAAATACTATGCAACCATAAAAAGGAAAGAGATCATGTCCTTTGTAGGGATAGCCTTGGCATGGATGGAGCTGGAAGCCATTATCCTCAACAAACTAATTCAGGAATAGACAATCAAACACTGCATGTTCTCACCCATAAGTGGGAGCTGAACAATGAGAACATATGGACACAGGGAGGGGAACAACACACACTGGGGTCTGTCATGGGGGCAGTGGGAGGGAGAGAATCAGGAAAAATAGCTAATGTCTTCTGAGCTTAATACTTAGGTGATGGGTTGATTGGGGCAGCAAACAACCGTGACACATGTTTAACTATGTAACAAATCTGCACATCCTGCACATGTACCCTGGATTTTAAAATAAATTACAATTTAATGAAAAAACTATGTTCATGTGATGTATCACATTCATTTACTTGTGAGTGTTAAACCATTCCTACATCCCTGGTATGAAACCCACTTGATCATGGTGTATTATTTTTTCGATGTGCTGTTGAATTCAGTTGTCTAGCATTTTGTTGAAGATTTTCACATTTATGTTTATCATGGTTATTGGTTTGTAGTTTTCTTATTTTGTTATGTCCTTTCCTGGTTTTGGTATTAGAGTGATACTGGCTTCCTAGAATGATTTAGGGAAGATTCCCTCTTTCTCAATCTTTTGCGATAGTTTCAGTAGAATTGGCACCACTTCTTCTTTGAATGTGTGGTAGAATTCAGATGTAAACTCTTAGCACTGCTTTTGCCCATATACCAGATGTTATAATTTGGGTCACTATTATCATTCATTTCAAAGAATTTTTAAATGTCCATCTTGATTTTATTGTCAACTCAAAAATCATTCAGGAGCAGATATTCAATTTCCATGTATTTGTATAGTTTTGAAGGTTCCTTTTGCAGTTGATTTCCAGTTTTATTCCACTGTGGCCTGAGAAGACACTTGATATGATTTTGATTTTCTTAAATTATTGAGACTTGTGTTGTGGCCTATTATATGAACTATCCTGGAGAATGTTCTATGTGCTGATGAGAAGATTTTATATTCTGCGGTTATTGGGTAGAATATTCTGTAAATATCTGTTAAGTCCATATGTTGTAGATTATAATTTAAGTCCATTGGACTTGGTGGAAGAAGGTAGGAGGGGGGTGAGGGATAAAAGACTACATATCGGGTACAGTGTGCGCTGCTTTGGTGATGAGTGCACAAAAACCTAGAATTTACCACTATAGAGTTTATTTATGTAACCAAAACCCACTTGTACCTCAAAAGCTATTGAAATTTAAAAAAACTACAAACAGACATTTATTTCTCACAATTCTGGAAATTGGGAAGTCCAAGATCCAGGCAGATTTGGTATCTGGGGAAGGCCCATTTTCTGGTTCATAGATGGTGACTACTAGCTGTGTCCTTACATGGCAAAAGGGGTTAAAACTTTCTTGGGCTTATTTTGTAAGGGCACAGATCTCCTTCACACAGGGAAAAATCAAGGAGATAGGAAAGAAAAACAGATGAGAAAACTTCATTTTCAAATTGTTCTGTGGCCCAGATGTTGAACATATTCTACTGTTTTAGATAAATAACTTATTCTACAGCAGTAAATAATATATTAAATTGATTTTTTTCTTAGTAATAAGTTTTCTTCACTCTACCATTTTACTTTTCAATTTCTATTAGTTTTAGATATCATTTATTGCAATATCATTAGATTGAGATTTAGATATGAAGGCATGTTGTAACTCATAAAATATAATATGAAGGGTACAACATAGTACTTGGTACCGTGAATGTACCTGTTCAAATTTACCAATCCTCCTTTGCATAGTTTCATGAAAGAAATGGTTTTGGCTAATAAAATTCAGGCAAACTTAGACTTTAAAAAATCAAAATGACATGTTAATCCTTATATTTATAAATATCCTGAAAGATACCTTAATAATATGTTTTTTAATAATACTTTAATAATAAAAATACATTAATAATAGGTACAGAATAAAGGATGCCATTTTTATCTTTAATACTAAAAGCTAATCTACATTTTTCCTAGATATTAATATTAAATCATGCAGAGTAGGTATTTTGCTGTGTTTCAGCCCAATTCTTGACAGAAACTGCAAATTTCCTATAATCTAGAATTTCCATTATTTCTTTAGCTTAAACTATGCTGGAAAAATAAATAATTAAACAATCCGCAGGATAAACGAATGGGTCCACTTGAAAAACCACAAAGTAGGGTGTCAATGTAACAAGATTATATCCAGAACACAGAGTGAGCTCTAGATAAATGACCATTTATCAACCCCTTAAAAATGGCCTCTTAAAGGAATGGACACCAAATTCCAAAAGCACTCCATTATTCAGGGCAATTTCTTAATTAAGGTGCCTAGAACCTTTAAACCACCGTGACAATAAGCTCTGCTTGGCTTCAGAGACCCGCTAATATTTGTTCAAAGAGATCTTTCTGTAGCCGTGTCATCTACTACTATGATTACTCTACTGATCCCGTGACTATAATGGCTGCTACTACTGATGTCACAGTTCTCATTTGTTGAGCACTTACCCTATTCTAAGTTTTATATGTGTAGGCTTGAACCAAGCAGATGAGCCATTAACAGCAGCATCACCTCTTAGGTAGAGTTGGTCACTCGCCATTGCAAGATGAAAATTGTGTACATTCTAAATCACCCTTGACAGCTAAGCTGTGGGTATGCAAAGGCATACAGAGTAGTATAATGGACATTGAAGACTCAGAAGTGGGGACGGTGAGATGGGGGGTGAGGGATAAAAAACTATATATTGGATAAAAAGCACACTATTCAGGTGACAGGTACACTAAAATGTCAGACTTCACCACTATACCATCATCCATGTAACCAAAACAACTTGTACCCTAAAAGCATACATATATATAACAAACCAAAAAGCCCATAAAATTATTCTTGAAATTTCTTTAAATCACCCATTTTTGGTAACATCTTTGTCTACTGACCCATTTCATTAAATAAATCAACAAAGCGAGTTTTCCCCTGCAGCATTGGAACAGATCACTCTTTAGTTACATGAGGTGGTAGGATAATTTGGAGGTGGGGACATGTGTACAAGTTGACTGTAAATATCATGTGGTCTCTATTTTTTTAAAAAAAAAACACGTAGTACTATTTAATAAGTAGTGAAATAAACTCAACCCTTTCTCTTCACAGTGGATTCTTTCTGTAAAACATAAATTTTATTAGGAAGCAATTAGTTTATGTTTTAGGGAATTTGTTAAGCTTACATGTATATGTTTAAAAGTAAAGAGCACACACATCCCTATCATGCGAGGGCTGAAACAGCTGACTTTTTAGCTTACATCATGACTCAAGTCAAGATCTCAGGCATTAATTTGGATGGCTGGAGACCCTGAGATTTAAATCAGTGATTAATGAGTCTTTAAATGGCTGGCTGCTTATGTGTAACTCCCAAGGTCGGTATTATCTTATTTATTTTTAAACACACTTCAACAAGACAGTATATCTTGCAGAGAGGCTGCGTAAAGAGAGAAATTACACTCATGGAACATTTAGAATATTGATTACCCATTCCCATCCCAGTGTTCTCATAATAATTACTTAGTGATGTTTTAAAAGGTATAAGATTATGTGTGCTTTATAGACAATAACTTTGGTTACATTTCAGTCCACAAAGCACCTTTAAGTTCTGCTTTTCTTAAGACTAACGGGAGAAAAGCATTGAGTTCTGGCTATAAAATAAATACAAAATAATGTTCTCTGTTGTTGGAAAATTGTTAGTATTGCTTGTGTTTCTTGTTCATAGTCTGTTTTGACCAAAGGCTTTCTTCAAGCCACCACATCTTTGAAGTATTCTCCTTTTGAATAATACTCAGAGCAACTGAGATTTATGGAGCAATTTTAACTTTTGCAAACATTTCTACAACAGTACCAAGTTTATCCTCCCTCCAGTCAAATATGCTTTTCCTTACTTTACTGATGCAAAACATGATTAAACAGGGATTTAGTGCCATATTTAAGGTTTCCAGCTATCTATGATCTGTTAGGAACCAGAACCCAAATCTTCTAGTTTTTAATTCTGTGCTCCTTCAGTTAAGCTGAGCCATGACACTAACTGGTTGAAAAGTTCACCTCCAAGTTTCTGAATTTGTCAGGAAAAATCTCCTGAGATATTCCTTGTTCAGTTCTGAACTCGTATCCAATAGCTTATTGGCATCTCTATTTGGTGAATAAACATCTTACTCTTTTGTCATTGTTCCTTATAGCTTTTTAAAATACAGGCTTATTGAGATATAATTGACTCACTGCACATATTTAAATTTTCAAGCGGATGGATTGTAGTCTCTGTATGTATCCATGAAACCAACAGCATAATCGAGGTAATGAACATATCCGTACCTCCCCAAAATTTCCTGGTGGACTTTGTAATCTATCTCACATATCCGAAACGGAACTTTGTATTTTAAACTCTAAACATGTTTTTACCTTAGCTGTCCCTATTGTAGCAGACTGGACTGTCATCCATCCTGTTGCTAAACCCAATGCCCTACTCCCCATACATGCTATCTATCAGCAAGTCCTAGATACTGAATCCATCTATATCTCTTCATCTTTCTGGCCACCTCCCTAGTCCAGGTCACCTGGTCTCTACAATGTGGCTTCATAACAGGTCTGTATGTTTCCATTCTTACTGGACATAATTTATTCTTAACATAGCACCTAAAGTTGTCTGTTAAAAATACAAATCCAGTTAAGTCACTCCCTTGCTCGAAAACCTCTCAACGGCTTTCAGCT
The DNA here is from genome assembly GCF_000001405.40 of Homo sapiens. Lineage (NCBI taxonomy): Eukaryota > Metazoa > Chordata > Mammalia > Primates > Hominidae > Homo > Homo sapiens. The sequence goes on from NC_000003.12 coordinate 67,169,059, forward strand.
GCCTCTGGAATACAATGCATTCTCCTCATCATGCCTTACCAGCTCAGCTGTCATCAGCTGCTACCAACCTCTCTGATTGCCATCTCCTTCCACTCTACTACTTCTTCCACTCCTCTACTCACTACATGCCAACATCTCCTCCTTTCAGCTTCTAGAACAAGAAAAGCATATTCTTGCCACCATGTCTTTGTATCTGCTCTTGTCTCTGCCTGAAACATTGATTATCCAGTTTTATGTAGGTTACCTCCTTCTCATCATTCTTTTCTCAGATCAAATGTCATCTCTTTGAAAGAGTCTTCTCAGACCTCACTATCTCTCCTCCCCATCTCCAAGTCATTCTCTATCCTACGTTTTAATAGCACTTCTAGTGTTTGGAATTGTTTGTTTCCATGGGTTTAATAACTGGCTCTTCCACTGGAATATAAACTTGAGAACTCTGATTCACTCTATTATTCTATATCTGAAACATTCTAACAGCATTTCACGCATTATCTTATTTCATCTTCATAACACATCTATGAGAAAGGACCATTATCATCATTGTTTTAAGTCAAGGAAACTGAGGCTCAGAAATTTTAAATAATTTGTTCAAGATCACACAGCAAAGAAAGAGTGAACCCAAGTAGCCTCACTTTAACCTATCTGCATGCTGCTCAAACAAATGAATTTCTGTACTCTCTCTATTCTGTACTGACTCTATTAGACAATACTCATGACACCTGGATTGAAATCCCAACTGTGTATCTCTGGATAAGTGCTGAACTTAACCTCTCTAATTTGAATTCCTCATATGAAAAATAGGGATAATGCAGAAAATAACTCAGATGATAATCATGAAGTTAAATTAGTGCAGGTCGCTGGTTCTCAAAGGGTGGTCTCTGGACCAGCAGTATCAGCATGACTTGGGAAGTTATTTTTAAAATGCAATTTTTTGACCCTACTGCACAACTACCAAATCAGACACTCTAGGGGTGGGGCTCAGCAATTTGTAGTTTAATCTGTCCTCCAGGTGATTTTGATGCACACTAAATGTGGAGAATTACTGGTAAGTAAACCTTTTAGTTAGTGTCTGGCACAGAATAAGTGAACATAAAAAGGGCTAGTATTAACACAGCCAGGTACAGTCCAACGATGTTCTCTTTAGCAGGACAACTTCTTATTAGGCCTGTCCCTCACATTTCAGCATGTTTAACATTCTTGGACTCTGGGCATTAAATATCATTTGCAACTCCTTCAAATTTTGTGACTAAAATATGCTTTCCATGTGTACCAAAAGCTGCCTTTTGAGGGTGGGAGACTTAATACTATCTCCAGTTAAGAACCATAGCTCACTAATCAGAATGACTCTCCAATACGTTTTCTTGTTCAGGTTACAAACGGACTTCCGTCAAAGGGATACGTGGGTATGAATTGGAAGAATCTGAGTGGAAATGCAACACTGATATTTTGGATCTCCAGAATTTGCCTATAAGAAGAGTCATTTATTCAGGAGGTCCTGAATTTGCTTATAAGAAGAGTCATTCTCTGCAGAGAATGCAAAAGATGAGTCAAGGGATGATTCTGCAATATAATTGGAGGATGTAAAGCAATTGCAAAAATAATTCTGTCTCATGGAATACTGAATGTCTCTAGGAAATACCAACCAATATTGGAGTTCTGAAAAAGTGATAATGAGCAGTATACTGTAGGGAACTAGGAAAGACTACTTGACAAAGATAGTATTTGAGATCATAGATAAGTGCTTTGGGCCAAAAGAATTGTTACTTTCTCAGTTTAGTTGAAAGCAAATAATGATACTGTGCTCATTTTTATAGACAACAATAGCACACATGTATGTGGATGAAAATGAGCGATACAGACTAATTATGAGTGAAAGAAATCCTTGCAGAACTAACAATCCAGTGTTGTCCAAAACAAACCAATGGACAAAGTATTTGAAAATGCTAGTACCATCCTAACATCCCAATTGTTTTGAGCAAATTCTTATTGATAGAGATCTCTGGGCCTGCTTATCAACCAGTGAGTAACTCCAATAGTCAATAAACAAATGCTGCCTCCCTCATTAGGGATGGATATAGATGGAAATAGAATTTCAGAAGAGTTGACAGACAAGCCAAATATTGTCAACTTTCAAATTTGTCATGTTGCCCCTAGTTCGAGCCTCACTGTCCAAATCCCAGAGAAAGAGATGGTGGGATGTGAGGAATGGAGATAATCTGTGTCTCTTTGGGATGTTTTGGGGTCTACTTAAGGCCAGCATGACAAACATGTATAGTGACAACCCTAATCAATTGTTCATGGCTGTCTGAAAGGGTTGGTGAGGCTACAGTGAGCAATAAAAAATTGCCATCAGTAATTGGCCATAATTACCTTGAACAAGTGGCAACTTGTGATAGGCAACAGTTTCTATACAGTGGTAAAACATGTCTTATACTGTTCCAGAGGGTATATGATTTAATCAACAGTACAATTGAAGCTGTATTGTATTGGGGCACTTAATATTAGAATTTTGCTAAAATATTTGATTTCTATTTAGACACACAGATCTCTAAAAGATAGTTTTCTGTCTTGATTACATGTTCTTCACTTCATTCTGAATCAGATTGGAAATAATAAGTTGTGCTTTATATGCTTGGTAGCTCATTCATTCATTCACAAATTCAGCCAGTCAGCCACTGTCCTAGTTATCTATTGCTGGGTAACACATGACTTCAAAATTTGGTGGATTGAAACAACAACAATTATGTCATTATCTCTTCCAGTTTCTGTGGGTCAGGAATCTTGGAAGGACTCAGCTAGGTGGCTCAGCTCAGGTTCCCTTTGTGGTTTCAAGTCATATGGTGGCTGGGAGAGTGTGGGGCTGAAGCAGCTGGGGGCTGGATGGGCAGCTTACTGTCTTCATGTAGTTCCTGGGCCTCTGCACATGGGTTAATCTGGACTCCAAAGGTAAGATGTACCACCTTTTATGACCTAGCTTTTGAAGTTACGCAATACACGTTGAGCATCCCTAATTTGAAAATCTGAAATCCAACATGCTCCCAAGTCTGAATTTTTTGACTGCTGACATGAAGCCACAAGTGGAGAATTTCACACTTGACCCCATGTGACAGGCTGCAAGTCACAGTGCAGGAGCATAACAAGCAGTTTATTCTGTGCTTCCAAGGGAACAAAGACCCTTGGAGCCCTCCTCAGCTGTGATGTACATTTGTTGCACATGTTCAGATTCTCCCATGCAAGCAACCAGACTGTCCACATAGGTGGTTGCTAGTGACATATTTACCTTCTGATGGCTCAGTGTATACAATCTTAGTTTCATGCAAAAAAATATTTAAAATATGATATGAAATACCTTCAGGCTATGTATATAAACTGTATATAAACCATAAATGAATTTTATGTTTAGGCTTGTGTCCCATCTCCAAGATATCTCATTATGTATATGAAAATATTCCACACTCCAAAAAAAACACTAAAAATCCAAAACACTTCTGTCCCAAGAATTTCAGAATAGGGATACTTAGCCTGTATCACTTCTACTACACACTACTGATTATAAGCTAGTTATAAGACTACCCACCCAGGTTGGAGAAGAAGGGAAGTAGTCTGCACCTCTTTATGGGGATGTGACTAGGGTTTTAGAAAACATATGGGATAGGAGATGATGTTGCTATCTTGGAAAAATATGATCAGCTGATTAGCCAGAGTCACAAACATTTGTTGGGAGCCTTTTATGTGCTAGGCTGCACATACTCTGGGAATACAGTGAAGAGGAGGGACAATGTCCTTGCTCCTGAGTGGCATATATTCTACTGAGGATGAGTGAGGAGATAAACAAGAGGTAAATACACAGGAAAGACAAGATTGAATTGTGGTAAGTGCTATGAAGAATGTTAAACAAAACAGAATAACTGGGGTTTGGAGAGCTTCTTTAGATAAGGTGGTCAGGACAGGTCTCTCTCTCTCTCTTTTTTTTTTTTGCTTCAGTGTCTATTTTATTTATTTATTTATTTATTTATTTATTTATTTATTTATTTATTATACTTTAAGTTCTGGGGTACATGTGCAGAACATGCAGGTTTGTTATATAGGTATACATGTGCTATGTTGGTTTGCTGCACCCATCAACTCGTCATTTACATTAGGTATTTCTCCTAATGCTATCCCTCTTCAAGGCCCCCACCCCATGATGGCCCTGGTATGTGATGTTACCTTCCCTGTGTCCATGTGTTCTCATTGTTCAACTCCCACTTATGAGAACACGTGGTGTTTGATTTTGTTCATGTGTTACTTTGCTGAGAATGATGGTTTCCAGTTTCATCCATGTCCCTGCAAAGGACATGAACTCATCCGTTTTTATGGCTGCATAGTAGTCCATGGTGTATATGTGCAACATTTTCTTTATCTAGTCTATCATTGATAGGCATTTGGCTTGGTTCCAAGTCTTTGCTCTTGTGAACAGTGCTGCAATAAACATACATGTGCATGCGTCTTTATAGAATGATTTATAATTCTTTGGGTATATACCTAGTAATGGGATTGCTGGGTCAAATGGTATTTCTAGTTCTAGATCCCTGAGGAGTTGCCACACTGTCTTCCACAATGATTGAACTAATTTACACTTCTACCAACAGTGTAAAATTGTTCCTATTTCTCCACATCCTCTCCAGCATCTGTTGTTTCCTGACTTTTTGATGATCGCCATTCTAACTGGTGTGAGATGGTATCTCATTGTGGTTTTGATTTGCATTTCTCTAATGGATAGGTCACTTTTAATTAAAGAACTTAATGAGAAGAAAACAGTCAGGGAAACAAGAGTTCCAGGTGGATGGAAGAGCAAAAATACAGCATGTGAGGTAAGAATGAGGTTGGCTCATTTGAGAATCAGCAAAGGGCCTGGTGGCAGGAGTGCAGTGGGCAAGGAGGAAGGTGGCATGAGATCACATCTGAGAAGTAAGCTGGGGATAGAGCATAGAGCTTTGAGGCTAAAAAGCATGGATTTTGTTTCAGTTCTCCTGAAAGTTCCACAAAGGGTGACACTCTGCTTATTCACTCTTAAAGCTCCAGTGCCCAGAAGCCTGTCTAACAAACACCTGGCATTCACTTGAGCTCTGCTGAATAGAGAATGACTGAATGAACACCAGACCTTAAGTTGCCACCTGCTCATATCCCACTGCAAGCTCTACATGGTAAGGACATGTTCCATGGAGACAGAGTGGTTGAGATCTCACTTAAACTCTTTAGCTTAGGACTGGCTGGGCTACTAAACTGCATCTATTACCACCTAAATGAAGACACATAACAGGGAGCTAATTATAATGTGTCTTGCCCTGCTCTTGAAAAATTAAATGTTTTATTGTGATGTTACAATTTGAATTTATTATCCTTTGTTGGGGAACAAAATTAAACGTAATGAGGGCTGTTAGTCTCCTCTCAGTTCTGCCTGTATCCTGTACCTTATATCATTTTTACCACTTTGATTAATGGGTTTAATTTACTTCGACTGGGATATGTAGGAATCAGTAGGTGGGGGGAAGTTGAGACTGTTAAAATCCTTTTAATTAGACTAATAATGCCAAATCTGCATGTGTTAACAAGGGTGCACTATTAATTAGCTTTCGTAGATGGCTTCGGGAAAGGTAGCAGAGTAGCTTTGAAATATCCTTTGTGATATCAGGAAATCTATTAAGTTGACAGGCAAAGCATGACATTACATATTTCCTCAAATGAAGAGCCTTTCATCTCTGAAGACATAGAGAATCTCACATGACAGACCTTTCCCTAGCTTGTTGTGTGAGACGTCTTTTATGGACCCTCCAAGTTCATTCCTGCCCCTTCTTCGCTCTGCTCTCTGTCCTAGTGCTGACCTACATGGACCATATCAGCAGGGCTTCTCTGTGCTCTGCCTGCTGGTTGGATTTGGCCAAGAGAAGCCCTAGCAGGAGATCTGGGTATTGAATCTTTGACTTCCCCCACTTTGAGATCACCAGATTTGTCTCCAAAGCTGGCTATGTCCCTTGACCCAAGCTCATTGCTACTCAAGACAACTTTCTCTATACAAGTCTCTCTCTGCATTCTGCTAATATCTTCCCACTTTTGTTCTCTTCAAGCCTAGGGTAGACCTATCCTAGGATCCTTCTAGGATCCCAGAAGACCCTATGAATTTCTGTGCCATGCCCTTTCTCCAGATACTTGATACATTTCTCCACTCAAATAATTCTTTTATATAACTTTTCATTTTTTTCAGTAGTCTTATTAAATGTGACATTCTATGTTGAATCCTCTCTAGACATGTTTGCAGTGACTTGCTGATATTTCCAATCCTCTCTGTTAGATTGTCAATCGGTGGGAGCAGGGACTGTTTTCTTTGTTTCCCAAGTGCCCTGTACAGTCACCTCGACAGACATATGCTGAGGCAATAAATGAAGAAAGACAAGAGAAATTCACAAACACACCAAAACTAGTTGGCACATCAAGACTTCTTTTTTTTTTTTGAGATGGAGTCTTGCTCTGTCACCCAGGCTGGAATGCAGTGGCGCGATCTCAGATCACTGCAAACTCCGCCTCCTGGGTTTACACCTTTCTCCCAACTCAGCCTCCCGAGTAGCTGGCACTATAAGCACCTGCCACCATGCCTGGCTAAATTTTTTTTTTTTTTTTGGAGATGGAGTCTCACTCTGTCACCCAGGCTGGAGTGCAGTGACGCGTTCTCTGCTCACTGCAAACTCCACCTCCCAGGTTCACACCATTCTCCTGCCTCAGCCTCCTGAGTAGTTGGGACTACAGGCACCCACCACCATGCCTGGCAAATTTTTTTGTATTTTTAGTAGAAATGGGGTTTCACTGTGTTAGCCAGGATGGTCTCGATCTCCTGACCTCATGATCCACCTGCCTCAGCCTCCCAAAGTGCTGGGATTACAGGAGTGAGCCAACGCACCTGGCCGGCACATAAAGACTTTAAAAATGTTAAAGCGATAACAGAATTTAATTCTGATGAATGAAGTGGTGATGAAAGTGGGGTTGGCTGCTAACTGGACGTTGTGTGTGTGAGAGGTGGGGGGAGGGGTGGGATGGGCAGTTTTCAGAATAGGAGACAATATCTGTGAGCTCTATGCTGTCTTGTTCCAGAACTCAAACTGTGGCAAAGACGCAAAGCCAGGAGAAATTGTCTCGACAACCAAAACAATCTGTAAACTTGGATCAAGAGGACCCATCAATGACAAGAATACACACGAAAATCTTTTGGCCACTCTTGAAACAGATCATTCTAATCAACAGGCAATAACAGTGGGGACACCTGGGCCACAATAAACCCTTTCACAACTGTGCCCTTTACCTTGGGCCCTCATAGCCCCTCTGCTGGGATTTGCAAGTCCTCTTCAACAAGGAGTTCCCAAACCAAGGGCCAAGACACATCTGGAGACTGTCTCTTGGGTTTGACAGTTGTACTTTTAAGCATTCCTGCCCTTCTGGTTTCTTGATCCTTTGGCTCATTTATGAGAAGCACTGTGTAATCATCTGACCCTGAGCCAAGAACAGAGGCCTACAGAGGCCCTGGCTAATGTGGGAACTAAGCTTTCAGCTTTGTGGGCTGAGTCTGCTGAGCTAAGCAGCTTCCTAGGACTGTCAGAGGATTGGTGCTACTTAAGTGCAGTTGTTCTATTACACTCTTTTCTATGAGTTGGATGAGCCTTTGCGGATTAAACAGTTGTTTGCACTTCCCCAGTTCCACGCTGACTTTTATAACATATCACCAAAAGGTGTTTCACATTGAATGGAGTGTTATAAGGTTCCATATGGTGAGGTATGGTTTCCTCCTGCCTGGAGTTCTGAATCATTCTGCAATTTGTGTGAATCTGCTTTGCTATCAGGTAATGAAATAAAATGTACAATTGGTCAGATTTTTTTTTTTGAAAGAGCAACTGCCTACATTTTATCCAGAAGGTGCCAGATAGTGAGTAGGTTGATTATGGATGGCTGTCAAGCAGATGGCACTATGTAACAAGCACTGATTTAAAATCAAGGATGATTGTGTTCTGGGGCTCACTGCCACCACCAGTTTCCCCGAGATAATTCTCAAGTAACTCCTCTTTGGATAAATCTTCCCTGACCTCTCTACTCCCTCCCTTTCCCCCAGTCTGGGTTTGATACCCCTCCCCCCTGCTCCTGTAGTACCCTTAACTTTATGAAGTACTTGAAACAACGATAAAGTGCAAACACAATGGAAGGTAGAATGAGGATGTAAAACACTTTGATGTTTCAAAAAATAGTATTTCTCATCACTTCTAGTTTAAAGTCTCATCGTTCATGTCAATACGATCCCACCAAGGTAACTATGTTTCTGGTATTTTAGCCTCATTGATTCTGGATTCTCCTCTCTAGGTTCTTGAAGATGGGGCAAGGTACTGTCCCAACATCAGAGGAAGGATGTCCATATCCTTCTGGTTCCTGTGCTATTCTTGATCCTTACTGGCCTCCAAGTAGAAGGCCCTTGCTCCAAGGGTCCCTCACCATCCCATTCTGGCATATGGTGAGGTATGCCTGGCCCTGCCAGATCTTTGGGATGTGGTGCTGGCTGTCACTGCTGAAGTCCATGGCCCCTCTGCCACCTTCCTCTGATACCACTAAACTCAGCAAAGAAGACTGGAGATGTATGTTACACATGTGACTATTGTAATGAATTCAGATATGCTTTTCTTCTGATACAGAAAATATTTTATAATTAAAAGAAGATGGTTCCTTATATATGTGCCTTTTCAATGGCCATCAACAATTCATAGCTACAGATTCTGCTATGTCTGCATAGCAACAGACTCAGTCTGCTTATACCTTATGAATTATAAATTTACTCATGGACGAGTGTGTGTTGTTCTCTCAAAGGTTTGATTATTTAGATTCATTAAGTGTTGTACTCGAAAGAAATAAGACTGGTAACTGTATTTTAATAAAGTATTTAAATACCTAAACATGTTAATATTTTAACAGATATAAGAGTGTATTGTGCTGTAGGTACAGGTATTTATTATTGTTGTTATTGTTTTTAAATAGAGTAGGACTTCGAAAGGAAACCACAAGGAACTTTAAGTCCTGCTTTTAATCACCGTCACCTTATTTTACAAAGAAAAATATATTTCATTCATGTAAGTTGCTATTCATATTTAGTTATATATTTCTACATTATGAAGAAAGTATTCACCCTGAGGCGGGGAAAACAGAATCCCCAGTTAGCTCCTATTGAATGCCTCCATCCTGGAATACTGTACAACCGACACATGCATTGGAATTATTCATGCTGCTTGTATACCTTGGGAGATGAACACCTTGAAGACAAACTCAGAATTTCAGTAAGTCTAATCTTGATTATTATTTTTGCAATATCTGAAAGTATATGGTCAATAATCCAAACTAGCAGATAATTTAAAATGATTTAAATTTAACTGTGAAATATGTTATATATCTAATCCCCTCTAGACACAATTATGTTTTACCTACATTTGTATTTAAATTGATTTAAATACTAACTAGTGTGGGGCAAGCTAAGTTATCAGGTAAAAATGAGCTTGGAACAAAATACAACAGGCAAAGTAGATTAAAGATTAAGACACAATTTCATTTTCTATTACTCTTTAACTTCTAGGCAAGCTTACTATATTAAAAAGCCACATTTGTCACATTGTTCTCAGATAATATTTTTTTCTTTCAGATGAAAGTGACACACGAATGTTAAAAGTCACAAAATACAGCCAAATACCAACTTTTATTTCATTAGTCCATGTCCACAATTAGTCCACCAATTTGTTCCATATTTCAACCAAACTTAATAATTTGAACTTGCCCCAAATGACTTAAAGTTTCTGAACTTTGTATTATGCTTTCTTCTTTGCCAGACACACTTTCTCTGCCCTTGCCATGTGATTTAGAGCTCCTCCAAGTCAGGAGGGTGTGATAGAAATGGCTTCTGGGATTTGGAGCTTGATAGGGATCACACACATACACACACACCTCCAGCCCCCAAAACTTTGCAATAATGACCAATAATAATTGTGCCCTCCTCTAAGACAGCCATTGTGTGTGCGCTTGACATGTGTTATTGCCTAACACTTTGCATTGTGTTGAGGTTTGGAAACTGTCAGAAATATTTAAGGCACTGCCTAGGAAACAAACTAAGCTCATGTCTCAAACACCAGAAAGTACTCTATAATCTTATATTTGGGGAAATCTAAGACTCAGAGCAAGACATAAAAAATAAAATAATAATTTTAAGAAAAAGAGCTAGACAGATCATTTAACTTAAAAAAATAAATAAGCTGCAATTTATGACCCATCACTGTCTCCTACCTTAGCCTTGTTTTACGGCTTCACGCAAGTACTAAAGCATGTTTAGTCAACACAAACCTTGGGATTAAGGGTTACACACTGTCAATGGCTTAGGCTTACCTCTGTGGTGTAAATTACAATAAATCCTTATTTATTTATACTGAACACTGGAAAACACAATAGATAGAATCTGTAACTTATAAGAAAAGATAAAACACAATCTCACTAAATTTTATGAAAGACCACTGCATCTTGTCTAACTTTGAACCATCACAGCGTTTTGCTGAATCTTCTAACATGAAATTTCTTCTTGCTTTGTAGGTTTTGTTTGTCTTAATCTCTTTACTAAACACTAAGCAATCTAAAACAAGAAATGTTTTTTCTCTTTTAGAAAAAATAATGCCACAGCATTCAGCCTAGTGTCCCACAAATGACTGAATCTCAAAACTGTCTCTTGAATTGAATTTTGCCTGCAGATAATACAGACCTGAACACACTTGACAGCCATTGAAAATGCTTCTTTCCCCTCATATTTAAGAAATGGAATAGCCTAATGGTCAACAGAAAACCACCGTAACTCAAATCCTATCTCTGTCACATACAAGTTGTTTAACTTTAGACAAGTCTTTCTGTGCCTCAGTTCTCTCATTACTCAAATAGTTAAAAAAAATTGAGATGTAAATATATCAATATATGTAAGATGCCTCAGAAAGTGCCTAGAATGTAGCAAACACTTTACAAGTATTAATTATTATCATTATTATTATCCTAGTTTAACTCTCTGCAAAAATTGAGTTGAGACTTCAAAGGAATGGCTAACTAAAAATACGCATGCCTCACAAAGGATATTTGTTTCCAAGAGACCACAAATTTATAAATCTTCCTCCTCTCTTTCCCTGATGGTCAAATACATGGACCCATTTTGGAAATGTAATTTCCTACTGTCTGTGAAGGTAACACCCCTGCCTGTTCTCCTAAAGTACTCATGCAAATTAAACAGAATGAACTTATGGAAAAAGAGACAGAGTATGTAGGGCCTCTAGAGATGGCTGTCTGATTTTTTGTTGGGCTTATCTTCTGATTTCATTTCGATTTGGGATATAAGACCAGGGGTGTTTTGTGGTTAGTGTGAGGTCAAGGACAGAAAACAAATCCAGTGGACAATACTACCTCATCGGAGAGCAGAAAATCATAACAATTTAATACAGCATCAATGTGGCTGATTAACAGTCCAAAAATTAGTATTTTTCTTTTTCATTCTGATTAGGAATAAGATAGTAGCCTTACTTTGAAAAGCCCAAGAATAACAGGTATTCCACAAACAGGTTAACACTGAGTTTCTTCATTAGGGACTCCTCCCCTTCCCATCCTTCTCTCTCTTCTTTCTCTGTTTTACTGTACACCTCAACACCTGTGAGGAGATCATGTATAAGCATAAAAGGGAGTCAGTCTCCTGTGTTGTAGAATTAATGAGGTGTCCAAAGGGCCCCATCTCATTCCTTTTTCTCTAATTCCTTCTTGAATTTAAAGGCCTTGTCTAGCTTAAATACTTCATTTACCATAAAAATTACTTACTGGGGCTTTTTAACACACTTTGTTCAATCTTTAGCAGATAAAGCAGACCAAAAACTAAGGATATAGAAGAGTTGGGAAATATAATAGAAAATTTTGCTTTCATAGCTATGTGTTAAAATTTATTTCCTAGAGAGAGACTACATTTTTTACTAGGCCTCAAAGAACATCTCAACAAAATCCTGAAATTGGAAATTATATAGGCCTGGCAGATGAGCAGAGAGGAACGTAGGTAATAAGGTCAGGGTGGGTAATTTTTAAGAGGGCCCACTCATGCAAGGGTTGAGGGAAGAACCTCCATGAGGAAGGTCGGCATGGGGTAAGGGCATGTCAGTGGTGGTACACTTTGTAGAGGAGGACACATGTAAAATGGCACTATCATTTGATTACCTTCTTTATGAGTCTCTTGGACAAATACTAATGTTTCAATTACATATCACTGTTGTTTTCTCTAGCAACTTTTCATTGCAGTCTTCCCCAATGTGGTGTCAATATATTACCTTACAAAATTGTTAAAATGTGACAGTTTAGAAAAATGTGCTCTAGTGGAGCTCTTTTCCCACCATACCTTCCATTCGTAGCCATGCATCTGGGTTATTACCAAGAACTTTGACTGGGGAGGAAGAGGGTGGGACATATCTAAGAACTGAGCTGGAAAGCCAATGGAAATCAAATTTTGCTGAGCGGAGCTATTGGGCTACTATGGGCAATTCAAATACTTACTCAAAGCATCAGAAATATGACTTAAACCTGGTCTTGATTTCAGTGTTGTAGGGAAGAAAGAGAGAGAGAGAGGCAAGTATAGTCCAACCCAGTAAGAGTTATAGAAATGTTATTGGTCCAGGAAGGGAGTACTGATTGGTGAGAAATGGAAGGGATTGCTAGCAATACAGGGAAGAAGTAACTTTCTTAGCTGGTCCAATAAGAAAAGGGTGAGCAGAAAGACTGAGGGAAGAACCTTAGATAAGTCTTGCAAAGAAGAAAGACCATAGTCGATAGACAGTTTTGGGAACCCCAAAGACCTTCAAAATAAGTACTCCAGTGACTAATGACAGTATATGCTTACTCTAGCTTTCTTGACATTCAGGAGGAAACAACCAAAATCCTTTCTCTTAACAGACCTGTGAAGGCAATCTGCTTCTAAGATAGATTTCAGCCCCTAGGGTGGAAACACCACACATTTACCAAAACTCTTCAAATTCAGTTAAGGGTAGGAACATCTCATTTTTTCCTTCTGATTATCCATGGCATTCCTAGTTGTATCCTTTTTATATCATAAAAAGAAACACATTATGATTATAAAAGTAATGCATATTGAAAAAATACAAAAAAGAAAACAATAAAGTCAGTAATAACTCTGTTACCCAAAGATAACCACTGTGTGTAATATTGTGGTATGTATTGCTTTTTCCCTATACATATGTATATATTAAACAAAATTTAAATTATTAACAAAATTAGACATAAGCATTTAAGAACCTGCTATATCCCCGTATCATGAAATTTCTTCTGCAGTATCAGTCATACTGCATAGTATTCCACATTATGGATATTCTATTTTTAATGTTCTATTCTTGACCATCTTAGATTATTTCCAATTTTCACAACCTTTAACCACTTTTTGACTAATTAGACTTTCTCTGGCCTTCTTCTTCTCGTAGACAAACCCCTCAGGGTCTATTCATGGAAGCCTGGTTGGGTCTCTTCTTTTGGAGAACTAATAAATTAGTCCACACAACTGAACTTGCTGAAGGTAAATTTGGAGTTGGCCAACTTTTGCTGTATAACAAGCAGTGTTTGTGTACAGTGTCTGTTAGGCATTTTACTATCCACTGGCTAATATGTTCAGGGCAGGAACATCCCTTTCTACCCCATGGCTCTCCCTTTTCTCTACATGCAAGGAAGTATGTAACTGGGCACAGTGCTGCTTTGATCTGGTTTTCATTATGTGATAATTGTGGACTTTCTAAATTGTAAATGTCTGTGACTTTTTCCCCAGCAGTCAGACAATCTATGCTCTGGGAAAATTAAAGGGAAAAATCTCAGGTAACAAGAGGAGCAACATGAAGCAATACTTTGCTATAATCATCCTCTTACTAGCTGAGGTCCAAAATGCTGTATTGAGTGAAATAACATGATTAGAGTTAAATAAATAATGACAGCTAAGAGAGAAATCAGCTAGAAAGAAGTTATTTCAGCCTATTAAGAAAGGAGATGAGATGTTGCTCAAAGGAAAAAGGCCCGTATATGAAGAGTGTCAAAATAAAGGAATGAAAAAAGAAATAAATGAAGTCTGAAGAGCATGCTAGAAAAGGCAGATGGATAATTTTAAGCAAAATGTGTTGCACAGTGGGATTGGAGCTGAATGGGAGGAGGTTTGATTGTGTAAGCAGTTCCAGGTTTCTTGCTTTATAACAGGGATCTGCAACCTTTTTCTCTAAAGGGCTAGATAGTAAATATTTTAGGTTTTGTAGGTCAGAATATCTCTCACTCTACTACTCAATGCTGTCATTGTAACATGAAGGCAGGCATAGACACCACCTAACAAATGGGTGTCTCTATGTTCCAATAAAACTTTATAAAATCTGATGGTAAGCTGGATATAGCCCACAGGCTGTAGTTCTGTAGTTCTGACTCCTGGTTTAGATGATCAAAGTGGTGGCAGTTCCTTTCTCCATTGAATGGGACTCATATTAGTTTGGTGCAAAAGTCATTAATTTTGCAATTACCTTAATTAAAGGTGCCATTACCTTTAAGGGAAAAGACCACAATGACTTTTGCACCAAAGTTTGGTGTTTGTGAGGATTAAATAACAAGTGTGAAAAGTCCTAACACAGTGCTTAGCACAAGGTCCACACTCAAATGTTATCTCACCCACCGTCTTTCAAGTCAGTGATCATACTCCACAGGGAAGCATTCATGGCTTCAGTTAATCGTGCATATAAATTGAAGACAGAAAAACAGGTAGAAAAGAAAGACATGATAAATGAAAGGTCATTATTGATTTTGGTTTGGTTTTTCAATACATACAACTCAGGACAAATCATTAAAATGCATCTTCTTGCAAACTGAAGAAACAGAGCAAAGTACAACTACAAAAACAAATTATCTCAGGTTGATATAATTTTCATTTTCATGACAATAGGCTCATTTTCCTCATCTTTCATTGAGCTTGTTAAACTTTAAGAAAATCCCTACTTTTAAGAAATGATTTTTTTTAACAGTAGAGGCAGAAATATACTGATATAGGTGAATTGTACTTAACCAAAATTGTAAAATCGTCTATTTAACATTGTTAATTTCAGTTAAATGGCATCTCAATTTTGACTGGAAGTAGAATCACTCTGGTTTTGGTTTTTCATAGACTCTGAGTAGCACCACTGCAGGTTCTTTGAAGCATTTCTAAATGAGGTAATTTTATTTTACAAGGGGTTTCTTGTAAAAACTATTGTCTTTCTGTACATCTAATTAAAATAAAGATGTAATAAAGAATTTACTGTTTTAATTAGGGCATAGATCTTAAAGCAATTATCCTGTCATTAATAATTCCTTAACAGACTTTCTTGCACAAGATGAATAAAAAGATTTTTAAGCTGTGAAAAATCAATACACATTACTCATTTACATTAACAAAGCTACACAAAGTAATCTGAGCCTTCATTAAATTATTTCTCCTGTAAACCAGAGAAGTTTGGAGAGTTATTAGCTATTTATAACCTAGTGGAACTTCACTTACAAGAGAGAAATCTTACCCATGACTGGGCAGTTGTATCAATGTCATTTAAATGAACAGCCAAATAGGATTAATATATTAGTGAGTGGAAATAGATTGATATGGTCCATAAGGATGACTAAATGATGAAAGCTATCATCATGGTGTTATAATATGAATGATTCAGCACTCCATCTGAAAATTACATGTCTTAACAGTTTTTTTTCAGTGTTGTAATTAAAGTCCCTCCCCTCCATACCCCCACCATCTGCCATATACACATTTGGCTGTCTTTTAGGCAATGTAGCATCTAGGAGACACTAAGATCACTGAGCTTAAAATACAATCATGAAGGTATCTCAAGTAGTATTGCCAGACTTTGGTATTTTCTATAATTTCATCTAATATTATAGGATAATCTGGGAAGGGCAAAACCAAACCAAACAAAAACTCAAAATGATTTTTTTTTGTTAGAAAAGGAAAGGCTATGTTGTTATGAGAAGCCATTAAGAAGAAGAAAAAATATTTTGCAATCTAAATTTTAGTTACATTGTCCCTAATTGATAATTTGGAGGCAGATGGAAACCCTTACATGTGAAAGCAAAAGGTCCAAGACCACATATTGTCCAGTTTCCCTGCGGAAGAATTGTCTAAGAAATTAAATGAATCAATCCGTAACTGCAACAGGGACTTTGGGTCCTTGTTCCTGTCTGTGTTGTTTCCTGAGCCCATCAAGGTGACGGTTAATGGGAAGAGGTATTAACACAAGTTCTTGTTGGGTCATTTGGTAAAGCCCTCAATTAGCATGGCCAGATTTTAATGAATATTAAGTAATGATGATGAAATTAAAAGCATCCGGAAAGACAGCAGTAATCAAACCGGTCTGTGAACGTATGGCTGAAAAAGCTGTTCTGGGGTCCTTGTGAGAAATTTGCTCCAGGACCCTTATAAGAATTTAGAGAGGATTGCTCACCAATTTTTCATTATATATATATGCCTGTTTCAATATATATAAAACAGGCTTAATGGACCTCACAGTTCCACATGGCTGGGAGGCCTCACAATCATGGCAGAAGGTAAAAGGCACTTCTTACATGGCAGCAGGCAACACAGAATGAGAGCCAAGTGAAAGAGGAAACCCTTATAAAATCATCAGATCTCATGAGGCTTATTCACTACCACAAGAACATTATAGGAGAAACCATCCCCATGATTCAATTATCTCCCACTGTGTTCCTCCCACAATATGTGGGAATTATGGGAGCTACAGTTCTAAGACGAGATTTGGGTGGGGACATAGCCAAACCATATCTACCCTGGCCCCTCCCAAATCTCATGTCCTCACATTTCAAAACCATTCATGTTGTCCCAACAGTACCCCAAAGTCTTAACTCATTTCAGCATTAACTCAAAGGTCCACAGTACAAAATCTCATCTGAGACAAGGCAAGTCCCTTCCACCTATGAGCCTGTAAAATCAAAAGCAAGTTAGTTACTTCTTAGATACAATGGGGGTACAGGCATTGGGTAAATACAGCCATTCCAAATAAGAGAAATTGGCCAAAACAAAGGGGCTACAGGCCCGATGCAAATCTGAAATCCAGTGGGGCAGTCAAATCTTAAAGCTCCAATTTGATCTCCTTTGACTCCAGGTCTCACATCCAGGTCACGCTCATGCAAGAGGTGGACCCACAGCTTTGGGTATCTCTGCCCTGTAGCTTTGCACGGTATAGCCCTGCTCCTGGCTGCTTTCATGGGCTGGCGTTGAGTGTCTGTGGCTTTTCCAGGTGCAAGGTGCAAGCTCTCAGTGGATCTACCATTCTGGGTTCTAGAGGATGGTGGGTGGCCGTCTTCTCATAGCTCCACTAGGCAGTACCTCAGTGTGGGGACTCTGTGTGGGGTTTCACACCCCAAAATTCCCTTCTGCACTGCCCTAGCAGAGGCTGTTCATGAGGGTCCTGCCCCTGCAGCACACCTCTGTCTGGACATCCAGGCATTTCCATACATCCTCTGAAATCTAGGTGGAAGTTCCCAAACCCCAATTCTTGACTTATTTGCACCCACAGGCCCAACACCACATGTAAGCCTCCAAGGCTCGGGGCTCGAACCCTCTGAAGCAATGGCCTGAGGTCTACGTTGGTCTGTTGTAGCCACAGCTGGGATGCAGAGCACCAAGTCCCAAGACTGCACAAAGTAGCAAGGCCCTGGGCCTGGCCAGGAAGCCATTTTTTCCTCCTAGGCCTCTGGGTCTGTGATGGGAGGGGCTGCCATGAAGACCTCTGACATGCCCTGGAGACATTTTCCCCACTGTCTTGGTGATTAACACTTGGCTCCTCATTACTTATGCAAATTTCTCCAGCCAGCTTGAATTTCTCCTCAGAAAATGGGTTTTCCTTTTCTATCTCATGGTTAGGTTGCAAATTTTCTGCACTTTTATGCTCTGCTTGCTCTTTAAACCTAAGTTCCAATTCCAAACCATACCTTTGTGAATGAATAAAACTGAATGCTTTTAATAGTAGCCAAGTCACATCTTGAATGCATTGCTGATTAGGAATTTCTTTCACCAGATGTCCTAAATCATCTCTCTCAAGTTCAAAGTTCCACAGATCTCTAGGGCAGGGGCAAAATGCCACCACTCCTTTTGCTAAAACATAACAAGAGTCACCTTTGCTCCAGTTCCCAACAAGTTTCTCATCTCCATCTGAGACCACCTCAACCTGGACTTTATTGTCCATATCACTATAAGCATTTTGGTGAAAGGCATTCAACAAATCTCTAGGAAGTTCCAAAGTTTCCTACATTTTCCTGTCTTCTTCTGAGCCCTCCAAACTGTTCCAACCTCTGCCTGTTATCCAGTTCCAAAGTCGCGTCCACATTTTCAGTTATCTTTACAGGAGCACCACACTCCCAGTACCAACTTACTGTATTAGTCTGTTTTAACACTGCTGATAAAGACATACCTCAGACTGGGTAATTTATAAAGAAAAAGAGGTTTAATGGACTCAAAGTTCCACATGGCTTTGGAGGCCTCACAATCATGGAGGAAGGTGAAAGGCATGTCTTACATGGTGGCAGGCAAGAGAGAATGAGAGCCAAGTGAAAAGGGAAACCCCTTATAAAAATCATCAGCTCTTGTGAGACTTATTCACTACCATGAGAAAATTATGGGAGAAACCGCCCCCCATGATTCAATTGTCTCCAACTGGGTTCCTCCCACAACATGTGGGAGTTATGGGAGCTACCACTCAAGATGAGATTTGGGTGGGGACACAGCCAAACCATACCACTCCACCCCTGCCCACTCCCAAATCTCATGTTTTCACATTTCAAAACCATTACAATCAATTATTGTGATGCAATCTTGAATCTATAGCCAAATTTCCCACTTCTCAAGATTTATTGGAAAAAATTATCCCTAGTGTCCCTCAGAACTGTTTGGTTTTCTTTTTTTAACATTTAGACCTTTTTCATCCATCTCCAATGAACAGCATTGGAGTTGTTTATCTAGTAGAGTATGTATATAATTTATGACAAAGTTAATTTCAATGATCCTCAAGTAAGCGTTTTTTCAGTACCCCCCATGACTATTATAGTCAACTTTCTTGTTCTCAGAAACACATGAATTAATATTTCACAGATGAAGCACAAATAATCAATAAACTTATGAAACTGCTTAGTAACAATATTTATTAAATTAGTCAACATTAAAAAAAACCTCAGCTGACATGGGTATGGTGACAGATAATCTCTTTACCCAGTGATGTGACTGTGAATTACTTTCTGGAAAGCAATTTGCCTATATGTTACAAGAGCCTAATAAAAGTTCATACTCTTTGATCTAGTAATTCTACTTTAGGAAATCAACCCTATAGAATTAGGTTAATATTTTGACAAAGATGTTCATTTCAGAATTCTTTTTGGTAGTGAAATATTATTTAAAAGAGTATAAACATCTCTCAATAGAAAAATTGATTAAATTATGGTTATCACTGGGATATTATGCAGCTATTACAATTGTGTTTTTGAAGAATTTTTAGTAAAATGAAGCAGTTGTTAGAATATAAGAAGTTAAAAAAGCATATATATTTTTATTTTAAGTAAAGACAGAAAAATGACTTGATGGAAATATACTACTTTTTCAGTTATGTCCTTGGGAAGTGGAATTGTGGCTAATTTTTATTTTTTGCATTATATTTTTTCTGTGTTTTCAATTTTTGCATAATTTTAATGCATTTTTATTATGATTATAAAGAAAGATTAAAAACATAAATATGATTGAGTTCTAGATTAAACAAAACCAGAAGAAGCATTATTTACAAAAGTTGACTCAACCAAGACTTTTACTCTTTGGATCTGTTACATGTA
The DNA here is from genome assembly GCF_000001405.40 of Homo sapiens. Lineage (NCBI taxonomy): Eukaryota > Metazoa > Chordata > Mammalia > Primates > Hominidae > Homo > Homo sapiens. The sequence goes on from NC_000003.12 coordinate 67,189,021, forward strand.
ACATTACCACGTTTTGCTGCCCAAGCCAGCATTCTCTTTCTCATTAATAACTTTATGATTATGAAATGAGTTATAAACCAATTATAAAAGAAAACCATTACTGCCTGATAGACACAAAATAACATTAAAGCAGAAATGCATCTATTCGGCACTGACAATCTTGATGGTCAAACTGCCTGGAAAATGAAACTCCTATAATTTAAATGTACCAAATTAGGAAACCTCACAAGAAACCCAGACACTTTGTCATTTGGCAATATGGACTGTTGCCTGGTTAACACACTAAATGATTACTAAAGCTTACAGAACAAAGACTGACTTTACCTAAAGGAGTCTGAAAGTTCAGAAACTCAAGAACATAGAAATATTAACATCTGGAAGAAACTGGATTGATGCTCTCAATAAAGAGTGGCACAACCTTAGATAAAATAACATTCATTTGATATGAGAGTTGAGTATAGAATAAAACCATACTTTATTCTGATGAATTCCAGATTACAATTTGCTAGAAGAAAACCCAGAGATTTTATTTAAGATGACTCTAAATTACGCCCAATGATTTATATAAAAAGTATTCCTACTAGCAATATTTATATTGATGAAAATTAAGAGAAAATTAAGGTTTAACAATTGAGCTTTTTTTAACATAAATTATATTTCCATAGAATCTTATGCCATCATTGAAAAAGGTGTTGTCACAGAATATTTAATGAATTAGGAAAATGTTAATAACTTATTAATAAAAATATAGTTATCAGATTGAAATCCATATATATGACATATATTCATATATATGTATGCAAAAACCACAATTTTGCACCCAAAAAATATCTCTAGGTAATATTGTCATAATTAGTTTTCACTTTCTTCCTTATTTTCTTTAGTTTCTAATTTTTTTATGACAGAAAAGGTGACCTGAAAGTCTTCCTAATCTCCTCACCTATGAACCTGTTAAATAATTACATTAATAATAAAGATATCTTCTTTAAAATATGTATTTAAAACATTGTAACTGAGGTTTAATCTCAGTAATTCTGAAATATTTATTTACGCATGTGGGAACAAAATGTTATTTTATAACTACCAGCAGATTATCTGTTAGTGGTAGTATATTGTTATCCCATAGAGAGAGAGAGAAAAAAAATAAACCCTTCAGCAGGACTTTTGATCACGCAAAGGCAAAACTTGACTGGAGTGGCCAGGAGTTGAACTGAGATTAGAGAGAGTTAAACTTTCCTGTATGATATTGCAAACATTTGTCTTCATTCGGTGTTGAATTATGCTTCTGCAGTTTTGTTTAACTGAGAGGTGAGCATAGAGCATTGGCGAGGGGGATGATGGAGAAAAGTCTGTTCCTCCTTTCTACTGGGCTAATCCAGGGGTGGTGAGGGGGTTATCTCAGGGGCTTAAGGACACCCAGATTCCACATATGCAAAACATAATCAAGGACATTATTAGTGGGAAAGATGTTCAGAAACTGTGTCCACCTTTTGAGAGCTTCCAATCTACTTTGAACTGCAACATACAGAATAACTACCAACAAGGTACGGTATTCCCACTGTCAAGAAATATTAATGAGCTAAGTTTGCAGAGGCCTGATATTATAGGAATCACCTACAGGATTAATGTCCACTTAGCAGTTATGGCAGAAAAATATTCATCTCTTCTTCCTCATCAACTGACATTATCTCCTGTATCAACTGCAAATGCATTTAGCTTCGAGTACTAGCAAACCCTACTAAGAGTGAGTCAAGTATTACAGACATGTATTATGCCATGGAACAGCAGGGCAACCCAGCCCCTGGCACTGGCTCAGCTATTTAATGATGTCTTCCCAGATTCTTCCTTTCTTTCCACCCTGCTATCCATAGCATGCTGGATTTTTATCCCTGGGTTTGCTGCCTCATGTTTGCAAGATGGCTGCCAGATCCTGACATTATATTTGCATCCAATGCCAGAATAAAAAGAGAAAGAGACAAGCGCAGTTGCCTTTTGTAATAAGAAAACGAACTTGCTCCCAAAACTATCATCCTTATCACCAGCAACTTTCTCCTAGATATGGCACATGACCACCCCTGACCAAATGAGTGGCTGGGAAAGCATTTCATTTGCTCCAGTTTTCTGGGAGGTGGTCAGGAATAGTGAGGTTGGAAGTGACGGTATCCGAATGGGGTCTCCCCTACTTCTCCTTGTGGTTTTGGCATTTACACAACAATTTTTCCCTTATTTCTAGTTATTCTTACAGTTACTCCCTGTAATTGTTAGAAAACATTTCTATTTTGTCCACTAAGTCCAGGCATATAATCATATAAAATTTGGTAACTTGGAATATTTAAACACAATGACAATGACAAAACTTACTGATGGTTTTGTAAATCAGAAAGCACAAAAGCGCGGAGAAGATAACGTCAAAAACATTTCTTTCTAGTATGGTGATGGGGAGATTGTGGAATGGGGCATTGCCTGAGTCCCATAATGTTGCCAATGTTATCTTTTATCTGCTTCCCCTGTTTCATTTACTCAGGACACTGAGAGGGCATAGCTGCTAGAGAGATGAACCCTCTTGCTGGAAACAATGCATACCCAAGTAATAGTTTATATCAGTGTTTTTCAAGTTTTTTCAATATTGTCTGCCTAAGGAGACCTTTCAGATATTTTTTCCTGATTGCCTTCTCCATAAAATTTTAGTAGACAGATATACAGTCAGCCCTCTGTGTTTGTGGGTTCCACATCTGTGGATTCCACCAACTAAGAATTGAAAATATTTAAAAAGAAAAACTGTGTCTGTACTGAACATGTACAGAGTTTTTCCTTATCATTATTACCTAAACAATACAGTATAACTATTTACATAGCATTTACATTTATTGTGTATAAGTTACCTAGAGATGATTTATACAGGAGATGCAGGTAGATAATATTCAAATACTATACCATTTTATATCAGACATTTGAGCACCCATGGATTTTGTTATTTGCAGGGAGGCCTGGAACCAATCCCCCACAGATACCAGGGAATGACCGTACTGTATACATGTTTATGCCTTGGATGTATATCTGTACTTTATACATAAAATGAATATGATTCTCTTGTGCCCATCTCCAAGCCAATTTTTGCTCTCTTGGGAATAACATTGCCCCTCTGAGAATGCATAGTCTCTATCATGAAGACTTCCTCTCAAGGATGGATGAATAAAGGGAATTAAGAAAAATACCTGAAATGATTCTTGAAGAATGAAAATAACTACATAGAGAGACAGAAGGAAAAAAACATCAGACGTTTTGGGAATGCAGAAATAAAGCTGAAGACATGTGGGATTGTTATGAAGGTATCGGGGATGAAGAAGTGACCAACTTAGGTGGGGTCACAGCTTTAGGTGAGGAGTAAAGAGAAAGAGTCCTCCAGCATGGCCTTTCTCAGATTGTACACTCAAGGATCTCAATGCCAGCATCAAGAGTATGAATTGTAACAAATGAGGAATTCACTAAAGGGAAGTGAAATCATCAAGGAATTGTGGCTTGGGGTTGGGGGATAATTTCCAATTTGACTAGTTTCCACATCTTTATCTTTATTTCTCAAGACAGCTGCTTCCAGGTTACAATAAAAGAGAGTCTACCTAAAGAATCTTTACTAGTTCAGTAAGAATCTCTCTAAATTCCTATTGCACAAGAGGAATCTAACTCCCACAGATAAACAATGACTGAAAGCAGCACTTGAAGACTAATCGCGTAATAAAAAAAGACTGGGTCGGCCGGGCACGTTGGATCACGCCTGTAATCCCAGCACTTCGGGAGGCCAAGGTGGGTGGGTCAGCTGAGGTCAGGAGTTCGAGACCAGCCTGGTCAACATGGTGAAACCCTGTCTCTACTAAAAATACAAAAATTAGGTGGGGGTGGTGGTGGGTGCCTGTAATTCCAGCTACTCGGGAGGCTGAAGCAGGAGAATTGCTGGAATGCGGGAGGCGGAGGTTGCAGTGAGCCGAGATTGTGCCATCGCACTCCAGCCTGGGCAACAGAGTGAGACTCCATCTCAAAAAACAAAACAAAACGAAAAAAATGACTGAGTCAGGGAAAAACTATATGAATTATCAAATGGCAAACTCTCCCTCAAGCTTCTTCCTACAAGGAAAACACCTAGAAGCTTCAGCATGAATTAAAGTTGTGTTGTGTTTTACTTTTCTTCCAAAATGGTCATAATTAATTTTGTTGACACAAATACACAAGATGTTAAAGACTAATGGCACCATGTTGGTGAGAAGACAAACCCATTCTTGCTTAATACACTGGAGAAAGATGCTCAGATCATTCAACCATGTGAAAGCAACCTTTCTTGTACTGCAAAGTCAGCAAGACCTCTGCTAAAAACAAACTAAAAAGCTATTGCATAAATGCAAATACATACATTAGGGTCACATTATGTATCTAATTTAACCAATATTTCAGACAAAATTGTGTAATAAAAATGAATGTGAATCTTGTAAAGACCTCTTTCAATTGCCCTCTCCAGTGTTCCTTCATCACCCTTAGAATAACTCCAACTTTGAGACACACACATACACACAAACACAGGATGGAATAATTTCTAGAGGTGTACATTAAAAATAAAAGTTAAATCTGTCTTGGGGATCAATGAATTAACAGAGATAGATAAACTCCTTTTGTCTTAGCCATAATAGATCAATAAAGTAAAAGAAAGACATTTTGGTAGATTTTTCTCACTGAATTTATTGACTTTTTTAATGTTATGAAGAAATGTAGAGATTATACTGTGGGATTAGTTGATCCTTTTTTCTTGAGTCTGGGAAACAAATCTGTGTAAGAACTGTGTCATGCAAAACTCAGAAGCACCTAGATCTTCCTTTCTGAATAGACAAGGAATTGTTAAATGAGACGCAGTCTCTTTTTACCCCATGATCAAAATGTAAGACTTGTAAATGGGGTCTCAAGTTAAAATTTCTTAAGTTTAAAAGGGGATTCCCTAAATTCAATTTAGTATCCTGGAATGAATCCCAGAGAAAGGGCATTAGTGGAAAACTGGGGAAATCTGAATAGACTTCCGAAAAGCAGGTTGCTGCTTTGAGTATTCTTTTTCTTTGAGTTTTGCTAATTTGATCATAATGTGCCTCAATAAAGTCTGTAGTTTAGTTAATAAAAATGTATCATTGTTAATGTCTTAGTTCTGATAAATGTTCCATGGTTATGCAAGATGTTACCATTATAAGGGAAATGATGAAAAGTATGTGGGAGCCTGTGGAATAGGCTTTTTCTGTAAATCTAAAATATTCTAAAATAAAAATTTGCTTTAAAGAAAGCTCTCTCTCCAGTTCACTCGTCTTAGAGAATACTCATGGTATTCATTGGAGTAAACCGTGTTTTATGATCACCCTAACACATTAGGGGTTATTTTGTTCTTTTTGTATATAGAAACATTTAGTAAGTATTTACTGGATTCCATTGTGCAAAGAGCATAGCAAAGATGTCCTGGATTTAAGAGTTGGAATCTTTGCATTTAGATTCATTATGAGCCGTGAGATCCTGTGCAAGTCATTTAAACCTTTAGCAGCTATGCCTCTCCACTTTAATTCCTTTTGGGATAGGAACCCCATTTCACTCATCCCGGTAGCCTTCAGTAACCTTTTTTGGAGGAAATATGGGACAAGTGACAGCTTCAGAGTCAAACTTAGTTTAAAATTCCAGCTGCCCCACTAACCATGCATGTTACTATGGGCCACAGTGTTTAACATTTTTGAGTTTCAGTTTTTTTCATCTGTAAACTTTTGAGATGATGAAATGAGATGATACACGTAGAACACCCAACAGTGTCTAGCACAAACCGGAAGATTAGCGTGCTTCCTCTATAGAACAGCACCTTTCCCATGGAATTTTACTTATTTTTAATCTCGAAACACTTTTCTAGTACTCACCATGTGGAAGACCCTGTGCTAAATGTTTTTCAAATAGCAACTCATTTGATTATCTTAACAATCTTATGAAGGTTTTATCATCCCATTTTACAGATGAGATGAGGAAATTGAGGCATAAAGAAGTTACCTTATATGCCAAGATCTAACAACTACTAAGTGGCAGGACCTAGAATCTGTACACACACAGTACTCCTCCAGGGTTCGTATTCCCCAAATGCTAAACTTTCATAGATCATATTCTACCAAAGAGATGCATAGGCCCACGAGGGGCTTGCCTTGTTTACTGTAGTCTGCCAACAGTGCCAGCACAGAGTAGGTGTTCACACACACTCTGACTAAACGAATGAATGCATAGCAGTCCCTGTATAGACATGTGCTGATTCAAATATCGGCCAACCCATTTCCCTGCATCTCCAGCATCGCAGCAGAAAGGAACTAGCCTTCTCCATGAGCCTATGTTTTAGTTCCTGTGTTTGAAACACTAGACTCTCATTCAAATCTCAAACCATCCTATAAGGGGCATGGGAATACAGCAGGTGCCCCAGAACAATGTTTCAGTCAATGAACTGAATACACAACAGTGGTCCTACGAGATCACAATGGAGCTGAAATAGTCCTGTCACCTAGTGACATTGTAGCCATTCTGCTGCTGTAGCATTACTCACTTGTTTGCGGTGATGCTGGTGTAAACAAATGTACTGAGCTGCCACTTGTATAAAAGTCTAGCACATATAATACGTACAGTACATAATGCTTGTCAATGATAATAAATAGCTATGTTACTGGTTTATGTATTTACTATACTTTTTATCATTATTTTCGAGTGTCCTCCTTCTACTTGTAAAAAAAAAAAAAAAAAAGAAAAAGAAAGAAAAGTTAACTGAAACAGCCTCAGGCAGGCCCTTCAGGAGTTATTCCAGAAGAAAGCATTGTCCTCATAGGAGATGACAGTTCCATACATGTTACTGCTCCTGAAGGCCTTCCAGTGGGACAAGATGTAGAAATGGAAGACAGTGATATTGATGATCCTGACCCTGTGTAGGCCTAGGCTAATGTGTGTGTGTGTGTGTGTGTGTGTGTGTGTGTGTGTGTGTGTCCTAGTTTTTAATAAAAAGTTTAAAAAACAAAAAGAAAAATTTTTTAAATAGAAAAAAGCTTATAAAATAAAGATATAAAGACAGAAAATATTTTTGTACAGCTGTACAATGTGTGTTTTAAGCTGTGTTATTACAAAAGAGTTGTAAAGTTAAAAAAATTAAAAAATTTATATAGTAAAAAGTTACAGTAAGTTAAGGAAATTATTGAAGAAAGAAAATTAAAAAAATTAATATAGTGTAGCCTAAGTGTACAGTATATGAGAGTCTACAGTAGTGTACAGTGACGTCCTAGGCTGTTCACATTCACTCACCACTCACTCCCGACTCACCCAGAGCAACTTCTAGTCCTGCAAGTTATGTATATGGTTAAGTGCCTTCTACGGGTGTGACTTTTTTTTATCTTTTATACCATGGTTTTACTGTACCTTTACTATGTCTAGATATGTTCAGATACACAAATACTTACCGTTGTGTTAAAATTGCCTACAGTATTCTGTATAGGCACATGCTGTACAGGCTTGTAGCCTGGGAGCAATAGGCTACACCATATTGCTTAGGTGTGTAGTAGGCTATATTCTTCAGGTTTGTGTAAGTGCAATCTATGATGTTCTTACAATGACAGAATTACCTAAGGATGCATTTCTCAGAACATATTCCCGCCATTAAGTGGCACAGGACTGTATTTCCCTCTTCTTCCTGGAGAAATCAGAACACAGAAAGAAAGCACTTAACCTCCCCAAGTCACGTAATTAATCAGAAATGCAGCCAGCATCAGATCCCCAGGATTCCTGCTTCCAAAGCACAGGCCTTTTGTAGTCTAACTGGATGCCTCCCAGGGAGATAAATACTGGGAATATGTTTGTCGTTGAAGCGGTTCTTTCCTTCGCTTGATCCAGGTCTCTGCTTCTATACCGTCTCAGAGCGACTTGCTCCAACCTCTGGAATAAACTGCTACATTCACTTGGTATCCCCCCCCTTTTTTTTTTTTTTTGAGATGGAGTCTCGCTCTACCGCCCAGGCTGGAGTGCAGTGATGCGATCTCGGCTCATTGCAAGCTCCGCCTCCCGGGTTCACGCCATTCTCCTGCCTCAGCCTCCAAGGTAGCTGGGACTACAGGAGCCCGCCACCACGCCCGGCTAATTTTTTTGTATTTTTAGTAGAGACGGCGTTTCACCGTGTTAGCCAGGATGGTCTCTATCTCCTGACCTCGTGATCCACCTGCCTCGGCCTCCCAGGTATCCTTTTACTCTACTTTATTCTTTTCCTTACTGCAGCCGTCATTATTTGGCATCACATTGTATTTGTTTTCCGCCTGTGCCCCTGTCTAACTGGCAAGTTCCAACAAGGCAGAGAATGTGTCTGTCTTGGTGATCATTGTATCTTAGGGCCTATAATAATACCCAAAACAAGCAAAGCATTAAAAATGTATATTACCCCATAAATAAATAGATATGCAGGCCATTCCAGCAATAGTTTAGTAGTATTACCCTTATTAAGATTACCAGTATCTCTTTTTATCACTTAGGTCAGTTGGGACAAAGCTTTATTTAATAAGATAAAACTGACAGGAAAATTGAGTAAACAGTGTTGGTTTCAAATCAGACCAAAGCATACAGTCCAAGCAACACCATTAACAACTAGGAAACCAAACACTTGGGGTAAGGATGTCTTTCAGACAAGCGGAATAGCCAGTACCAGTGAGTTACCAAACACAGCCCCAGTTTTCATTCCTTCTAAATCTTCATGAGCTTAGAAATACTCCTCTGCTGCAGATCTCAAATTGTTTTAATTCACCTCTCATTTTTCCATCAGGAAACAATTGGCCTTGATTTATTTTGTATCACTTTATTTATGCATCTCCTGTAAGACTGAAACATTGATTTTCCTAAGAGATAATGTTAATAGGATCAATATACCACAACAGGCATGTATCAAAGTGCCATTTCTTTACCCTAAGCTGGGTGAAGGCACGAGGCACTGGGGGCAGGCAGCCTCTGCTGAAATCCACCCAGCTCTGGTGATTTGGAAGGTGGTATAAAGGCACCTTTGCTAATAAATTATGAATGAGCTCAAGCACTTTGATGACCCAGATAAGATGCCAAAGAGCACCACTGAGGACTCTAGGGAGTCTGGAAACCTAGATCATATTTTAAAGCTATCTTTAAACACAGTCCACACTAGGGCCAGAATATTTGAGAGAGGGAGTCAGGGCAGGGGTCACACAAAGGACTAGCTCTTTGTTGGAATTTTATTCTGAGTGATTGGGGTTAACTGGAACAAGCCATTTCCCAGGTGGTCTCCTCTTTCATCTACTTTTGGAAGCTTCAAATTCCAGTGTTTGACACAGGCAGCAAAAGAGAACCAGTGACCACTGCTTAATGGTAAAGCTAAGTGAGTTTTGCAGGCAGGTTTTATTTTACCAACATAAATGTGGTCTCATTTCTTCCTGTCTGTAGACTCTAATGCAACCCAGACAGACAGTTCTGTGCTGGAAACCCACAGGCCGAAGCCTCCCTTCCCTCTCCTGACACCTACAGGGTCTCTCTGCTGTAACAAAGCACTGAGTCTTTAACTCTGCAGGGGAAGGTGCTTAGCAGAATCATGTAGGGAACTCTTCTAAAAGCACACTTGCTGGAGCAAATGATCATCCTCTCACCTAAGCTGAGAATCACTCAGACTCTCACTTGTGGTTCTAACTCTAGAAATTCATTAGAATCAGCTGAAGAACTTTTGAACACTAGATTCCCCATCCCACTTCAGACTTACTGGTAAAGAGATTGAGGGAAGGGGATGGGAATAAGGGAAAGAGAGTCTCTATTTTTAAAATGCTCCCAGGGGAATTTAATAGGCTCCTTTAGCTAACATATTTGACAACCATTTCTCCAAAATTCCAATGGCTCTCAACCATGGCTGCACATTACCTGAATTATCTGTGAAGATTTTAAACAATATTGATGTCCATGTCCCATTGTAGACCAGGGTTTCTGTGTGTTGGGGGTCTATCCCAGGCCCCTACCTGACGGATGGCCTAGCAACCTCCTCTCCTAAGCAAAAATGTCCCCAAGCATTGCCAAATGTTCCCTAGAATACAAAATTGCCTGCCCTCCCCCACCCCTAATGGTGGTGCCTAGTCATACGTTTTCAAGCTCATTTTAATGTACATCATCTCCATTACTTCATCTTCATTACATCCATCCATGCCCTTTCAATCTCTGGTCACTTTGGGTGATACACATATCTTTACTCTACATGGGCAGAGTGTATTATAGGAAGATACCAAATCCACATCCTGAAGTAGAGTCCAGCTGGTCTGTATGTGTTACATTACATGTTCATGGCCCAAACTTGCATTTACATAGACTTAAAGAAACAGTTCACAAAAGGGAAGGGACAACTAATTATAAATTAATAATGAGGGTAGTAATTTTTAAAAAGGCAAATTAAAAGAACCAAGCACAGTTTTTATTTCTCTAACACATTTGCAAAATGGATTCATTTGTTAAATATCCTGTGAGTATCTATAACGTGCCACGCAGTAAGCAATACAGACAACATTGTTGCCATTATTACTGTTGCTTCTTATATTTTAGAAGGGGAGAGACAAATGCCATGCAAGCTTACACATAAAATAATTTCATATTGTCTAAAGTGCTACTGAAGAAACAAAAGAGGTGATGTGGTGGAGAATTTGAAGCAGCAGTGAGCTACTTTAGAGCGTCATAGAAGGATGGAATAAAAGCGACATTTGAGCCTAAACCTGGTGCTGTCACCCACTGCTGATGACATGAAAATTGGCTATGTCTTCTAAGAAAATATTTTGCCAATATATTTTAGAGGTTATAATATTATTTTATCCAATCATTTAACAAATTTGGGACATCTCTGAAAATATGCTCCATCAATACCACTGCTGAGACTGTATACTAACGAAATTACTATAATAGAGTAAAATAACCCAATACATTAGAAGCTTTACAATATTTTATAAAATCACAACCTAATGAACTGTCAATGAAAGGGGACAGTTAGATAAATTCTGGCATATCAACTAAAATGTGAAGGATGCTTAAGGGATAATGTAAAAAGGTTATATAATGTGTAGAATGCTTAAGATATAATCTAATGAAAAATAAGCAGGTTACAAATTTGTCCACACATGGATTGTATGTAGGACTTGATGTGTAAAAAAATTGAGAAGAAAATTCTAAGAAAGTAATAAGAGCGATTGTGCAGCAGGTGCCTTTTATGGAGAATTTTTTTTCCTCTCCTGTTTTCAGACTTTTCTGATTCATTCTTTAGACAAATTATTAAAATGATGCTTCAGACTTTTTGTTTTTTGAGACAGACTCTCACTCTGTTGCCCAGACTGGAGTGCAGTGTTGTGATCTTGATTCAGTGCAGCCTCCACCTCCCGGGTTGTAGTGATTCTCCTGCCTCAGCCTCTGGAATAGCTAAGACTATAGGCACATGCCACCATGCCAGGCTAATTTTTGTATTTTTAGTAGAGACAGGGTTTCACCACATTGGCCAGGCTGATCTTGAACTCCTGACCTTAAGTGATCCATCCGCCTTGGCCTCCCAAAGTGTTGGGATTACAGGCATGAGCCACCACACCTGGCATAATAATGCTTCAGAAAAAAAAAAAATTATTTCAGTTCAAAGGATAAATATCTTAAAAAAAAGAAATAAATACCTTTAAAAAGATAAATACATATCTTAAAAAAATAAGAAATCAGTTGATAAAGATTTTTCTATCAAATATTTGCATAATCAGCAGTTATTTTTACTCCAAAATAAGCAGTATGAGTCAAAAACTTTGCAGCTGGGAAGCCCATTAAAATCTTTGGTTGAATTTCAGCAGTATCAAATTATTTTTCCAATGTCTATATAAACACCATAGGTGCATTGCATTTTCAAAGGAATAATTTGGCAAATAATCTGTTATAATTTCCTTACATTGACAACTTGCTTTTGAATATGTTCTAACTCTGACATAAACTTTCATATATTACGTGCACTATCATATTTTCCAAGTGTGTAACTCAATTCAAATACTGATGTCTTTGGTCTAAAAACTTTAAAACATTCTAGATCCTTGCATTTCAAAGTTTGGTCTATGAATAAAAAGTCTAGGCATTGCTTGAGATTGTTAAAAATGCAGATTTTCAGGCCCCACCCTTACATACTGAATCACTATTAATGAGATCTCCAAATGATTTGTATGCTCCTTAACATTTGAGGAGCACTGCTCTAGAATACGGGTTTCAGGATTAAATGATTTGTTCACTCTCTCCATCATTTGTATTTATCTGAAGGGATGAAAAGATTAGAATTTTCCACAGCTGAACTAGTGCTTTTGAAAAGTTCTCTATGATCTTTGCTTTCAGTCAAATGGAGAATAATGACAACCAGGCATGATCACTTTGAATTTAGGAGGTGTCTCTATTTTAGTTTTTCTGGTCTATCTGTAACTTGGAGACAGTGTACCAGATTAGGGGGATGGATGGTGTACAGAAATCCAGTGTCTGTTAAATAAATGACAAAGTCAATAAAGAAGTAGGTGAAGGTACAAATAAAGAATGCTTCAGAATCTTTCTGAAATAATTTAAAGCCAACCTAAAAATTATAGTCCAATTTTAGAACAAAAACAGGCCTGAGTTTCAGGGATAAAAATGAAGGTGGTTGATAGATCCACTTTTCTTTAACCTGAGATTAGTCAAATGCTTTTTTAAAAAGGTTTTGTGTTCTATTAGTAATTATAAATAAATATTCAAATAGATCTGAACAAAGAACTCCAGGGCACGTAAAGACAAAATATTGACTCTTCCTTTTTTCTTACCTCCAGGCACTGATTTCACAGAAGAATTCAATTGTATTCATGGCTCATGAACAAACATAATGATAAAAATGCTCTGTGGATATAAAAACATTTCTTCCCAGGGGCTCAAACTTCATTCTAGACATTATCTCATTAATTGCTTCCTTAAATCTTTCTCATTGATTTTTATATTTTTTGAACTAGCAAGTTCACTATTTTTTTTTTTTTGCATATGAAGGAAAGAGTTCACTTCAATTAGAATTTGAGATCTTAAGCATCTTTTAAAATGGCGATGTTACTTCTCAACTGACAAGGAGTTACTGGAGTAGTTTCAAGAAAAACCAAAGTGACCGAACAGCATTATTTATTTATGCATGAACTAGCAAAAGTTCTGAGGGTGTCTTGGGAAGATTGTATCAGGAATGTAAATACTTGACTAATGTACCTTGGCAGTATCAACCAGCAGAGATATGTTTGAAGATTAGAGATGTGCAAATGTCTCATTTGTGAAAGGGAAACAAAATGCTAGTATATATTATTAAATAAGGCTTCTGACAAAATAATGCAGTGATTGCTACGGACCAGTAGGGATTCACCAAGAACAAGGTCATTCCCAATCAACCATATTCCTGATTTTGACAGAATTACCACTTGGGTAAAAGAAGGGAATACACAGATGTCATAAAATTCAGCTAATAATGATCACTATTCTTCCTTGAGCACTTCCAATGGGCCAGAAACTATAGGGAGCATTTTATAGACATCTCATTTAATCCTTTAAAACTTATGAGGAAGTAGCATTACTAATTTACATATGAGGGAAAAGCAGCTAGTCCAAGGTCACAAGGCTGTTTCCAAGGATAATGTTTTGAGACAGCCAGGTGGGAAGGGGTTCCCAGAGAAACTCCAAGTAGCCTGCGCACTGAGATGAGTGCCCACTGGGGTGGAGCCACAGAAGTTCATGCCCCTTGCAGCAGGGAGGAGCTTGGCCTCTCCTCTTCCTGGGTGGAACCCAGGATTCAATCTGCGAAGCAGGAAGGATGTACTAGCAGGACTCTCGCTCTGCCCTGTTTCCCCTTTTTTGCCCAATCAATCCCATTTTTCTCACTCTTCAAATCATCTGCAAGCCTAAATTTTCGTGGCCATGTGACAAGGACCCCATCTTTAGCTGCACTAAAGTTCCACAGCAGTTTCTATGCATCACAGGATGCTCTTTTCCACAAACCTAATTTGCCTGTGAAACTGTGTGGTTAATCGGTCAGATCACTCCATCTGAGCAATTTAAACGTCGTCCATAATTTCTGTTATAGTATTTCTGCATTATAATGCCTATTTGTTTGTCTGGCTCTCTTTCCACACCAAGAGCTTTTCTTCCCTTGATTTCCTTTGCCTAGTCCAGGGCTTGCCCTCAGGTAGTGTTCAAACCACTGTTAGGAGACAATCAAGAGGGAGCCTATTGAGGCCAATGCTAGGGATGAGAATGGGGAAGTAAGACAGTGCCCACCAGAGCCTGGGGCCCTCAACCCCCAATTTAGGAGGTACTTTGAACTCTTTGGCTCTATGATTATACATAAGTATACTTTTTTGTTTGTTTGTTTTTTTTTTTTTTTGGTCTTTCTCAAAAAAAAAAAAAAAGTGATTGGATCATGGGGGCAGCTTCCCCTATGCTATTCTTGTGATAGTGAGTGAGTGCTTACGAGATCTGGTGCTTTAAAAGTGTTTGGCAGTTTCCTCTGTGTGCTGTCTCTCTCTCTCCTGCCACCATGTAAGATGTGCCTTGCTTCCCCTTCAACTTCTGCCATGATTGTAAGTTTCTTGAGGCTCCCCAGCCATGTGGAACTGTGAGTCAATCAAACCTCTTTCCTTTATAAATTACCCAGTCTCAGGCAGTTCTTATAGCAGTGTGAAAATGGACTAATATATCCTTTAAAGTAGTATTGTTTACATTTTAAAACATATAGTGATTGAAAGAACAAGGTGTTAAAGAGATGGTCCAGTGGAGTGGTTAAAAGTGTGAGTTCTGAAGATGCCCAATGTGGGTTCAATTGCAAGTGATGACCTTTAATAGCTTTTGATCTGGGCAAGTTACTAAACTTCTTGGGGCCTGTTTCTATTATCTATAACCCTTCTTCACAGGGTTATTTTGAGCATTAGATATGTTAGGTCATGTAAAACTGTTCCTGGTACATAATAAGTGTTATATGTAAACTGTTATTAGCATCTTTAGGTACAGAGATGGGGAGATTTCTAAAAAAATTATTAAGTGAGAAGAAGTGAATGGAAGAATAATATATATGGGATGGTCACTTTTACATATTAAAAACTATTTTTATTGAATAAATGCAAAGATAGAGGAAAGATGCACCAGTCTTTGTTGCTAACCTATTAGAAGGGGAAGACTGTGGGGAAAGAGGAGAAATGAATAAAGGGAATTTTCATGTGTTCAATATGCTTATTTCTACATTATTCTAATTGTTACAATGATTACATACTCAATATACATATTTATTCTATTAAAATATTAAATTAATATTGAGGGAAAAGCAGGTAGCTTTGATAATATGCTACCTGCACCCCCATAATTAAGAAGCAATGAGATAATACATGCAAAGGGTCTAGAACACCATCTGCCAGTTGCCCAACAAATGTATATGCCCTGGCCTTCTGATTTTCTTTTCTTTTTTTTTTTTTTGAGACAGAGTCTTGCTCTGTTGCCCAGGCTGGAGTGCAGTGACATGATCTCAGCTCACTGCAAGCTCTGCCTCCTGGGTTCATGCCATTCTCCTGCCTCAGCCTCCCGAGTAGCTGGGACTACAGGAGCCCGCCACCACGCCCGGCTAATTTTTTGTATTTTTAATAGAGGCGGGGTTTTACCATGTTAGCCAGGATGGTCTCAATCTCCTGACCTCGTGATCCACCTGCCTCAGCTTCCCAAAGTGCTGGGATTACAGGCGTGAGCCACCACGCCCGGCCCTGGCCTTCTGATTTTCAAAGGCACAGCACAAAAAAAACAAAAACAAAAACAAAAACAAAAAAACTTGGTCCCATGCCTCAGTTTGGTCACTAGGTAGTTTTGGTCTTAGTCTTTTGAGAGGAGAACACCAAGTCCATGGTTTTTTTCATACTCCGATGACTGGCACTGATCAATGTTAAGAAGAACGACCTTTCACTCCTGAATTTTCTCATTGACTCAGGCAAGAAGGGTCCGATGCAATTTCTTCATTTACTAATGGATATGAGAAGATTTATGTGGAGTCCTTATTAGGGAAAAGGAGTCAGGCTGGCGGCACCAAGGGAAAGCAACTAGAGAAAGCAGATGAGCTGTAGGTCTGCCTTTGTGGCCCAGGACATATAGCCCTCCCAAGCAAATAACATACATTAGGGGTCCCCAGCCCCCAGGCCACAGACCAGTACCAGTCCCTGGCCTGTTAGGAACCTGGCCACACAGCAGGAGATGAACAGCAGGCAAGAGAGCATTAAAGCACCTCCTCCTGTCAGATCAGAGGCAGCATTAGATTCTCATAGGAGCACAAACCCTATTGTGAACTGTGCATGTGATGATCTGAGGTAGAAGTATTATCTTGAAACCATGCTCCCCCAACCCCCAACCCCCAACCCCCACCCCTACTTCTCCATCCATGGAAAAATTTTCTTCCACAAAACCAGTCCCTGGTGCCAAAAAAGGTTGGGGACCACTGACGTACGTAACTCACAAACTTCCTGCTTATCATCAAACACTTCAATTTGTCATCAAACACCTCAGCTGAGAGAGAATACAAGTTAGCTCCCTGCTGCCTTGGTGGTATCAATCAGCCCAGAACCATCCTAAAAAATCTCCAGGAAGCCTTTGTTTCCTTGCAGTCAGATCCTTCTTTGCCCATTCTGCCTGTTATTCCCCTGCAACATATTTTCATACTTTCTCTAATAAATCTGCCTTTCTTTACCTACAACTGTCTTGGTAAATTCTTTTACCCCTGCACCAAGTGCCTGGAAAGTCACCGGTCACCAACTGGTCAATGCCTATTGACTATAAACTGTCACAGGAGATGTTTCAAATGAACTGTTTTCCTGAAAGTGCTTTGGAAATCTGAAGCATTAAGTAAAAAAATACATATTTAATAATAGTGACAACACTAATGATATATTATCAATTAATTTTTTTCTGTATAGAGCCAGAATTTTTTTCTGTATATAGCCAGATAATGAATATTTTCGTCTTTACAGCCATGCAGTCTCTGCCATAACTACTCAATTCTGCCATAGTAGCATGAAAGCGGTTGTGTACAGTACATCAAGCAGTGAGTGTGGCTGTATTTTGCACAGGCTATTTTATTTCCAAAAATGTAGTCCATGGTTTGGATTTGGCCCATGAACTACATAGTTTGCCAACCCCTGACAATCCACTGAGGGGAGACACTGAGAACTTGTTTTTGACATGGGATTCATGAGATCTGTATACTTTTTATGTTTCCATAGACAGAGAGATTCCTTAATCAAGTCTGCTTCATTAGCTCTGAGATAATAGTGCATCTGTCTTGCCATTCCCTCCAAAAGAAGAAAGAAAAAAAAAGGAATAAAACCCCAAATTGTGATGCGGAACAAGGGAACATGCACACTAATTTAGACTGCATAAAACCAAATTAAGGTTGTTTTTCTGATTGAAATTAGAAACAGTTGAAAACTCATGTTAGTAATTTGGAGTTGGCAGCTCTAAGTATGTTTATTTTTAACATCATTACTTATTTGTGAAGGGAAAGATACATAAAACTTGTTGTCTCAATTAATTAAAAGAAATAAGCTCCCAGAAAGAAAAAAAAAATATATAGAGTTTTAGTGAAGCTCTTTAGTCTGTGTTGACATACACTAATATTTTAACTATGCGACTGAATTAATTGAATATTGGATATTGAGCCAAATTAGTCCAAAAAGTTAAGTCACTTAAACTTTTTAGAATTCAACACGTCAAAGATTTGAACCTTATAAAGACTTCAGTGCAGATTTTAACATAGATCTTTTAAACATATATCTTCAAGTTGGAATTCCATCTGTCTCTATCATTGTTCTTCCTTAGGTGTACTTGATTTTTGTGTTTGTGTGACAAAGCCAGTTAATGCACTTGGTTGAAATTCCAAATTTTGGTTTAGATCAGTGAAATAACCATTTTGCATTCCCTAATGTGCAAGTTTTAACATATAGGACAAAAATTGAGCTGCAGTACTCATTCTATTTCATTGATATTGATAGACCGCCTCATATAATTTAATTTTAAGGAGTTCCACATTTGTTTGGCTGTAGTTTAAACTCTGACTCCCCATTCTACTACTCTTCACAGCCTTCCACGAGCAGGCAGTAGCTCTTCCAATTCTTTTACCCACTTCCCTGCACCATGCTCAGTGATGCAGCCCATCATTGCTTTCTAGACACCATGTTGTCTGACCTTTTTGCCCTTCTTCTCCTCCTGTGTTTATCCAAATCCTAAGCATCCTTCAATTTCAACTCAAATTCTCCCCCTAAGAAACCTTCCTGGATGACCTCAGCCCAAAGTGATTATTCCCTCAGATAAATTCCTAAAGCATTTACTCTCGTCATAAGTGACTTGTCACATAAGAGATATCACCTTTGGTTGGTAGTGACAGTGTCTCATCTCTAAACTCCTAGAAGGCAGGGACAATTCTTTAAAATTGTGTTCTTAGGATCTAGTATATTTCCTGCATCGTATAGTCATTCTTTCAATAATAATTTGTTGGAAGGACAGCTGGATGGATAAACAAACAATCTATACCAACCAGACTGTAAGAGGCTGGCAGGAAAGGGCCATGACTGACAACAAATACTTAGTGATTTATTTGAGCTTTACACTTATTAAATGATAGTTCCATCTCATGGTTTTAAATTCTAAAAATGAGCTTAAGACATATATACAGAATATCAATGAAATGAGACTTCCAAATGAAAATTCCAAGATTTCGATAATCTATATGTTTAAAATCACTGTATTATAGAATGAGATTTTTTAAAAAGATGTTCAACCCAACACTCTTAACTTCATAGAACACCAGCACATTTCCAACTGAAAACCATTAAAGATGAAGAAGTTATATTACACAAAGTTTTAGGAATAATTATTACAATTTTAAAAAAGAAAGTACTCAAATCTACAAATGAAAACTGGAGTAGGTGAAAACTGGAGTAGGTGATAATGAAATTATCCTTTCCAGATAATTTCAGCAAGAGAAGTTGCTGTTAAGGAGGAATTGTGAGCAGTGATGAGGAAATGGCACGGTGAGATGAAGAGTGTACCATGACCAATGGTTCACATTAAACAATCATCACACTGTGTTCTACTTTATTTTTTCCCTCATCAATGGTTCAGAAGTTTACTTGTCACTTGGATGAATATGGTGGGGGAAAAACTATTGGTAAACGTAACATTGTGGAATAGAATTTTTTCTTTTCCAAAAGGAGTTGTTTTTTGACCAGGAGAAATGAATTCAATTCCCACGTTTTCATTTAATTTTACAACTGGTCAGAGACATTTTTAACATGTTTCCATTTCTTATTCCTTATCAAAATGGATTAAAGAATCAGAAAACAGGAAGTTCCACCCCACACTAAAATAACCTGTGATTTACTGATTTGCTTTTTGCTGAAGCTTTCAAAGAACCACACAATCACATCATGGTCTATCAGATGCCTCAGATGTTCCCTATACTATAAACCACCATATTCCTTCAGCTTTCTACTTTAGTAGAACATTCTCTGTGCTGCAAAAATGCATACATGAACATAAAGACAGATAATTACAACATTAGCACAAATGTAAGGTTAAGAATCTGAAAGACGGCCAGGCATGGTGGTTCATGCCTGTAATCCCAGCACTTTGGGAGGCAGAGGTGGGCGGATCACAAGGTCAGGAGATGGAGACTATCCTGGCCAATATGGTGAAACCCTGTCTCTACTAAAAATACAAAAAATTAGCCAGGCATGGTAGTGCACGCCTGTAGTTCCACCTGCTTGGGAGGCTGAGGCAGGAGAATGGCATGAACCTGGGAGGCGGAGGTTGCAGTGAGCCGAGATGGCATCACTGCACTCCGGCCTGGGTGACAGAGCGAGACTCTGTCTCAAAAAAAAAAAAAAAAAAAAAAAAGATAGATAAGGTAGTCAAGTCAAGATTATCTTACATTGGAGTAATGTTTTTTTTTCCTATTCGGAGGCTGTATAATAAATATACAAAACATGTGCCCTTGTTTCTGGAAAAAAAAATCAAAATTACAATATCCTGTATCCTGCAGAGAGAATATAATCTGGGGTGGGAGGTATATACTTGAGTCCACTACCATTCTTTAGACAGAAAGGCAGAATTTCTTAACAATTTTATCCTTCCTCTGCTAACTGAAATGCAGGGTAGCCCAGAAACAACTGGAATTCATTTAATTTGTAAGCAGGTTTTGAGCTCTGCTGAAGCTCCTCTGTCTTCATCTTAATGTACTTTCCCCCAAAGAACAAAAAGGAGAGAAAGTTACAGGCCTGAGAAGGAAAATGCAGCAAGTTGGGGATGGGTTGGCTGGCACAGCAATAATTAATAATTAAATAATTTAAACATGCTCTCCAAAGCTGAGCATCTGACAGGCTGCTGCACTCCATCAGCACGGAGGCAGATATGAGCCAAGGAAGACATTCTAGGAAGTTGAAAGAGTCCCTCTGGGAAAATTCTGATCAAACGAATGATTAAGAGGGACTTCCAAGGGTCAAACTGAAGTCCTTTGTTGTTTTTACTTTCAAAAATCGCCCAATTCAGACATTTTTGTTAGAGTGTACATTAGCAATTAAATATGTATTTGCCTAGCTGAGTAGAAATGTTAATTCTCTCTTAACCTCCTAAACTCAGCTTTCGGGCAGGTTTAAATCATAGGATGTCAGTAAATATAAGTGTAAGTTTCATATACGTGTCATGAATGAGTGTGCCCACACTGTCATACCTTCCCTAGCAGCCAGAATAGGTTTGGAATAGAGAATGTGCTCACAGTGAATGGAAACATATGTATAGGCACATATACATTCATATAATACATTCCCAAAGAAGCTGTAAAACTGAAAGGAACATAAGATAAAAGTAGTTTGGTCTAATTCCCCACATTTTGCAGAATAGGAAATTGAGGGCCAGAGAAGCTAACACATACACACACAAAAATGTGTGCAAAATCGAACACATGGATAGAAGAAAAGGGAAAATTTGAAGTCAGGCTTTCTATAATAACACCAAAATTAGTGCACTTTCACTGCTTTGTACTTCACAGTGATAAGGACTTGAAAACGTCACTGATATACCAGATGCCTAAATTCTTCTCTTCACTCTAGTCAGCGGATTTTGGCTTCATCACATCCTAATTCTCCAAAATCAAGGTCAGATGGTGAAGACCAAAAACTCTGCAGCCTTCATACAGCTCAAAGCATAGACTCTTGAATCCTAAGTCCAAGTCTGCCATTTTGACTGCCCAGTCCTGTCTGAATCACTTAAGCATCAGTACACTTGAAGTCCTAAAAGCATATTAGATTCTATTATCATTAGCATCACTGTCAGAGCACCAGAAGCATTAATTTGTGTTGTTAGACCATGAGTTTTGTGTTTTATTGTATTTGCTAATTTGGCTTTTTATTGTACACCTAGCACCAGATGCAGTTGGCAAGGCATGTGTGTGTGCAGATATGGAATAAAAAATGATTATTAAGTGAGAGAGAACTTTACAGCCCAATGAGGGTTCAAAGGAAATAGTGTCCCTAAGGGCCAGGATTTGTAGCATGGGGGTTTCGTGGGAAAGTAACCAGGTGGTAGACATGGACAATGATTCGGGACAGTCAAGCACATGATAGGTATGAAGCCCACAGCATCCCTATCAGGCAGGCATGGTGAATATGACAGATCTATCCTGTCTTGCTGGGGAACTGTACCCTGCTCACACTGACCATAAAATTTTCAGGAAAGGATGGGACAAGGATTAAGGCTGGTAAAGGAGGAGGGGCCAGTGGTGCAGGATTTCATGTGACATATCATGAAATTAGACATCTTCTCTTTTTGTAGCTGTCAGGGAGAAGCCACTGAATGGATTCATCAGGGAGCAGCATGATCCTAAAAAGCTCATTCCGGCAGCTGCTTAGAAGTTGGAGCCTAGGAAGGAGTTGAGACAGGGACACCTAAATGAAAAACATCAGGCCAAGTATCTTGATCCAATCTGCCTCTTCAACAAGATCAGAAATGCCTCGAGTCCAGGGCCTATGTCACACTCAACATGCCAAACATTTGCATACAGCAGGTGCTCACTATACAGTTTGTTAAATGAATCAGCATTGCACTGTATTTGGGGTGACTGTCTAGAAGGAATATATTACTGCATTAGGTCATAGAGGCTAAAAACTTCAATACCCTCTTTTAAACTATAAATAAGATATTGAAGCATTATAAGGGGGAAAAAACAAGGGCCAAGGCAAGGTGAAGCACAGCTATAAGCGACAGTCCTTAAACATTGTGCAAGGGAGGAGGCACCAAATTTCTTCCAGCAAGGAAAGAAACAATCAGTTTTACTTAGAAAAGAAAGCTAGTCCTACAGCTCATTGACTGGGTGACTCAAATGAAGTTGAGGCTTGACCTTCATGATGATGAGAAGCTGAACAATCATTGCTCCTGTCAGTCTAGCCATCAAGATGGTCTAGGAGGTCTCATACACTCTGCAGGTTGTCTTCACTGCATCAGATATGTCATCTGAGTGACCGTGGCTCAGCCTGGGACAGGTGGGGGAACCTCTAGCTACTGGTTTTTAAGCCAGCGCCTAGCCAGTACCAGGACAAAACTAATTTACAGGGATGGGAAAATAATACTAGCAGAAGTTACTCTTTCCTGAATGCTTATCACCTCCAAGGCACTATGCTTAACATTTCACTGGCATTATCTCACTGAAGCCTCAAAAAACCCCTATGAGTTAGGGACATTATTACTCCCAGTTTACAAATGGGACAACTAATGCTCAAAGAAGTAATTTGTCAAAGGTCACACAACAAGAAGTGGCAGAACTAAAACTTAAATCCATGACGAGCTATCCATCCCCTGAAGCCTAATCTCTTTAATTATGATGATAGGTTGGTCTTAGCAAATAATAATGATGCTCTTCATTCTGACAGCACTTGCAGAACCCAGAAGTAATCTTGTAATTTGGACAAAGGATAGACTATGGTTATTCCTTGACAAGTTACAGGACTTATACTAGATAATATGACATAGTTTTTAGCAAAAGAAGGACTGGCAGGATTAATCATTTGTTTGGGTTCAAATCATGGTTATATTATTTCCTGGTTAGGTGACCATAAAAAAAATTGCTTACCCTCTTCTAAGCCTCACTTTACTCACTTAAAAAATGGAAATACTGTGGTGCTACTTCATAGAGTGGCTCAGAGGGTTACATGTGACAATGCACGCACACACTGAAAACACCTACCACATACTACTTACTCACATGTTGGAGTAAGTGGTAGAATTGTCCCCACTTAGCTGTTAGTAAAGTGTAGGGTCAAATAAATTATATCACTTCACTTCAATTCCATCCAATCCAATTTATTTCAGTGACCGATTCTTGGCTACCCAGTAGGTAATCATGTTCTTGGTACACATATCTTGATTCCTACTCCTAGGTGGTTTTCATTACAAAGTTTTGTAGAATTTAGTGACAGATCTAGTTGCTCTATCACTAAACCCCAAGTCTTGCATTGAGGTGAGCAGCTCATGACATTAACACCTTATGTATCTCAGAGTGGCATTTACTGTTTTCCAAATGCACTTCTTCCTTTCTGCTGTTTCTCTCCACCATTGTCCTCTCCTCAAACCATGTTGGTCTTTCCTTCCTTTCTCTTCTATCTTTGGGATCTGTGCCTTAGGGCATCACTGGCATTCAGGAATCCACAGGGCGTTGCAAAACCCTGCTCAAAGCCCCTAAAACAAGAAATCA
Organism: Homo sapiens; assembly: GCF_000001405.40. NCBI lineage: Eukaryota > Metazoa > Chordata > Mammalia > Primates > Hominidae > Homo > Homo sapiens. The sequence continues at coordinate 67,212,854 of NC_000003.12, forward strand.
GTGACCCTTGGAATTCTCATTTCAACGAGTGTGGGTTTTGAAAGCCCCAAGATGAAAAAAGCTGTAAGATGGCCATCCCTGTGGGAAGGGGAGTGGATCGCAACTGAGAAATGAGTCAGAGCCAGCGCTGGAGAGTCTCTGGCCTGATAGCTAGGGATGAAATGCAACATTAAAAACCATCACAGAGATCTATAGCTGAGCTCTTCAGTGGCCTGCTGCTAGCTAAAAGGCTTCCACTTGACTGCTCTGGTTTGTGCAAGTTTGTTTAAGATGCATAATTCATAAAGGGTACATAGCACCACCCTTGAATAACTTTTCACTCCCTACCTGCTCAGAGGATTAGCTGGATTGACAATGTCAGGAGATCACTCTTGAAATCTGACATTTCACCCTTTATGGCCTGGGAATGGCCATCAGCTACTCATCTCTTTACTCCGTGCTTGTCCCCATCAAATACCTGTATGTATTCCCTGGCAGATAAAGTTCTATCCTCCCTGCACGTAGTTCCAAATAGAGTCTCAAACAATAAGTGCATCTCAGAATCAAACCACATTTTAGTCCACCACCATTATATCAGGAAGCAGGAACTAACTTCCTCTGACTCTCTGTTTATTGCATAAAAAAGTGAGGGAGATTAAAAAGGTAGGGCATAAATTCAGCCCTGCTCCTAAGCACTTCTGTTCCAGCTGACACAAGCAAGAAAACGATCTCCTTAGGATCCATGAGATTGCCCCAGATTATTTGTCATCCCAATACCTGCTGATGACATAATAGTCAATTTAAAGGTCATTTATGGTGCTCCTGCTAGGACTGATAAGGATCGACTGCACAATAGGGGTTATTCGGGGGAGGCATTGTTAGTACTCTAACCTGCCCCAAATATCCCTTTCTTAGCACACTTCGATGACATTTTTTTCAGTGTGACAATAACAGCCTCTTTAAGACAATCCATCAAACTAAGCTAGAAGACAAACATAACTTCATGCTCTGAAAAACTTTATGTTCTGGTTCAGCCAACAGTCATTACTACCAACCAGTATCCTGACTGTAGTTTAATCTGATCAGTGTATTTCAACCTAGAAACAGGCCCAGTCCTCACTTCTTAGTCTAAAGTAAAAAGGGGTAAAAATGAAAATGTAGGATTAGCTATGGCTTATGATCACCCACTATGCATCTAAGGAACTCAGCACATTATCCATCTAGATTACTCCTTAAAATAATCCTAAATGGTAGATTCTCTTATTATCCCCATTTTACCTCAATTTTTTTATCTGTATAAAAAATTAAAATAATAGTACCAGTAGCAAAATAACATTGCCAATTACGACAATAACAACAGCCACCATATACTAAGTGTTTGCTATGAGCTGGACACTGTGAAAAGTCTCTTATCTTCATTGTTTCTTTCTTTCTTTCTTTTTTTTTTTTTTGAGACAAAGTTTCGCTCGTCACCCAGGCTGGAGTGCAATGGCTTGATCTCAGCTCCCTGTGACTTCTGCCTCCCAGGTTCAAGCAATTCTCCTGCCTCAGTCTCCTGAGTAGCTGGGATTACAGGCACCTGCCACCATGCCCGGTGAGTTTTTGTATTTTTAGTAGAGGCAGGGTTTCACCATGTTGGCCAGGCTGGTCTTGAACTCCTGACCTCAGGTGATCCACCCACCTCGGCTTCCCAAAGTGCTGGGATTATAGGTGTGAGCCACTGCGCCCGGCCCGTTGTTTCTTTAACCCTGACAAACCTATGACATGGACATCATTATCATCGTCTTCATTCCTTCAGACAAGAAAATTAAGAGTTCGAAAAGTTATGCAACTTGCTGAAGAGCACACAGCTAGTAAGTTGCAGAAAGGACTGAAAGACCCTGTCTATTAAAACCAGACATTTGCCTGCCTAGAATGGCTCTCAGGAAAACTCATTACCAAAGTGTGAAGGGCAGAAACCACACTGAAGGAAATTCTGTATCAAATGCAGATTTTAGTTACTAAAAAAGACAAAAGGTGCTGAACTGCTTACAACCTATTTGGCTGCTTGCTTTATTTAATTAATTCCGCTAAACTCTATGGATTTAACCAATAGTAGTAGCCTGGCAGCTTTAACGCCTCCATGAACCTTCATTAACAGCAGTTGACCCTTGCCAAAAGGTGGAGTTTGGAGCATTTGATGGGTTACAATCTTAAATGGGAACTGATTGAGCCTCCTTAAAGGAATTTTAAAAGCCAAGTGTGTGTGTAGGTACACACACACCTTTTCCAAGAGTTAGGTAAGGAGGGTGTTGTGCTGAACCCCTATTAGCCTCAATAAGGAAGATACCAAGTTCACAAGGCTGAGGAAGAGACCCACAGCCCGCAAGGGAGACATGGGCTTTCGTTTGGGGACTCCATGCAGGGAGTGGCAGTGGGCTGGACAGGAGAACCGCCTTCCCTACAGTCCAGAGGTGGCAGGCTAGGCAGGAAAACAGTAACCACTAACAAACGGCATGCAGTTTATATAGCATTTTACCTTAACTTCCCTTTAATGAGCGCCACCTGAGGGGGTCGCTCAGCTGTTCTTTATAGACAAGGAATAACTCTCCGTGTTGGCCATGCCCAGGATTCACTAGCTGGAAACACACATTCAGGTGCATCTGCCATACAAGGTCATTCTCAGAGGGTGAAGTTATTGCTGTCAGGTGTGCTTATCCTAGGGTAGGTTTCCGTAGCTAATTTGAATACATTTTCTTTATGCATAGCTGCCACTTATTGATGAGTTACTCATTGGCAGCCACTGAATTTAGAAATACTCTATATACATTGTTGTATTTAACCCTCAAGACAGCCCTAGAAGACAGATGACCTTATTACTTGCAAATTTACCTGTTTTGGGGGCTCTTCAAGTTTTTTTTCTAAAAATTGTCAAAGGTTATAAAGGCACCTCTAAAAATTATATTGCTTGTATGAGCTGAGCACATGGACCCTTGATTGCTCTCCAGCCTCCCAGATGGCTGTGGCTCTTGAAAAGGGTTTACTGAGAGTAGGCTGATGGGGAGAATAATTAGACAAGAACCAGCAGTTTCAGACAGACACATCTTTTGGCTGGTGCCCAAACCAACAGTTGTTTTCACTGAATGAAATCACTTAGAAAACACTTGATACCTGAATTTAGTCAATCCTATTTGGGGGCATGTCCCCAGTCTCAACCCTTGCTGACACAGCCTGCTCCATTTTCAGAATACTGTGGGGACTTTGAGGCCTCTGGCCCTAAGTTAAACCTTATTTCAGGCATTGGAACTTCACAAACCATTCATTCTCCTATCTTTGGTTTTCTCATCTGTGCAGTGGGATGATTATTATAGTCATAATAACAGACACTTTGTGTGCTTAGTAAGTGCTGGTTCTAAGTGCTTTACGTGCATTGCCTTTTATACTGCTCAAAGGCTTTACATTTATTGCCTAATTTAAATGTCACAACAGACCTATGAAGGAGGATCTAAACCAGGTGGACTGAATCTAAATTTCACCATTGTGTTCACTACCTATCCCTGGAGTTCTCCAGCCAAAGTGTGTATCAGAATCACGTGGAGGGCTGATGTCTCAGTAACTATGCATTGATCTGACCCAAGGCCATGGCAGCATATGTAAGGATGGCAATAAAGTTTAAGAGTTTGCAAATAAGGACAGCAGTTTATCCAAATCACAGAAATAAACATGACTTCAAAAAGCAGACAGGTGAGTATTTAAAGCTGTGGCTGAACCTAATGTACAAAAATAGACCTAAACGAATGCTTCTCGTACTACATCTTACCAGCAAACTCTGGCTGAAATACATATTCATGAATCTGTTGGTCTGGAATATCTCAGACTGAACTAGCAAATTTGGCATATGTCCAGTGTTCTTATATTCAGCACAGGTTTATTTTTGCCCCGAGGAATAAATATGATTTTTGACACTAAGCTTCGCCACTAATAATTGGGATATTAACCTAATTCTATTAGGATAGCTTTTCGACTGAGAGGGGGTTAGTGACATTTCATGTGTGAATCATGAGTAATTATGTCATTTATATAAAGACTACCCTCTCACCTCATCTCACCTGCAGCCTAAAGAGCAGATTTCTGACTGGAACACTTCCCACAGCTATGAATCCTAATCCTTGTAACACGAACACTAACTCATGAGTTACACATGTGAAAGCATTGAGTGCTTTCACAGTGGCAGGCACTGTCCTGAGTGCCTTACATCTCATCTCCTCCTAACTAGAAATATTAAGAAAGTAGTCGCTGTGATGATTAATTTCTATTTCACAGATCATAAAATTGTGAAATAGAATTGATACACAGCTAATAAATGTCTGAACTAGATTCTGATGCAGAGACTGAAAGATTCTAGAATGCATGATTTTAACTACTTCACTGGCTTCCATTTGTGTTTTCATTGTCCTGTTGTTTATATCTTAACTAGAAATAACGGTAAAAGTAAACATTGGCTGGGCGCAATGGCTCAGGCATGTAATCCCAGCGTTTTGGGAGGCCGAGGTGGGCAGATCATTTGAGGTTAGGAGCTCGAGACCAGTTTGGCCAACATGGCAAAACCACGTCTCTACTAGAAATACAAAAAAATTAGCTGGGCGTGGTAGCACATGCCTGTAATCTCTGTACTTGTGAAGCTGTGGCAGGAGAATCGCTTGAACCTCCAAGGTGGAGGTTGCAGTGAGATTGCACCACTGCACTCCAGCCTGGGCAACAGAGCGAGACACCGTCTCAAGAAAAAAAAAAAAGTTAACATTTGTTGCACTCTTTTTATGTGCTTCCTCCCAATGTGCCAGGCAGTTTCTCAGTTAATATTTTATCAATATCCCCATTTTCCAGGTGAGGGATCTAAGGTTTTCAGGGGTTAAACAGCTAGAAAGCAGTAGAGCTGGCATTCTAACTGCTTGAATAATACATACTGGGAGTTAAAATTCAAAGGTCATCCAACGTGAGGCAGTATTCCTATCCTCTTGACAGGGGCACTATTATTAGAAATGGAACAATGTTGGAGGTTCAATGGTCGGCAATGCATAAAACCCACATTTTTGCCCTTTCCGTAGGTTAAAGCACTTTATGAAATTTTCCCCCCAGTTTTATGGCTTTAAAGAACATCGGTTAGTTGAGTAACCTTGGCATAGTATTAATGAATAAAGGCATTTTTGCATTATAAATTATATGCAGAAACTTACCCTCTTAGAAACAGGCAGCTTTTATAATGTCCAAATTTTTGTTTTCAAGTGTCCAAATAGACTATGCTCAAATGGGGTATTCCCAGGCCTCAGTCCTCTTCTTTGAGCTCCCCAGAGACATACATTCCAGCAGGCAGGTGTTAACCAGCCCACCCACCCACTGCCACTGCTGATTGGGTCAGAGATGACATCTGACTCAAGGTGGGGCAATCAGGGCTCTCTTTCTGGAATTCTGAATTCACTATCTGGTAGAATAGAAACGAGGAAAATGTAAAGGTTATCATGCAACCATGTCTGTTTGTACAAACAGATGGGAAAAGCCAATCTACAGGGAGATAAGCGGCAGATACATAAAATGAGGTAAAAATAAGAGAATTTGTAGCCCCAGAAGAGAAAACGGCTGTCTAATTTCTAGTTCCAATTCCTTACTCTGCCTAAGATGCATTTCTGGACTTGAAAGACATCTCAGTGTACTTATGATAAAGCCTCCTATCCCGCCTTTCAAAGACTTAATCTAGTTTAAGTGGGTTTGTATTAGTTAACACTAACAGAGCCTTGAGTAGGGCACAATCTAGATGAATTCATAGGCAATTAGTTCTTAAATAAAGCAAGCAGAATTCCCTAAAATTAGCTCAAGAGAAACCAATTTTATTGCTTTGTCTCCTATTTAAGTCCCAAAAGAATTGTCTCAAAATGGGAATACCTTGTTCTTTAATGTTAAAATATAAACAAAGGTCATGGGTTTGAGATCTTCACAACTAGACCCCAAAACAAGGATTTGAGTGCAAGTAATGTAGTTTGGAGGTCAATCTAGGAAGCACCAGTAGGGGAGGGAAGAAATAAGACAAGAAAGATGAGGAAGACAATAAAGGATGTGTTATTGAGCCAGTTTCCTGCAACTGGGAACTTAATTCCTTGGAGAACTCTGAGAATCAGCGTAGACCATGTGTCTCAAAGTCATCCCACCCAAGGCGTGCTGAAGCTAGGGTGTTTATACACTAACTCCCATCAGAGGTTGGTTGAGGGATACTAGGAGGGAGCATGCATTTCCAGCCTGCTGCTTGGTGGTCTGCCATGCTCCCATGGCCAGAGAGATCCCTCAGGGAAAAGAATGCAGGTACAGGAACTGGAAGTCCTGGAGGGATGCAGTGAAGTGGTAAAAGCAAGTGTACACGAGTGAGATGCCCACAGAATCTGCTGCTGGTTCATGTAGAAAAATAATAGTGAGGAAACACTTTGAACTATCTATGCAATAAGAAGTTTATTCTAGTTTACTTATTAGAAATTACTGATTAACTAAAATTGGTAGTTTTCAGTATGTTGTTCCTTGCCAATTCTTTGTTCTCAGAGAGTTCTCTTTCCATTAAAAAATGGGATTGGGCAAGAAATGTGGACTGTGGGGTCTTCTGACTCATTTAAATGAGCTCCAACAAATATATTTTTGACTCACAGCTAGAGCTGGAGGAAACAGTTCCTAGTGTCCCCCTGTGTTCACCTCCTCTTTCAGGTCTCATTGCTGGAAGGAAGGGGATCTGTTGAAAAATATCCCCCCACAGAATGTTGAAGTAATTATTTAAAGGATCTACTGACAGGGCTGCAAATCTTCATGTGCATTGTGCATAAATGGAGTGGTAGAGTGTTCAACAGGCTAATGGTAGGAGTCAGGGGTTGCCCAAAGATTGGCAATTGTTCTAACTACCCCTTTGAAGAAACATGGGAAGCAATCCTTTACTTGGTGCTTACAGAGGCTAAACAAGAAGAGAAGGGGGGTAGGCAGGGCTCTGAAATTATCCTTGAGAAAGGAAGTGGCAGCTGATGTGGATTTTGTGTGCTTCACTAAGCTTAGGTCAGACTCAGTGAGGGCCATCAGTCAATAGGCATTGGACCAACTGGAGGTGATTTATAGAGTAGTTTACTCCTGCATTTCTCTGCTGCTCCAAGTCATAACTCCTCTCAAACTCCATTAAAGTCCTATCCCTTCAGCACCCCTAGCCCTTCCTCTATCCCAACTCCACCACTCCTGGTCTCTGGTGATTCCTTTTGTATATGAACTTATATAGCATCTGACCTAAATGCTCTTCTATATGTAACTTTTCCTACATGTATGCTAATCACTCTACTATTCACGGGTAGTTTGGGGTAGAGATACAAGTAAGCAGTTTTAGCAGCACTCCTAGAAAAAAAACAACAGAAGTAAGCAGAGGTGGAAATATAGAGTAGAGAAAAGAAAAGTGTATTTTTTTCCCCCATATTTTTCACTGTCTGTAGTTTAGTATTCTGCAATATAGCATGGTGGTAAGTCATGGAGCTGAAGTCAGTTTTGATTTTGCATCTCAGCTGCAACAATGATTTGAAGCTTAACCTGTCTAGCCCTCAGCTTCCCCATTTGTAAAATAAAAATCATACACTAGTAGACTAAACTAGATTTGGCATTAAATGCATGGGATATAATATTTAATAGGTTTACATTGCCTTTGTTATTATCATTCTCCTGTGTCCACCTTTGTCTCTTACAGCATTTACCCATTAACCCTCATCGTCATCATGGCAGCTAATGCTTAGAGGCCACAAAATGATCCAGGTATTCATCTAAGTATTTTATAAATATTAACTTGTTTAATCTCCATACTCTTACAGAGAGTGTTTTTATGCCCATTTCACAGATTAGGAAACAGGCATGTTAAGTGATTTGGTCAAGATCATATAGTCAGAAATTGGCTAAGCCAGTGTTTGAACCAGACAGCCAGGCTCCAGATTCTGTGCTTAACCACCATTCAGTGTCACTTCCTCTACAAATAGGCAGGAGGCCAGAATAGACTTTTAAAAGTCCACATACCCCAAATTATCCCTTCTGCATCACACAAGCTGTAAGATATAGACCAGGGTCAGGAAGGAATACCAGAGTCACCATGTTATTGAACATACTTTTCTGCCTACATATCCCAAGGGCTAAGATCCTGTTTCGGATCTTTTTCTATTCATCCCAACAATTTACTCAACCTTGAGGCAAACCTCAGCTGGGAGAAAAATGAAATCAGCTCTTTGGGATGGCAGCATCAATTTTTAACTGCAACTGTCACTGAGTATTAGAGTTGCAAAGCCTTGGGAAATGTTGATCAGGCATGGGTTCCTTGTGTGCCATGGGGCTGTGAAATCAGTCTAAGGTTTCAAAACATAAACCAGTCTTTTATCGTCTTGATTTTTTTTTCTTTCTCCATTCTGAAGGAGCCATCCAATATACATGGCTCCTTGAGCCCAGATATGAAACAGAACTGTTTTCATCATTCTGCACTATAGTCAAGGTCCAGTCAGAAGACAGAAACCTCATTGACTAATTGAATGGGAAAATTTTAAGGTCATTAACTACTAAAAAGGGCAAAAGAGAACTCCAAGGAACTCAGACACAGTAGGAACAAAAAGGCAGCTGCTCCTTCCAGGCTGAGGAGGAGTGGGCAACCAGGAACAAAGGGCCGGGAGCCCCTTTCCCAGGGGCAAGACTCAGCCCTCCTTGCAGAGGGCGTGGTGCTACAGAACATGCAGTCTGCCAAAGAAGAAGAAACTTGCCAGAGAGCACAGACCTGCACTGGCCTGACCTGCATGGTCAGGCTCAGGTGGGTGGAAGTTGCTTGGAAGCAGCTACACAGTTGACAGTGGTCTGTGGACTCCACTGGAGCTGAGCCCTACAGGCCATCAGCTCCTACAATGATTAATAAATAATAGAAGACACAAACTCAGAAGGGAAGAGTCTTCACACTCTATAGCCTTGCAGGGTCATTCCGCTGTCCTCTTTTGACAAAGCCCAAGATTCAGCCAGCTGGCAAAGGGGATGTTTACAGGGTCCCTCGGCAGTATCACAAAGACGGGCAATTTGGAGCTGAGAGACAATAAATTGGTAAGTAGAATATGGGCATATATGAAGCTGTCAGACCATGGATAATATTATCATTACTAGCATACTATTACACTTAATCTTTTTGACAGTATCCCTGTCGATTTCAGTCTCTTTAGAAGTAAGGCATTAGCCCCAGAGTTAGGTAGAATATGTGTGCTAATTTATTCATCTGGCACCATCATTTAAATCGTACAATTGTGTATGTGTGTGAGCGTGTATAAAACTGATGCTCTATGAAGGTGTTCTGTCAATTCTGTGAAACAATGACTTTGTTTCATTCATCATTATATCCCTAATGCTTGGTATAATGCTCTGCACACCAGACACTCCATGAATATTATTGAATGAATTCATGAGTGAATGAACGAAACAGTAAACAGGGCTTGGCTTATCCTGTGGCATATCCTGTACTGTATCACTGAGTAACTCAGGAGGCTACAACTACCCCAGTTTGGAAATCAATGGACAAAGTATTGGCTGATAGTGTAGAGTTAGGAACATGCAGCTTCATATGTCAGGACCTCCTGAATTATCACCATGGCCACCTAATTTTTCTTAGACTGCAAACATCTCTAGCCAAACCTGGAAAAGTGTCTCCTGGTACATGGCTCATGAATACTCTTTCCCCAGCATTTCTCATGGCTGGATGGAACTGAAACATCACAGCTCCAGAAAAGCCTCCCCTGACCACCTTACCTAAAGTGGCCTCTCCATCCTACTCCTCAAGTCATTCTTTATCATGGTGACTCCCAAACTTTGCTGCCCATTAGAGTCACCTGGGGATCTTTTTAAAAGCCCCATTAAAGTAAGCGAGACTACAGCACTAGTATAAGGCTACATACATACGTATATGAAACAGAATTGAGAGTCCAGAAATAAACCGTTACATTTATAATCAATTAATTTTAGACACAGAAGGCAATATAAGTCAAAGGGAAAGGGATATTCTTGTCAACAAATGGTGCTGAGACAAGTGGATATTCACAAGCAAAGTGATCAGTTTAGACCCTTACCTCATACCATACACAAACATTAACTCAAATAGATCACAAACCTAGATGAAAATGTAATACTACAGAATGTTTAGAAGAAAACATAGAAGAAAATGTTTGTCACCTTGGATTAGGCAAAAAGTTTTTAGATATGACACTAAAAGTCAAAGTATAGAAGAAAAAGTCAATAAATTGGACATCATCAAAAGTGAAAGGTTGTACTTCAAAAGATATTTTTAATAAAATGAAAAGAGAAGCCATAAACTGGGAGAAAATATTTCCAAAGTATATATCTTATTAAAGATATCCAGAATGTATGAAGAGCTCTTACAATTCAACAAGACGACAAACAACAAAGTTAAAAATGGGCAAAAGATCTGAATAGACATTTTACCAAATATGATGGATGAATGGCTTATAAGCACATGAAAAGATGCTCGACATCATTAGACATTATGGAAGTGCCAATAAAAAACAACGAGATACCAGTTTACACCCTCAAAGATGGTTACAGTCACAACATCAGACATTGAGTTTTGGTGGAAATGTGGAGAAACCCTTCATACATCACTGATGGGAATGTAAAATAATGCCACTTAAAAAAACAGTTTGGCAGTTTCTTAAAGAGCTACCCATGGAGTTGCCATATGACCCAGAAAACCCACTCTTAAGTCTCTAACCAACACAGATAAAAATACATTCCCATGTAAAGATTTGTATGTGAACAGTCAAAGAAACATTATTTACCAAAAAGTGGAGACAACTCTGATGTCAGCCAACTGGTGAATGGTTAGACAAAATGTAATCTACTTATACCACACAATCAATGAAGGAATAAGGAAGAATGAAGTAATAATACATGTTACAACAAGGATGAACCTCAAAAACATCATGCTAATAAAAAAATCAGGCATGAAGACCACATATTATATAATTTCATTTATATGAAATGTCCAGAAAAGGCAAATCTGTGGAGAAATAAAGTAGATTGGTGGTTGCCTGGGGCTGATGGTGAGAACTGAGATTAATTGCATATGAGTTCAGTAGATGTTTTGAGGATAATGAAAAGTGTTCTAAATCTGGATTGTGGTAATGGTGGCAAAATTACAGACACACTAAAAATTATTTACTTGTACACATAAAATGTATAATAAGATAGATGGATTTACGATATGTAATTTACACCCAATAAAGCAGTTTTAAAAAAATTGCCAATACCCAGGTATATTAGGGTTCTCCAGAGAGAGAGAACCAATAGCGTATATGTATACATAAAAGGGAGTTTATTAGGAACAATTGGCTCCCATGATTACAAGGCGAAGTCCTACAATAGGTGGTCTGCAACCTGGGGAAAGAGAAGCTGATAGTGGCTCAGTCCAAGTCTGAAAGCCTCAAAACCAAGGAAGCCGAGAATGCAGCCCTTAGTCTGCGGGTGAAGGCCTGAAAGCCCTTGGGGTGGACACTGGTGCAAGTCCCAGAGTCCGAAGGCTGAAGAACTTGGAGTCTGATATCGAATGGCAGGGGGAACAGAAGCAAGGATCCAGTACCGGAAAGGAAAAAGAGCCAGAAGACTCAGAAAGCAAGCTTATCCCACATTTTCCTGCCTATTTTGACCTAGGTATGCTGGCAGCCCAAGAGAATGGCACCCACCCACATGCGGTGAGTCTTCCTCTCCCGCTCCACCAATTCTAATGTCAACCTGCTCCAGGAACAACCTCACAGACGCACCCAGAAACAATACTTCACCAGCCATCTAGGCATCCCTCAACCCAGTCAGGTTGACACCTAATGTTAACTATCATGCCAGGATTCTCCCATTCAAATTAGACAAATATTGCTGGAGTAAAGTCAGGCATCAGTCATTTTTAAAGTTCCTCAGGTTCTGTTATGCACAGACCAGGTTGAGAACTACAGCCTATCACCATACTATTCAAAATACGCTCCAAGGACCAGCAGCATCTGTATCCACCTGCGCCCTGATTAGAAATGCAGAATCTCAGGCCCTATCCCAGGCCTACTGAATCAGAATATACATTTAAATAAGATCCTCACATGATCTAGATGCCAATTAAAATTTAAGAATCACTGCTGTATTACTTCGTATTTATCATAATCTTTTTAAATTTTTTTTTTACTTCTTTGCTGTCTACCACTAGGAACACGTGGTACAACTCCACAAAGAATGCAAAGTGAATAGTGCTTCAATCAAAATTCTGAGAAGGCAGGGTCCCTGAACACTACTTCTTCTTTATGCCTAGCAGAATTCCTGTCACAAAGCTGGTACTAAATTACACAATTGTTGAATAAATAAATAATTGTCACCCTCCACTCCATTTCCTTTTTTTAACCGTTAGACTCCTAGGAATAGTCAAGACCTAGATGAAAAGTCTCCTTTGCCAACTCCCAGGGCAGAGTCAGTTCCCATCTCTGTGACCCTGCTGGTCATCAGGACAGCACTAGCAGTATCAGGAATCCTCCTCCCATAGAAAGGGCACCATTAACCAACGGAGTTGTGTTATCCAAAGGGCTGGATCTTTTCTGCACAAATTAATCAGTTAATGCATAGAAAGCATTCAACTAGTGATTGTGTTATAAGAGATCTGCTCAATATTACTGTGTGTCTACCTTATGGGGACACATTGGTAAACAAAAACTGTCATGGACCGTGTCCTATCTGGGACTTATAATTCACTGTGGGAAATGGAGAGTAACCACTCAAAGATGTTGGCCATCTTAGCATGTTATCAAATGCCAGTCTTCTCATTTCTGAGAAGGTCTTTCATCCACCAAGTCTTTGTGTAGTTTTGCTTTTTGTGTGCTTCCTGATAATGCAAGGCATAATCTCAGCATGTAATTTACACAGCCTCCCTACTGCATGGAGACTGACTCTCCCAAGGCAGATGCTGAGAGGAGGATTCTAGTGTAAATCGTTTATTTGGAAGGTCTCAGGAAATACCAAGAGGGGCATAGGCAAGTGAGATAGAAAAGGAACAAAGCAAATTTTAAAAATGTGTTATTAAGTCAGATATTGCCTTAGAAACCTGGAGCTTGACCTCACCGGGGAACTACAGGAAGACTGTGTGGACCACACTTCAGAGAGTGGTCCTGCTTGAGGGCCAGAGAAGCTAGAGGATTTTCTACTACCTTCCCTATCTGTTATTAGCTGAAGGCTGCTTCCAGAACCATCAGCTCTCTAGCACTTTAGATTTGCTAAGAGTGATTCCTTGTTTGGAAGGGGAGTGAGGTGAGGAAGAGAGAATTGCAGGTGTTTAAAATAAACAGCCTTCCACAGGCTGCATGCCAAAGACATATTCTCTGAGAAGTTCAAGGAATATTGGCGGGGGGCAGTGGGGAGGGAAATAACAGACATTCAACCCCGAATGGACAAGGGACAACACTTCTTAATGGCTCAAAGAGGCTAACCTTGGAGAAGTGAGGTATTCAGGTCCAGAAAGTTTCTGGTGAATCACAGAAAAACAACTTTGTTTCCAAGAGGCCAAGTCAGTAGCTGGTAGCATGGAGAAAAAGCAAACTGAATGAAATGGAAATGACATTTCATTTGCCTTGCCATCCATTCTGCTGGCCACCTACAGTCCCTCCGAGGAAACACCCAGTGACCACTGGCTCAGACCTTTGCTCTTAGGCTAATGTTGCAACTTTATGGATATAGCCCCAAATATTATTGGGGGTATGTGCTTGTAGATGTGTAATGTTTAGGGGAGGGACTTTGGGGACCCATTGAAAGTCTAGGACCCAACCCACTGATGTGCAGTTACTAAGCAGAGCTGAAGGATCGAAGTCAGCCAAGCTGTCCACTCATTTCAATGTGGCAATCTTCCCAGTTAAGGTCTATGGTGGCAAATCAAATATTCTATTACATTATTTTTCAATTTCAGGCATTTCCCTGGCTGGACTCTTAAGTGGTATATTTTCCAAAGTTCTGAAACATTGTCCTGCTCACCATCTGCCTTGATGGGCTGACATATTGGACACCGAGTCTGGGACCAAAACATGTGTGACCCAAGGACACCATTTTGTCACAGGCTTATAGTGCCTGAGGAATGATGGAAACATGGAGATCTCAACCCAGCTGAACCAAACACCATGGATCCATACAAATGGCTTCTCTAGCATTGCTGGTATTTATTCAGCATTTATTAGGTGAATGTAGGTTAGCTTTACCTAAAAATTTTTACTGTCTCCTTTTCTCCAATGAGTACTATGACAATTTGGCCTTTCCCAATATAGTTATGCAACATCTGTCAGATATCAAAGGCAGCTACAGGCAGCATTTTAGTGCCAGTTTAACCTGATTAGGTGTGTTGTCAATGATTGGACCTTGAAACCTAAGCAGGTGGCTTGTGTTTTACTCTCTCTGCCTCCCCAGCTCTCCTGTGAATCATTGTCTAAATTTTTGGGACCCATATCTAAGAATAATTCGTATTCTTTAAAGGAAGGGAAGAGGAAGGAGCACAGCTGGAGCCAGAACTCTGCAGCTCTCTTAAGAGCTAGCCTGGATTCGCTGAAAAGGACTTGAGCCAGATATTCCATACCCATTAGCCGGTGTCATGAAAAGTGATTAGCATTTAGTACAACCACAACAACCATTAAAATCAAACAAGCCCTTGATCCTAGCTCCCTGTAAACTCGCTCAATTCCAGCTCTTCTTGACACTGATGTCATTAATTAGTGACACAACTCATTTCCATGAGTTTCCCCACTCCCACTTCCTACAACCCCTTAATTTGATCCTAGGGGAAACCAAAGTAACTGAGAAAGGGGAGGGGCAAAAGGCGGAATGAAGATGTAACCTTAGCTAATAATCTTGGGGCATATGAGATGGAACTCTGAGGATGCTTAGTGCCATCTGGACCTGTGGATTTTGTGATCTAGGTAGGCTCTTTCTGATGGATTGAGTTGAGGGAAGTGCTTGTGAGTTGGCTGCAACCAGGGACCAGTGCCATTTCTACTCTGGTGAACGAGGCATAGTTATTCATCATTGAATCAAGGCATCTTAGAGTGAAAAAGCTGGAAAGCTCATCTGTTCCATTCTTTTTCTCAACACAGGAGCCACTTCTACCACTCTGTCATGCTGGACCCCTATTGATTTCAATACAGATAGCACCATGTTCAAAAAGCTGAAGAAGAGACTCAGAGCCAGTGAAAGAGACAGGGTCTATTGAGGGAACTTACATACAGAGCAGTCGTGTAGAGGCGAGTTGGGAAGGAGCCGCTACTGATTTGTAAAAACATGCAGTTTATATAGATCAGATGTGTCTGCATTCGCAGGGTATGCTTAATTATTGCTTTCAGGTGCGTCTGTCATAAGGGTCATTCTCAGGGTATGCTTAAGTTACGATATTGCTATCAGGTGCATCTGCCACCCACTCCACCCTGCTGCACGCACGGTTGAATTGCCCTCACGTTCTTATCATGCCATTCTTCTATAATTTCCCAAGGGCCAGGTATGGGGAGGAGCATTGCAGCCAGCTGCTGCAGCACCAATACAAACTACAACAGCAAAAAAAGAAAAGAATAATGAATATATCATAAAGCTCTTCTAAAGGCTTGGGAGTTGATCTTAGATGCACTATGGTAGGCCCATGGTGGAGGAGAGGGGCAGCTCTCTGCAGATGCAACAATCTGTTTAGTTCTGGAGAGAGGCCACCATCTGCTTCCATTTGGCAAAGAGGTTTGTTGCCCATCATCTATGGGCAGAAGGTAAGAAAGAGCAAGTTATGGTCATTTAACAAGACACAGGAAGTTATGTTGTTCTGCAAGAGCTCCACCCCTGGTAGTGATCTGGTCCTGTTTACAATGCCAAATGGAATGGCCCCCTCTGTGACACATTGCAGGAGGGCCAAAATCAGACAATGGAGGTATTGTAAGGTTCGATAATGAGAGGATGATTGTCTCCTTGCACAAGGGAGGACCGGGATTTATTATTTGAGAATTTCAGCGGGGAGTAGGTTGTAAAATAGGTATGACCTGTATATCTTGTTCTAGGCCCTCCCTCCATGGAGTGGAAAAACTAAACTATCGGTGGCTGGTTTGCCATGTCCAGGGCCATGTAATGATGTGCTCCCCAGTGGGTAGGTGGTGTGGCAAGGGCAACAGCAGCTTGAGTCCCAGGTTGGGACAAAGGTGTACTGTCCCTGACACTGTCTACCTGGATCCTGATGGTGGTATCAGGTCCCTGCATCAGAAGAGTGTATGCCCTGGGGTGATGAGAATGCATGTGTTCATTCAAGGTGCAAAGGGCTGCTGGTAAGCTGCAAGTCCACAGAACCAGACAGCAAGTTATTGCTTCAACAGTCCATTCATCCACTCAATCAGCTCTGCTGCTGTAGGGTTGCATGGCAGGTGGGAATGCCAGTGGATATCCAGGGTCTCCACCCATTGCTGCATTTCATGACTGGTAAAATGAGAGCCCTGGTCACTGCTGATATCAGTGGAGACACAGTAGACCACATACAGCTGCCCCAGTCCTCATATGGTGGCTTTCTGGGTGGCACAACTAATGGAACATGCCTGCAGTAGCCCTGCACAGGTGACTGTATAAGCCAAGGTATAGAGGCAGCCCTCAGACAGAAGCAAAGGTCCTATGTAGTCACCTGTCACTGTAGTGCTGGGCTTCTGCTCCAGGTGATCTGTTCAGCATCATGCAGCAAGGATCTGGGGTGTTCCTGCACTTCCCATTGCAGTGGCCACATCATGAGTCCCTTAGAGACCACCCAGCCATTGGTTCACAGGACTATCAGGTCCACTAATGGAGAAGAATCATCCAGGTGGCTCGTGGTTCAGCCCATTGGCTACCATGTCCTTTGCCTGTATCAAACCAGATCCTATCAGTGGATGGCCAGATGGCCACAACTGTCCAAGCGCAAGGATTGCCTTGAGACAAGCTGTGTGCCAGGCCTGTACAAAGGAAGGAATCCGTGGAGGGTCAGTAGCCTCCGTCAAAAACTGTCCTTCAGTTGTCACATAGGTGACAGGGCCAAGCACAAAATGGGGCTCTGCTCAAGGGGCTATTAGTTAGTGCACTCCTCTGTGGCAGTCATGCATGCCATTTGGCCAGTCTGTGTCTGGGCATTCCCAGACTTTGGTTCCTGGAAGTTATCTCTTAGCCAACCTGCTAAGGAGTACTGAGCATGTACCATGACCCCCTTTGTAATGTCCTCCACTTGTTGTAACGCATATACAGCACAGAGTTGTTGCCTCCAAAGTGACATTTTTCTAACTCCAGCCCTCTTCCATAGTTGGGACCAGAACCTTAAAGTCACCTGTTTATGTTCTTTCCTTTGCCATAGGCCCCACTCAAATCCCTCAGGGGGACGGGCTACATCCAATTCACAAGGCTGTCCCTGCACTAGAACTCCCAAGGTTTTTATTTGTTTCACTGAGACTTTAGCTTGTTCAAAGGCCTCATCCTGATTTATGGACCAGTCCCATTGGGCCCCCTTCTTGACTAAGCAGTATGGGGGCTGAAGGAGTTGGGCCAAATGGGAACTAAAAGGATGCCCATACCCTAGAAGGCCTAAGAAGGAGGTTTGCAACGGCTTTGGTGTCCTGGGACATGAGTAGGCCTGCACCTTATCCATAACAGCAGCCGGAACAACTTTAGTCTTACCCGACAAGATGACACCCAATTATTTGATTGATAAGCCTGGACCCTGGACTTTGCCTGCATTGACCACCCATCCTCTGTTCACCAAGTGAGACAGCAAGGTGGGGGCTGCAGTTTGTAAACTGGAAAAAGACTCAGAAGTTAATGGAAAACATGTACCCACTCCACGGTGGTGTCCCTGGGGTAAGATGGTAAAGATCCATTGTTCTAATGCTTGATAGCAGAATCAGGATGACTATACTTAGCAACAATATTTTGTATATTTCAAAGTGACTAGAGTTGTGCAACATTTGTCAGGGGTCACCCTGATGGGCCCCTGGGCTGTCTGCTTTCCTTTAGCTCCCTTGCCTTTCGTCCTGACAGCACGCCCTCCTTTGCCTATGCAGTTTCTGCATTTCCCCTAAGTCAGCAGCTCAAGACACTGGCTGTCCTACCAAGGAACTCAGGATACATGCCAGTGTGCCATACCATTGGCTGGGTGCCAACCGTAAGATGATGCCTTTCCTGCTGGCAGTGAAAATCTCATGATCAGTACCTCAGTAATGCTTAACACAGACAGCACGCTTCATCCCTTATTCCCGGAGGATGTCCTGCCATTCCTTCATAGTCTACCATTGCAAAGGAAACGTGAGGATGTCTTCTTCCTTGGCCAGGCTGCTTGGCAGCCGGCAACCACACAGTCAAGGAAGGAATTGGCCCAATCTTCATTATTGGTGCCATAGAGGCACTGCCTCAGGGCCAGGTGGTTTGGGATGGATGCCATTTTACTTATCTCCAGTATTGACAGGATAACACCCTCCATTTCCATGTCCCACAGACGGAGAAGCCATCCCTCAGTCGACTCTCTCCCCTTCTGTCTGAACCTATTTCCCAGTTCCACCCATTCCACAGCAGTGTAGTCCCACACTGTGATGTGCTGCCATCTTTCAGGTGGGAGCAAGTTTTGCAGGTCTGCTCCCTGTGGGGGCAACTGGCCTGCTTTTATCTTTGTAGTGACTACGAGACGGACAGAGAGGACAGAAACCTCTATAGGCTTGTCCCAGTCCTCAGTCTCCTCCATGGGGTCCCAGGACAATCTAGTCATGATAGCCCTAACTCGTTAACATCACTTCTGGCAATCCTTTAGATGAGCTACCTGACAAGCCAGGGTCTCCATTTTGTCACCCTCCATGTGGGATAGTAAGGTCTCTGAGATTTCAGCCTGAACTAATCTGGAACCTCTTTCTAGTCATAGTTCATCCTGTAACTGACACACCCTTGCTTGCGCTACAGGATTAGCTTCAGGGGCTGTCAAATCGCAGTCAGGAGCAGCCAGCCAACCATGGCTGCCACAGCTCCAGCATCTCACTTTTACTCAGATAGATCAACGCCTGCACCAACTCTTCCAGGCCCTTCAGTGTTTTCAGGGCATCCCTGTGCTCACACACTGGATCCTGTCCATCAAGAGTAGTGGCTATCAGGTCCCACACAGGCATGGACAGCCAGCCTGAGATTTCTCCCTCATATTTCCCCCTTTCCCAGTCCCATTGTCTTGGTGCTCATGTAGCTTTCTCTGACCTCCTGGCTGGTGTGCAAATTGTCATGCCAGGCCCCTATTGAAGTCATCTTACAGAGGCCAAAGAAGAGACCCAGAGCCAGTGAAAGAGACTAGGATTTATTGAAGGAACTTACATACAGGTTGGTGCAGTGGCAGTGGGCTGGACAGGAGAACCATTACCATTTGTAAAAAGCATGCAGTTTATACAGATCAGGTGCGTCTGCATTCTCAGGGTATGCTTATGTTATTGCTATCAGGTGCATCTTCCATAAGGGTCACTGTCAGGGTATGCTTAAGTTACATTACTGCTATCAGGTGTGTCTGCCATACATACTCCCATGATACATGGTTGACTGCTGCCTCTGCTTAAACTAAGGTTGGCAAGCTCAGCTATCTTCAGGGGCAAGGAAGGCCAGATCAGTGAGTGAAATGGAGCTCAGTCTAAAACAACAGGGAGTAGTGAGGTCTGATAAGAACCAAAAAGCTAATGCCCCAGCTGTGCAGCTCCAGGCAATTGTTAAAATGCAGGATAAGGGCGGTGTGTAAGTGTGGGGTGTGTGTGTGTTTCTGTGTGTTTGTGTGTGCGAGAGAGAGAGAGCATGCACGAGAGCAAGAGCAGGAGTGCACAAGCAAGCATCTCAATTAAAAATTTTTTAAACATCAACGATTAAGAAAATACTGAATAGGCAAACAGTACCCATGCATATGTAAGTGACAGTCCATAAGCTACCAGCTTGTAGCTCTGGCTTATGCAGATAACAGGGAGCATACCTCACAAACCACATATTGCATGGAACAGCTATTTTTATATATTCATTTCTTTTTAACTGAATGGGTAAATAATACCCAACCATATGGTGTGTCCCATTCTTTCTTATTTAATACACTTTTATTTATCACCTACTATGCTCCAGGTCCCCTCCTCAACCAAGGGATACAAAAAAATCTGTTGGGATAACTTAGGGAATAAGACAAACTTTCTCATGGAAAGTTCATTTTACCTAATGAAGGATAACTCTGCTGTCCTTATACCTAAATCTTCTCTTTCTAGATTAAACAGCTCTGTTGTCTCTAACCCTTCCTAAAGTGGCAGGTTTTCCTTTTCATTTTCAGTTTAATATCCTTCTTAAAATGTGGTAAAACAGGTACAAACTACTAGTCATGGAGCCCCTTTCTGAATGTGTTTCAGTTCATAAGTTTTGTTAAATAATTTGCTGAACATATGCAAATGTTTTGCTGTTCGGTATACCTACCACCCCTTTATGGTTTATCTGGGTTTTGGTGTGAACACATATCTTCATTTCTAAGAATCCTAGGATATAAAGTGCTCCACGGACATCTCTGCACCCAGCAACTACAATTTGTTTTCATATTCTTCGTAACTTAATGGCACACCGTACATGCATAGCCAAGCTTATTTGCTCTTCCTGTGCATGCATTTCCAAAGGTCACGGATTTCATGCTGAAGTGCTACATGATATAAGCATTTCCAGGAGCACTTGAGGAAAATAACATTAATTGCCTGCAACTTTAATTGGTTTTATGACAGTAGCCAGGCCAGTGGCTGGGAAAAGACACCCCAGAACAGCTGTCAAATACACAACCTGGCAGAAAGGCATCAAATGCCACGAGCCCTTTCTGCACAGAACTGACATTTGAGAGGCCCACACAGGCCAAGTGATCAGAAAAATCTGCCTCCATGTAATGATTTTTCAAATCCACTTAATTTAAAATGATTTCCGTGGAGCATGCAAAACATGCCACATTTCAGCTCTGGCTGGCAATAGCTGCACTTGGAGTACCAAATTCTAAAACTACTAGTCATTAGGTGAGTGTTTAGGAATGTACACAATGATTATGCCGCAATTACATTATTTATTCAGCCTTTGCTAGGCGCGTATTTTTGTAATTAGAGATTATTTAGGGAGGACCACATGGAAATCAACAATCTCGATCTGCCAAGAATAACAAGCTTTAGCAATCATATATGTATCCTCAAATGATTGTCCTGTTTCTCTCCATCAGTAATCAGGCGTGAGCTCTGTCCCTTATCCTAGTATTTTATCTCCTGTCTGTATGAGATAAAAAAGCACAAGCCTGTAAGGATTGCAAATATTGATGGTCAGTTATCACTGCTCAGGATGTGTAGAGCTAAAAGAAAACCAGGTTGAGAATCGCGAGATCGGGGTCTATTCCTAAATTCTGCTGCTTAATATTGACTGAGTGATTGAGCCATCAAAATGATCTGCAGGGAGATTTAAATGCATATATAGAAGCAAGTTGAAAAATATGAAGCACTATGCAAAAGTATTGTGATACTATGATTATTGTAGCTCTGTTTCCTAGAAATCCCTACTATAAGATCTTAAATAGTTACAACCTGTCTTTCATCATGTTCTTTTTTCTTTTTTTTTTTTTTAAACAAGAACTACAGGATCAGTTATCTAAAGCCACTTATACTTCTATTTCAATTTCTTCACTCTCTCCTATAGCTTGCTAACTACAGATCAATGGGCTAGATTGAGCATATGGAGATGTTTAAATTGACTTGCTATGTTTTGGTTTTGTTTTTTAGATTGCCTTGTTGTCCACATTTTATATTTGAGATATTTCATACGGATATTTCCATTTGCAGTTTTCATATCAAAATCTAGATGTTGTACTTCTCTTGAAAAACAGGATGACCTGACAACATTGATTTGCATCCTCCACAGCTGCAATTGCTGGACCTGAGAGCAGCTTCCCAGAGGGTAAGTTCTTGTCACATCCCCAGGCTGTCCACCTGGCCTGCCTCACTCATTTATGTTTCTGGCTGAACCCCATAGGCACTTAGATTTCAACTCTCACTCTTCCCAATTCTTTTGTTTCAGAGAGATAAGTCTCTAAAGTACCAAAAATGATGGAAGCTAGAATATTAAAAAGAAGCCAGAAGCCTCAATAACCAACATATTGTACATTAAGAAATAAGAAAAGAGATATCAAACAGTTACTGTGAGAAGCAGCAAAGTGGTTAAAAGTATAAGTAAAATAATAAAGCAGTATCAAATCATAGCCACAGTTCGTACTGGCTTAGGAGAATTACTTAAGCTTTCTGGGCCTCAGTTTCCTCTTCTGGAATATGGGAATAACACTTGTTTTTAGAATTAATTTAAATAAGTTTTTTTTTTTGAGACAGTCTTACTCTGTCACTCAGGCTGGAGTGCAATAGTGCCATCATGGGTCACTGCAGTCTCAACCTCCTGGGCTCATGCGATCCTCCCAACTCAGCCTCCTGAATAGCTGAGACCACAGGCGTGCACCACTATGCTCAGCTAATTTTTTATTTTTTATTTTTTTTGTAGAGATGAGGTCTCACTATGATGCTCAGGCTGGTCTAAACTCCTAGGCTCAAGCGATCCTCCCCATTCAACCTCCAAACATGCTGGGATTACAGATGTGAGCCACTGCGCCTGACCTAGATAAGTATTTTTTAAGCACTCACAATGTATCATGAATTCTTCTAGGTACTGGTAATGCAGCAATAATCCAAACAAAGCCTGTAATCATGTGGTTTACATTAAATGAGAGAATCCATGTTAAGCACTTAGAACAAAGCCTGGTACATAATAAACACTCAATACATATTAGCAATTATGTTATTCATAACATATTGTCTATTCAATAGTGATTACTTAAATTAGGAATGGTAAATCTGTTTAAGCTTGTGTTTTATACCTGATAGTAGCTACCAGAAATACAAAGCTAAGAATGAGTCTGAGGTCATTTATGCAGCCAAAAAACACATGAAAAAATGCTCATCATCACTGGCCATCAGAGAAATGCAAATCAAAACCACAATGAGATACCATCTCACACCAGTTAGAATGGCGATCATTAAAAAGTCAGGAAACAACAGGTGCTGGAGAGGATGTGGAGAAATAGGAACACTTTTACACTGTTGGTGGGACTATAAACTAGTTCAACCATTGTGGAAGTCAGTGTGGCGATTCCTCAGGGATCTAGAACTAGAAACACCATTTGACCCAGCCATCCCATTACTGGGTATATACCCAAAGGACTATAAATCATGCTGCTATAAAGACACATGCACACGTATGTTTGTTGTGGCACTATTCACAATAGCAAAGACTTGGAACCAACCTAAATGTCTAACAACGATAGACTGGATTAAGAAAATGTGGCACATATACACCATGGAATACTATGCAGCCATAAAAAGTGATGAGTTCATGTCCTTTGTAGGGACATGGATGAAACTGGAAACCATCATTCTGAGAAAACTATCGCAAGGACAAAAACCAAACGCTGCATGTTCTCACTCATAGGTGGGAATTGAACAATGAGAACACATGGACACAGGAAGGGGAACATCACACACCAGGGACTGTTGTGGCGTGGGGGGAGGGGGGAGGGAGAGCATTAGGAGATATATCTAATGCTAAAGGACGAGTTGGTGGGTGCAGCACACCAACATGGCACATGTATACATATATAACAAACCTGCACGTTGTGCACATGTACCCTAAAACTTAAAGTATAACAATAATAACATTAAAAAAAAAAGAATGAGTCTGAGGCATATCCAGGCTTAGCAGAAAGAAGCTCAATGATTTATTATTGATGTCTACTTGGATTTGAGTTATGTGCACGAAAATTTGCCTGGAGGTTTTGCCGTTCTGGTTTAAAGGATCCCTCGTTCTGTAAAGTAAGCATGATTTCTGCCTCTCTTGTCCATGTTCTCAGTCTCTCTGAGGCTTTTTGTTTAGGGAGAGACAAGATCATCATACCCAGGTTTGTTTTCCTTTTAGCAGGCAGCTCAGGAAGACAAAGTCATGCTCTGCTGTTGCAGATGCACTGAGAACACACAAAGCTCAAAGGGCTGCTAGCCTGCAATTAGGGAGGGTTTGAGGATACCTGTTCCAATAACCAGCTGCAAAGATGATCCTTTCAGAGCTACTAATGCAACTTAGGGGGACTGAAATGTCTGCCCAGTGAGGGTACTTTTCTCCTCAATAAAATATCTAATGGAGAATGAAAGAAAACGAAAACATTTCAACAAATCACACCACAAAACCCAAGAGATCGCCCCCGGCAGGCCTGGAGGCTCTTCGTGGCAGCATCTCTGCCCCTACTACTTTCCCTCCTTGATGCCCCCATAGGTCTTCTGTTCTCAATTCCAGACCAGGCAAGGATGGAAAGACAGTACAAGTTTCCTCCTTCACAGGCAAGCCCAAATGTTCACTTGCAAACCCCTCAGGGGTACAAACGAAATAAAACCTTTTCCAACAATATTAAATGGGAACCTACCGTACTCCCTTGAAGCTTGCACCTGCTGGCTCAGCCAACGGCTTCATTCCATCTTCCATCAGAATCACATGTGGCAGCCAAGTTCCCAGGGATAAAGAATTCACAGCCACGGGCTGCTGATAGGAAAGGTCACGGGGTAATGAAAGACAGGAAGCGTGTTCTAGTGTCCAGCTGAAAGGTGAACAGGTGAGGTGACATCCCGTTATTAAGTAGACATGGGCAATAATGTTGGGGGCAACTGTGTAACGTGCCTCAAATGTGATCTTCTGTACCGCCTCACCTCCCCTGGGAATGCTGAGTGTTGGAAAATGATTCTCACCAGCCTCCTCACCTATACACTCCATATTTCCACAGGATTCATACTGTCCCTGTTCAGGTAAAACAAAACCTGCCTTATGCCAGGACAGGTAGACTTTCTGAAACATGTGATTGCACAAAGTAGATGGTCTCTAGGGTCCTCCTTGGTTTCATACTTGGCACTCTGACCTTTTCTTTCAGAGCGCTTGTCACTGTATATTATTTATTTGTATACTTCCTTATTTAATATTAATCTCCTCCATCAGATCATAAACATCTTGAAGACACAGACTGAGTCAGTTTTTCACCATTCTGTGCCCATCCTCCAGCACAGAGGGTGGTAAACTTTTACTTTAAAGGACCAGATAGTAAATGTTTTTGGCTTTGTGGACCATACGGTCTCTGTTGGGACTACTCGCCTCTGCAGCTGCAGCATGAAAGCAGCCACAGATAATACGTAAACAAATGGGCGTAGCTGTGTTCCAATAAAAGTTTATTAACAAAAATGGGCAGTGGGTTGTGTTTGGCTTATAGTTTATCAACTGCTGATCTAGCACAATAAATCATTAATAACTATGCATTAAGTATAAAATAACTATTGTTCATCTCCTTGTTGAGTCTCAACAAGGACTAAAGACTAATGTGATGTGATTAGAAATCACGAGTACAGAGGGCAGCTGGGCACTAAATGGGGCACAGAGACCATGTAGGGCTGAAATATTCCGTTTCTTGTTCTGAGTGCTGGTTAGTGGATTTACAGTGTGGAAATTCATCAGGATTCACACTCAAATCTGAGTACTTTTCTGCATGCATGTTATACTCTGAAACGAAAGTTTACAAGCTAAGAAACAAATATAAAAATAAAGCAAATAAGGGCCAAAGAGAGAAAGCAGGGCATCACTGCCTGCTAGATTTGAGCTTCCTTAATGACAGCTAACGATAACAAGAAGTTCCCCAACCAGCTGTGAGTCTAGACCTAGAGGATCAGCTATACCACCTACTGGCAAACGAGCAAAAATATGGCTGTTTGATCTGTCAATTCCATAGAAAAAGTTAGTCTCCTGATTATGAAATGACTTTTGAAGCCCAAAAGACATGGATTCTTTAACTTCTCTGAGCCTCCATTTCTCACCCCTAAAATCATCGTGTCTGCCCCACAACACTGTTGTAAGGGTTAAATTATATAGTGTATATAAAATGCCTAGAACAGTGCCTGGCATTTTTTAATACTCATGATTAGTACCCAGGGAACGTCAGCTAATGTGAAAAAAACCAGAGTGGATGTCTTTCGTTGCCCCTCCTCATCCATTCTCCATCCTTCTGTACTGTGCTCCCTGCCCTGAGTTGGCCAGCATGGGTTCTCTTGCCCCTCCAGGTTCCAGTGTGAGATCAGGGAAGTTATTTCCTTCAAGCAGTACCCCTTAACGAAATGGACATGAAGCCTCCCTTTCACCCAGTCTCTTTGTCTTTAAGTCCCCATAAATGCTTCTTCTTCTTGCTCCTTCAGGCCAGTGGATGATCACTGCTCCCTCCTATTAATAAACCTTGGGAAACTGGATATTTCTGTGGTTTCTCCACAGTACTTCCACACCTTTGCCCTCTGTTTCCCGGACTCTGACTAATGCACCAACTACACATTAGGAAAGTGAATTCAGCTCCAAGCAAGGCAAGAACATTTCTGGAAATAGTACATTATGCTTTGTTTTGGCTCACATATGGGACTTGAAAAAAACAAGGGGTATTTTTCTCTAGGCCCAGCACACACAGGTTATAAGGCTTTGTTTGCCAAATCTGGGCTTTCTTGCTTTCAGAGTTCATTAAGCCTGAGTTTGTTTTTCAGGAGTGAAAACAGCTGTTACCTACCAACCTAGAAACAGTAGCTTTGTTTGGGAGTAGATGCTCAGGGAGGTAAGCTGGTGCTGGGGGTAGTGACGGGTTTGAGGGAGCCTGGGAAGTCACCCGCACTCCTTAGACCAATACTTCATCTAAGGTAGCAATGAATGTCAAAGGCCTAAAACATCTGGCCATAGGGATTTTGGATCCTTGTCAAATAGTTCCCACTCCAACTTGATTGCAGAAATATCTGAGCTGCCTTCTGTTTTTTTTGTTTTTTTTTTGTTTTTGTTGTTGTTGTTGTTTTTGAGATGGAGTCTCGCTCTGTTGCCCAGACTGGAGCACAGTGGAACCATCTCAGCTCACTACAACCTCCACCTCCCGGGGTTCAAGCAGTTCTTCTGCCTCAGCCTCCCAAATTGCTGGGATTACAGGTGCCTGCCACCATGCCTGACTAATTTTTGTATTTGTAATGGAGATTGAGTTTCACCATGTTGGCAGGCTGGTCTTGAAATCCTGACCTCAGGTGATCTGCCTGCCTTGGCCTCCCAAATTGCTGGAATTACAGGCATGAACCACCATACCAAAGACGGCAGAGCTGCCGTCTTTGAATGCAGAGAGGGGTTTGAACAATGAATTCTACAGCAGTGACCACGATGTGCTGACAACCAGAGGTCTTTCTAGTTAGCATTGTGGGGGTCGTGTAAATGTCCCAGGAGTTCTCTATAATCCCAAAGGACAGTAGAGGGGCCCCCCTGATCCATAACTGGATATTCCAGGCTTCACCCCAGTGGTTCTGATTTTGTGTGACTTAAGTTGGGCCCCTACATTGCATTTTTAGCATGCACCTCAGCAATGCTGATGCAAGTAGTCCCTTAAGCACAGAGAGGCAGATACTGTAATTGTCCCCATTTTACAAAGAAGAAAATAGAGCCTCTGAGAGCCTAACCTTCTCCAGTTCCAAGTGTTTGGAAGGTCTAGGCCAATATTGGTTGAGTGAGGAAAACTGAACAAATTGTCCTTTCTTTTGTGTAGAGTACAATTCATGCCCACATAAGAAGCACAATTCTTATTTTATTCTGGGGAATCCTGCCAAAATTCAAATGTTTGCAAAATTCCAAGAACTGAGTGGTCTTCTACTTCTTCTTTTGTAATCAAGTAAGCAGAAACAGTGTAGCCAGTGAAAAGCTCACCACAAATGTTTATTAGATAAGACTGGTCTGGGGCACGTCATCTATGAAGGTGCTGAGCAAATCCAAGAAATGTTTCCTATCATACTCTTAAGCACCAAGCTTGGAAAATCAAGCAAAACAACCAACTCAGCTGCTCACAAAGTCAGCAAAAAATGTTTATATAATTAATCTTCATTATGGCAGTTCAGTCACAACATTAGTGGCAAATATACCCACAGAATAAATGCAAATTGTAGGTGCAAATCAATTTATGCATTCAGCAGCAATTCCACTTGCCCCCCACATACACACTTAATAGCTCGTTGAAACGTAGAAATCATTACTGGTCTTCAGAAAGATGCAAGTTTGCAAACCAGGATCCGAAATTAAACAATGATGACAAAATAGCAATATCAAAACCATAGGCATCAGGAGACACCTGAAGAAGAACTAGGAGTGAATATTTCGGCATGCCCTGGGGAGATGGAAGCACAGGCTTCGCTGCTTATTTTCTCTTTTTACTCTTTCTGTTGCTAAGTCTCCTAACCATCAAACCCTGGTGGTGGTGGGAGGATTTTAGAGGAGCTCCCAGATAAAGAATGCGGCCAGACTTGCTTCCATTCCAAATTACTTGGAAATTGATTCTCTTTCTCCTCTGAAATGTCTCCTCAGGTGTCCCAGAGATTTCCTTTCTTGTGCTCTGGGGACAAAACAAAAACCAAAACAAAAACATTTAAAAAGTGACTGGAAATACAAAGACCTGAGAGTCAGGTGAAATGTCTCAGAAAGTTGTAATTAAGAGAGTGCCCTCTACATGAACCTGTGTAATGTAGATACTTTCTCCCTTTATTCACTTTTCAGTTCTCTTTGTCTTTTTGGTTGCTCTCAGATGAAGGTATCAAGGTGCCTCTATTTGGCAAATTGGTTACCTTAATTGTTTTCTCTGTTTCTTAAAAGTCAACAGGTATTGATTTGGTTCAGTCTTCTCATTCTTCCATGTCCCCATCTGAACATAATTTTCATTTTTCTCACGATGCCTATGTTTAAGTGTAATTATTGTAGTAACAGTCTCATTAAGTGACATGTTTGGAGGAGAAGGGCTCTGGTTAATTGAGTCCTAAAGAAGAGAAGATAGCTTTAATTTTTCAATTCTCATTGTTGAAAATATTTATGCTTTTCATCTGTCTTTTCTTCATTCATTTCACTCTCATTTCTACCAACAGAAAAAAAAACAAATCAGTATCATTACACAAATATCCAAATTAATATAGAAAGAAATCAATATAAGGAATCATGGCTGCAAAGGGGGTAGGAACAGCACCAGGTTTCACATGTGTGCAATCATGACTCTTATTTGGCACCAAGTTTAGCTCTGAGATCCCTGGCAGGCAAAGCAAAACAAGAAATAGATCCCATGTTTTAATCAAAAGAAGCAAAGTAGTTCACAAGGAAAGACAAACTTTCTTTTTGGTGGGAAGGAGGGTGGAGGAAAGGGACATGAAAATCTAATTACAGTGACTTAAAGGAAAAGGGTCATGTGACTCTTCATTTGTGGCATTGGACCAATCTAGTGTCACATCATTGGACACTGTCATGTCGGCAGAAGGAATTTTTTCCCCTTTTCTTGCCCACACCTCCACACAGGCATTTTACTTGATTTTGTTAATGTTTTACCACCACAGATCTAACCCATGATGAGATCGTTTGGTTATAAGATGACAAAAGGCAAATTAATAGAATTATGGTTCTACTCCCACCCTCCATTAGTTCTACCTTTTAAAAATGTGTTGTACAAACATTTAGGCTAGTTTGGCAGAGCACCCCTGAAATCAATCCCTAAGCATGTTCCAAAGATCACCTAGGTATCCCAGAATTAATTGGAGACCCAAATATGAGTTACCAATGATAGCACCATACTAGTGTAAGGAGCTCCAGGACAAGAGTTTACGTTTTCTAGGTAACATTAAGTGCCTGACGTTTGATCTCTCTGAATTTTTGATTCTGCATGGCTCTAAAGGAGATCATAAATTATACTAAATGAGGATCAATCAGTTCTTTTCAACTGAAATCTAGATTTCAGTTTCATTGTCCCCATAACTATCAAACTGTCATAGAAATTGAGTATGTCAACATCTAGAGTTATCTTTTGCATGTGAAAGAAGCATAATGATTCTTACTCAGATTATATGTGCTGATTTTCAGTTTATAACCTGATGATTGTATGTACATCCCATGTAAGTGCTCTTCATCCTCCTGTAATACTAGCTAGGAGCTTTATCACTCTTAGAAAGTACTTATCTTATTTGCTTTTCTTACACTTCACCTGCTCTAATGCCTTTAATTTTTAACTTGTGTATTTAATCCAGTTTATTTAAAGTGATTTAAGCTGTATGTCTTGGGAAAGGGAGACCTCAGCTATTCTAAATGAACAGTTTTAACATTCTAATTTGGAATCACAGGAAAACCAAATCTATTTGGTAGAAAAGGTACAAGATCCGACATCAAGAAACTCATGTTTGATTCCTGTCCCTCCTCTTTACTGTCCATTTGTAAAACACACTCCAAATTTCTTAGCCTTTCTTTCCTAATCTGTAATATGAGCGTAACAATAATAATTCCTCCTTTTTAAGATTGATTTGAAGATTAAGTTTGCATATTTGAGAAAAATCTGTCAACTGTAAAATTACATTCACTTCTTATTTATTGCTATTATTAGGCCCAAGTTTTTTTTCTGATTATGAACACAGAAAGCCACAAGAATAACAGGAAACTTCATGGTGACAAGAATTCTATTAAGCACTTTAAATATATGGATTCATTTGAACCTCACAGCAACCCTAATGCAGAATTATTCTTCTCATTTTTCAAATGAAAAGCCTGAGGCAGAGAAAGGATAATAAACTTGTCCAACGTCACATAGTCAGTAAATGGCATAGCTGAGATTCAAACCCAAGTGCTAAGTGCACAGGCTCTTGTCACTATACTGTATGTCCTCAGCACACAGCTATAGTAAGTATTAGGAATATTAATAAATGTAACACACACATGCACAAAGGATTCCATCATCAAACAAGGTTAGGAAACACTAGATTCAACCAAGTTAACTAGGCGTCTTGACTGCAGGACTCCTCAGACCCTTTAACAAATGAGGGATGGTGTTCAGCAAATTCCAAGACCAAACTGAAACCAAATTGTTTCTTCATGAGCATCTCAAAGGACTTGGGTTCCAGGGAATACATTTTGGCAAGTGCTCATACATAAGTCGTGACAGATAAGTAGCAATGACATGCCAATTAAGGGCTCATTAAACAATCTTTTGAGGTATGGGAGAGAAATATAAAAGTATACCCTAATGTTATTTATACATGATCTCCATTTTATATACTACCTACCTACCCAAATTAAAAAAGGGGTATTGCAATCCTCTTTTTAAAAATGCACGTATAAATGTTGCTTTTGTTTTGACGAAAATGTAAGAGACATAGTTTTTTTCCTCTCTCCAGGATGGTTCTCTGAGGCTGACATTTGGAGAAGAAAGATGTGCAAGGAGGAACTAAAGCTTCACATGCCTTGTTGCTGTAAGATACTATAGATCATGCTGGGTCAGGGCTGAGAGAGCTCTGGGGAACTAGTCTCTGCAAGTGATTAATAACAGCAAGGTGACCCACTGACCCTTCTCAGGCACTTCTCTACCTGGGCATCTAGAATTACCTCCAGGACATATGGAGAGTGGGGGAAGGAGACTGGTTCCAAATAACTATTAAGTCTATGATCACTTTAATAGACTTAATAGAGACCCCAAGGTGGTAAATGAATCCTTGCTTATTGAATTCCTCACTTTCTGCTACTAGCACCATCACTACCCCCCCAGCACCACCCACCCCCATACACACACACACACTTTTCTCCTAATCAGGGGGAATCACAGTCTAGCTGTTTCTAGCTTAACATGGAGACTAAAATAGCTTAAAGGTATGAGTCTGGCCAGCTTCATTTGAGCATTACCAAAGGAAAAGGTTGTGATGAATGGCATATTTGATCCACTCTTTAGAAACGCCATATTGGATGTTTCCCACCAAGCCATCAGCACTAGCCTGATAACATCACTTACCTCCATCTCATAATATTTACTTACCCTGTGTATTCGTGGTATATCCACAATTATGTTGGGATATTGCTACTGGAGTGAAGCTAGAATTCTAAAAGTCTATACATTCCTATGAAGTGGATGGTGAGAACATCTTTATGTGCATTTAGGTCACATGATGTCATTCCTATGAATGATGCAGGTAATCTAAGGGCAGATTTTGCTGTTATCCTCATTTCTTCCTTCAAGCTTCTTAGCAATCCAGGTGCCTCTTGCCTTGGAATTAACACCACTTCACTCTGCCTCTCCTTTTCTACCCAAACACAGTTTCCTAATCTTCCTTTTTTATTCATAACAATTTTAAGAATAGTAAAGATATAGATGGAGTCCAAGATCTCAAAACAAACACTTCCCATTCGGAATCAAAACTGATTAAAAATCTGCTTCTCCCTGCACAGATTCTCCTCCTAGGGATGTGGAGTGGCATTCCTGAATGGAATCAATGAATCATTTCCTTCCAGTACCTTATAAGAGATCAATGGCATCTGTAATATAACACTTGTGCCTCATTGCTATTGAGTTTACTCAGGGAGAATACCATGAGACTGAGTAAGGTTTGCACGAGTATTCTGAACCCACGGTTTCTTGACCCTGTTGACAAATCTATTAGGTGCATCACTTCACAGGTTGAGATACAAACTGATTCCAATGTTGAAACAAAATCTTCAATCTTACAGAAGGATTACTGACACAGCATGGAGAGGAAGTAAGAGAATTAGACTGGAATGGACATTTTTAGTTAGTTCCGGTATCAGCTGAGTCCTCTGGGAAGTAGATGCAAAGACTGAGTCAGCAATGTAGAAGATGCATTGTAAAGTAAAACGTGTGAAAGGAAGAGGGGGAAAGTAGAATTGGGTAGGGAGAGCCTTCAGACAATACACAGATCTGGTGGTTCAGTTGGGTACTGCAGAGTACAGATTGCCCTTTAGGGGTGTCCCGCATTGGGCAGAAAGCCCTTGTACCACTGTGCTGCTCAGTTTTTGGTCAGTGCCACCCCAGAAAAAGCACAACTTTGGCTCAAAAGCTAGAGTTGACTGGAAGGAGATAATAGCTGGGGGCTATCAGCTATCCATACTTCTCATTGCCAAGCAAGGACACCTTTCTTAAATGGAGATTTGCATGTATGTGTCTGCCAGGACTCAACATACCTTTCATCTATTCCTCATAGCGGAGGAGACATACAATTTGAGAAGGTCCCTTAATTACAGTCTCAACACTGGAACTCTCATTGATGCCATTGGCTATAAATATGAGCAGAGATACACAACAGACCAAAAGCACATTAAATATGGCCACAAAAGGGATTAGTGGTCTCTTACACTTACGAATAGAATCTTTCAGAACTGAACCTGTTTGTAAGTTGAGGGTGTTTCTAGATATAGCCTGTGGATTCAGACAACCTATTAATTCCTTTTAAATCAATAACATTTTAGGGTAAGTCGACTGAAAAGGTAACTGTCACTTTGGAAAACCAAGATCAGGAAATGGGATACATGACAGATAAGTTATATTGATGAAGAAAAGAGGCTCCAGGCAGAAATTGACAAACACAGTCATAATGAATTTTTTAACTCTTAAGTTCATGGGTACATGTGCAACTTTGTTATGTAGGTAAATTTGTGTCATAGGGCTTGTTATACAGATTGTTTTGTCACCCAGGTATTAAGCCTAGTATCCATTAGTTATTTTTCCTGATCCTCTCCCTCCACCCACCCTCCATCCTCTGATAGGCCCCAGTGTGTGTTGTTTCTCTCTCTTTGTCATGTATTCTCACTTAGCTCCCACTTGTAAGTGATAACATGTGGTATTTGGTTTTCTGTTCCCGTGTTCATTTGCTAAGGATAATGGCCTCCAGCTCTATCCATGTCCCCGCAAAGGATATGATCTTGTTTCCTTATATGGCTGCATAGTATTCCATGGTATATATGTACCACATTTTCTTTATACAGTCTACCATTGATGGGTATTTAGGTGGATTCTATGTCTTTGCTATTGTGAATAGTGCTGCAGTGAACATACATGTGCTATGTCTTTATGATAGAACAATTTATATTCCTTCAGGTATATACCCAATAATGGGATTGCTCATCCGAGTGGTAGTTTGATTATATCTCTTTTAGTCACTAGTAAATCAAGCAGACAAAATTATTAAAAATATATAAAAGCTTTGAACATAATTAAAAGTTTAATCTAGCTTGATTCTTTAAATAGATACTAGCCTTACAACAACAGCCTTCAAAAGTGAAGACCTAAATAACTAGAAATGTAGACACCTGGGAGTTGTTCACCTTTCTCTGTCTGCTCTCTGTGGTTTATATAAACACATCTGTTCTGTCCCCGTAGGCCTGCTGCAGCCATAGCATGCATGCGACTTGTGGTCCACATGCCAGATACTCTTATCTCCATGCCCCATAAATGTACATTCACACCAGTCCTTGAGCAGCTGTGACTGTGCCTGTTATCACAGCTCTGTGTGCCTAGGCCAGTGGCACATGCAACTAGATTCACAAGATATAGGTCACTTGATATTCATGGATTGGACACTTGCAGGTCTGATTACTCATGAGTGCACCAAACATCTATGGCATGTAGCTATATGCAATTTTTCTGAATTCTGGAGTTCTGAGGGTCTGACCCAGGTGAACTAGTTAGTCACTGAGCCTGTAAGCAAACTTCACAGATTGTCCAGGATTCATCTGTCCACTGGCTTAATTTTCTACTCAACAGAGCTTATCATCTCTTTCTCTTTAGGAACTTAGGGGGCTGACTACATTTTTTAATCACACATTACTGCATTTTATTGGAGAATTTTTTATGTTCTGGGAGTGCTTCAAATTTGGATATTTTCAATAGAATGTTGGCAATTATTATTTTTTGTAAAAGTTTTATATAATGAATGTATGTAGAACCCTGCATTTCATATACAGAAAATGACTTGTTTTTAAACATTCATGGATCTTTTATTAAAATGGACCATATTTTAGCTTACAAATTACAGAAAATAAAATTTTAAAAACCACAAAGAATTAGTATTCCTCAGATCGCCTGCTCTTAATAATTAAAATAGTTATCGATAACAAATACTTAGCTTAAAAATCCCCCCCTACAAATTAGTAAGGAGGGTTAAATGAGGGAGATATTTAAAAGATGGGGGCAGACTTAGGGAAACCTCAAGGAATAGTGTAGTTCTCCAAGGTGAGTAAGAGTGGAGCAATTACTATCCCAAAGCCTGAAGAGGAAAGATGCAAAAAGGTAGCCAAAGCTTAGAAGAAAGAAGTACTGTGAGGAGACCACTTGGAAAAGAGAAGAGACCTTAGGTTGAGAGTACAGCCATCCTGAGGCCCCAAAGAGACAGCAACGTTTGACTCTATTCCTAGTATATTTACAGCCACTTCAACTACAAAGTCACAGTACACCATGGAAAACACCAACCCTTTAGTAGGCTGGAAAGGAGTATGTCTATTTATTGTCTTTATAAGAGACCAGAGCAGACAATGAAAAGGTATTAAGTATTCTCTTTTTTTTTCTTTTCAGCAGAAAGAGAAGCCCCTTCAGCCTTCTTGAGAGAAAGACACGAACAGTCCAAGAGAATAGTGCCTATATCAAAAGAGTCACTACAGTTCTCTTGACCAGCTGATCTGGAGCAGGCAGTTGGCCTTTGGGTTTAGGAGGAATGCTTTGCTTCAGGTTCTTGCCCACTGGGATTGGATAGTCCAAAGTATGATATGAACACTTTTTATTTTTACCTTGGAAAAAAATACTCTCCAGGCCTTTCCTATAGTACCAACTAAGACTCAAGCTACACATCAGACTATCACCTTCATTTTCAAACCTTTGAATACATCCAGGTTTGATTCAACCCTGACTTTTAGGGCAATAGTTACTTATATAGGTCACTCAGATGCCTGTATTAACCTTCCACCAGGAAGGTGCTTTAAAATCACACTAAACATCTGTAACAAGTCATCTCCAAACATCGTTACAACACCACTGCCTCCATTCCACGTGGTCACCATGGTCATCAATTTTACCCAGCAACTACAAAGGCAGACCCTCATTATTCCTGGGGTATGGCAGCTTGAAACTCTCAGTGCTAGTTCATTTGCATAAGTGCTTAGCAGCAAAAAATCTTGACTCCTGGCACCAGAAGTAAATTATTCTTGGAGTACTATACTTAGATGCTTTGAGTTTAATTACCTTGTAATTTCCAGGTCATGTTATTACCATGAAGCTACATGATTTTGCAAATTTATTTACAGCCTATGAAAAGAAAACGACTTCGGAAATGAATGTTGCTAAATTGGTCCCTTGTAAATAGTTCTTTTGTTGTTTAGAAAACATTTAAAAGCTTTTCTACTAGAAAATGTGGGCCAGTCAAATGCCAATTCTCTAAAAGTTTACAATAAGAATCTTATCTTGAGTTAGAGATGTGAGGTCCCTCCAAGTGGAGTCAGGGGGGTCTTCAAGGTGATCAGGCAGGCAGGTAGCATTTAGAAAGAAAATCATGAAGGTAAAGGGGTCAGAGATAATAAGAATGGTCATATCAGATCCAGGAGTTCTGTCAAAGTCTGAAATATTGGTAATACTTTGGATCCAAAGATCAAGAGTTCATAAATTATTAATATTGTTCAATGAAACTTTACAAAACTCGAGGATGACCTGAATATTGCACCTGTTAGACCTCATTTTATTTTGGCCACAGAATATTTATATAACACTTAAAAATGAGGCACTACTGGTTTCTAGGGGGAGTTGAGACTGTTTCCTTCCTTTCTCATCCCTAACCTGATTCTTACCTCTCTAGGATCAATAGCAAGTAAATTGGACTCCCATAAAGAGAAGAATTGCTGAAATTTAAGGACGTTGATGGTCAGGACTTTCAGAGGGGATCAAGGTCATGTCATATGTGGGCACGGCCTATCTTTGCTTTCTTCCTTGCTCCTCCAGGGAATGGCAAGAGCCTAAGGCTGTTCCAGAAGGGCCTAACATTATTCTTTCTCTCTAGAGATGCTGTCTTTCCTTCCTGTAAGGTAGCTTGGGAAGAGAACCCAGGACAGCTTGTTCTAGCTCTGTTGTCCCATTGTTGGTAGACATTGGACATCCCTTGTTTCCTGGTGATGGAACCAGGGCCTTAGGCTTGAGCACTGTAGGAAGTTGAGGGACAGTCAGAGCCATCTTCCCAACCTGCTTTATCTGAAGCTGATTTAGCCTAACTGGCTTTGGAGAAAGGAAGCTTCAGCTGGGTCAAGCTATCATTTGACAACTCTGATGTTTAGGTTTAATGTTTAGGTTTGATGTTTAGGTTCAGGTTTGATGTTTAGGTTCAACCAAAATGACATCTAGTTATCTAGTCACCAGTGATTGTTCCTAGGAATGTATCTCTCACAAGGACCTCATAGGGAAAATGGATGACTGGCCCAATGCAGAATTTATATGTTCCTTTGTTATGAGAACAACAGGTAATAGCTCAGGCTTATCCCAATGTCCAACAGCCACACAATGAGGTCCATTGTGTAGGTGACGGTCAATTCCTACGTAAATATGGCTTGTTTTTCCTTTAGCCTCCATTCTTTCTCTTGGGACTGCTTCTTGTTTCCTTTGCCTCTAACACTGGCTTTGTCCTTCTTCATTTACTCCTCCAGCAGTGTGTACCCTACTTTTCCTACCCGCCGCTACCTCCTGGCTATTCCATATTTATTTTCTCTTTATCACTCCCTACCTTTCAGCCTCTACACCACTGCTAACCACCATCCAAGTTTCTTTCCTCCCAAAAAATAACAGTGGAGCACTCAAATAGAACATTTTACTGCTCACTTGAGAGCTCAGAGAAAGGATGTGCTAATCTGTGTATAGAATGAGCTAACCATCAACCAACATTGACTATTTTCTGATTGAAACAATTAAAAGGGAGTTCCCAGTCACAAACGCTAGCATTTTCCAATTTTCAATGACCTTTTAATAGTAAAAATGCTATTTTTAAAATGTCATTATGTGCTAAAAATGTTCTTGAATGTTTTTCAAAAATGACATTACAGAATCCAAATGTTGCCACATAATTATTCAAAATAAATATTTTGCATACATTGCTCTATTTACTTTATATCCCATGAACAACACACATCAGTATACATATTAAATGCTGGAACCAAAAAGGCATGACATATTCAGTAGCTTAATGTTTTATTAAAGTAAAACCAGCTGGTGGAGATTTGGTAACTGAAGCTATAGCCCAACTTGCTAAAACGTCTGTATGGTTGCACTGCACTGGAGGAAAAAAAGCCAGCATGTGAATTTAGGCTATGAGCAACAGTTACCTAACTCCTGTTACCCTTCAGGCTACAAATTTATTCTGGGGGCTAAGTTTTATACATGGTTCCTTATAGACTTTGCAATTTCTGCACTTCTAAAAACCGATTTCTAATAAAAATAAGATTCTGATCTGCTAAAGAAATACGTAAATTCATTGAATCTCTAATTTTGTAGCAGTTGTTGTTACTAAGGACCTCATATAGGGATGCCAAAGACAAATCTGAATATAGAATAATAGAAATGATGATGAGACTGTCCCTAAGGGACCGAGGAGGTAGCATCCAAGCAGCAAGAAAAGCTCTCAATATGGTGAATGTAATACTGTCTCTTCCTTCAAGTTGAGCCCCTTTTCAAGAGAGATAGGCATCTGATCATTACATTATATAAATGAAATATGTTTATATAAGGTACTATGGAATTACAGAGGAGAAGCAACTAACTTTGTGTATAGTTGGACAGTAGACATGAGATGATGTTCATGGTTAATAAATGGCATTGAAGAGGAGAAGCAACTAACTTTGTGTATAGTTGGACAGTAGATATGAGATGATATTCATGGTTAATAAATGGCATTGAAGAAGAGGTGGTATTTAGACTGAGTCTTGAAATATGGATTGGAGGCTGCCAGGTGAAGAGCAGAGACAAGTGCATCATGTACAAAACAAAGGGATTGGAGAGAGTATGTACAAAGTGTTAAGATACTACACTTTAAAAGTCTTTAAACTTTGCTGATTCCTGGTCCCATCTGAAGAGTTTGTCCTATTCGCAGACGCTGGGTGGGGCTATACTTCTTACCTACTACCTGCTCAACTATTACTGATTGGGTCAAAGATGAATATCTGACTCAATCCATTCGTTGTTAAGTAACCAATCATATTGTCTCTAGAGAATCTGAAGTAACAGACCAGAGGTACTTAAGCTAAAAAGTTGAGATAAGGGCAGCCATATTACATGTGGTCATGGCTATATTAGGACATGTGCAGGGCCAAAAGGCAGAGAAAACTGGGCCCAGAGATAAATAGGAAATGAACAGGCTCACCAAAAAAAACGTGGCAGTAAAAGAAACCACATAATATGGTTTGTCTCTGTGTCCCCACCCAAATCTCATCTCAAATAGTGATTCCCATGTGTCGAGAAGGGGATCTGGTGGGAGGTGATTGGATCATTGAGGTGGTTTCCCCCATATTGGTCTCATGATAGTGAGTTCTCATGAGATCTGATGTTTTTGTTTTTCTTTTTCTTTTGGATGGAGTCTTGCTCTGTTGCCCAGGCTGGAGTGCAGTGGTGTGATCTCCACTCACTGCAAGCTCTGCTGCCTCCCGGAGTCATGCCATTCTCCTGCCTCAGCCTCCCAAGTAGCTGGGACTACAGGCGCCTGCCACCACACCCGGCTAATTTATTTTGTATTTTTAGTAGAGAGGGGGTTTCAACGTCTTAGCCAGGATGGTCTTGATCTCCTGAACTCATGATCCGCCTACCTTGGCCTCCCAAAGTGCTGGGATTACAGGAGTGAGCCACCGCACCTGGCCTGAGATCTGGATCTGATGGTTTAAAAGTGTTTGGCAGTTCATCCACTGCTGTCTCTCTCTCTCTCCTGCTCCGCCATGGTAAGACGTGCCTTGTTTCCCCTTCACCATCCACCATGATTGCAAGTTTCCTAAAGCCTCCCCAGCCATGTGGAACTGTGAGTCAATTAAACCCCTTTTCTTTATAAATTACCCAGTCTCAGGTAGTTCTTTATAGGAGTGTGAAAATGGGTTAATACAGAAAATTGCTGCCAAGAGAAGTGGGGCATTGCTGTAGAGAGACCTGAAAATGTGGAAGCAACTTTGGAAGTGGATAATGGGCAGAAGTTGGAACAATTTGGAGGACTCAGAAGAAAACAGGAAGATGTGAGAAAGTTTGTAACTTCTTAGAGACTTGCAGAATGGTTTTGACCAAAATGCTGATCGTGCCAGGCTGAAATGGTCTGAGATGGAGATGAGGAACTTATTGGGAACTGGAGCAAAGGTCACTCTTGCTATGCTTTAGCAAAAAGACTGGCAGCATTTTGGCCCTGCTCTAAAGATCTGTGGAACTTTGAACTTGAGAGAGATGACTTAGGGTATCTGGCAGAAGAAATTTCCAAGCAGCAAACCATTCAATATGTGACCTGGCTTTTTCTGCATTCACAAAGAGATGATCTGAAATTGGAACTTATGCTTGAAAGGGAAGCAGAACATAAAAGTTTGAAAAATTTGTAGCCTGACCATACAGTCGAAAAGAAAAACCCATTTTCTGGGGAGAAATTCAAGCCAGCTGCTGAAATTTGCATTAAGTAATGAGGAGCTGAATGTTAATAGCCGAGAAAATCAGGAAAATGTCTCCAGGGCATTTCAGAGTTCACTGCAGCCCCTCCCATCATAGATCCAGAGGCCTGGGAGGAAAAAATGGTTTCATGGGCTGAGGTACTGCTGTCCTGTGCAGCCTTGGGACAGAGACCAACTCCAGCCATGGCTAAAAGGGACCAACATATAGCTCAGGCTGTTGCTTCAGAGGGTGCAAGGCCCAAGCATTGCCAGCTTCCATGTGTTGTAGGGTCTGTGGGTACACAGAAGGCAATAGCTGAACTTTGGGAGCCTCCACCTAGATTTCAGAGAATGTATGGAAATGCCTGGATGTAGAGGCATAAGTCTGCTGCAGGGGTGAAGCCCTCATGGAGAACCTCTACTTAGGGCAATGCAGAGGGGAAATGTGGGGTTGAAGCCCCCACACAGAGGCCCCACTGGGGCACTGCCTAGTGGAGCTGTGAGAAGAGGGCCACCATCCTCCAGACCCCAGAATGGTAGAGCCACCAATGACTTGCACTCTGTACCTGGAAAAGTTGCAGGCACTCAATGCCAGCTTGTGAAGCAACTATGGGGGCTGTACCCTCAGATCTACAGGGGCAGAGCTGCCCAATGCCTTGGGAGCCCACCCCTTGCATCAGTGTGCCATGGATAGGAGACATGGAGTCAAAGGAGTTTATTTTGGAGCTTTAAGATTTAATGACTGCCCTGAAGGGTTTTGGACTTCCATGGGACTTCTAGCCCCTTTGCTTTGGCCAATTTCTTCTTTTTGAAAAGGAAGCATTTACCCAATGACTGTACCCCCATTGTATCTAGGAAGTAACTAACTTGCTTTTGATTTTACAGGCTCATAGGGGGAAGGAACTTGCCTTTTCTCAGATGAGACTTTGGAATTGGACTTCTGGGTTAATGCTGGAATGAGTTAAGATTTTGGGGGATTGCTGAGAAGGCATGATTGTGTTTTGAAATGTGAGAAGAACATGAGATTTGGGAGGGACCTGGGGTGGGATGATGTAGTTTGGCTCTGTGTTCCCACCAAAATTTCATCACAAATTGTAATCACCACATGTTGAGGGAGGGACCAGGTGGCAGGTAATAGGACCATGGGGACAGTTTCCTCCATGCTGTTCTCATGATAGTGAGTGAGTTCTCAAGAGATATGATGGTTTATTGTCTCAGTCCCAAAACTTAAGGTGATAAGCAACTTCAACAAAGTCTCAGGATACAAAATTGGTGTACACAAATCACAACCAGTCCTATACACCAACAATAGACAAGCAGAGAGCCAAATCATGAGTGAACTCCCATTCACAATTGCTACAAAGGAAATAAAATACTCAGCAATACAACTTACAAGGGATGTGAAGAACCTCTTCAAGCAGAACTATAAACCACTGCTCAAGGAAATAAAGAGGACACAAACAAATGGAAAAACATTCCATGCTCATGGATAAGAAGAATCAATATTGTGAAAATGGCCATACTGCCCAAGGTAATTTATAGATTCAATGCCATCCCCATCAAGCTACCAATGACTTTCTTCACAGAATTGGAAAAATCCACTTTAAAGTTCATATGGAGCCAAAAAAGAGCCCTCATTGCCAAGACAATCCTAAGCCAAAAGAACAAAGCTGGAGGCATCATGCTACCTGACTTCAAACTATACTACAAGGCTACAGTAACCAAAACAGCATGGTACTGGTACCAAAACAGAGATGTAGGTCAATGGAACAGAACATAGCCCTCAGAAATAACACCACACATTTACAACCATCTGATCTTTGACAAACCAGACAAAAATAAGCAATGGGGAAATAATTGTCTATTTAATAGATGGTGCTGGGTGAACTAGCTAGCCATATGCAGAAGACTGAAACTGGACCCCTTTCTTACACCTTATACAAAAATTAACTCAAGATGGATTAGAGACTTAAATGTAAAACCCAAAACCATAAAAACTCTAGAAGAAAACCTACACAATACCATTCAGGACATAGGCATGGACAAAGACTTCATGACTAAAACACCAAAAGCAATTGCAACAAAAGCCAAAATAGACAAATGGGGACTAATCAAACTAAAGAGCCTCAGCACAGCAAAATAAACTATCATCAGAGTGATCAGGCAACATACAGAATGTGAGAAAATTTTTGCAAGCTACCCATCTGACAAAGGTCTAACATCCAGAATCTACAAGGAACTTAAACAAATTTACAAGAAAAAACAACCGCATCAAAAAGTGGGCAAAGGATATGAACAGACACTTCTCAAAAGAAGACATTTATGCACCCAATAAATGTACAAAAAAAAAAAACTCATCATCACTGGTCATTAGAGAAATGCAAATCAAAACCACAATGAGATACCATCTTATGTGTTAGAATGGCAATCATTAAAAAGTCAGGAAACAACAGACACTGGAGAGGATGTGCAGAAATAGGAATGCTTTTACACTGTTGGTGGGAGAGTAAATTAGTTCAACCATTGTAAGACGGTGTGGTAATGCTTCAAGTATCTAGAACAAGAAATACCATTTGACCCAGCAATCCCATTACTGGGTATATACCCAAAGGATTATAAATTATTCTACTATAAAGAGACATGCACACATATGTTTATTGCAGCACTATTTACAATAGCAAAGACTTGGAACCAACCCAAATGCCCATCAATAATAGACTGGATAAAGAAAATGCGACACATATACACCATGGAATACTATGCAGCAATAAAAAATAATTAGTTCATATCCTTTGCAGGGACATGGATGAAGCTGGACGCCATCATTCTCAGCAAACTACCACAGGAACAGAAAACCAAACACTGCATGTTCTGACTCATAAGTGAGAGAACACATGGACACACGGAGGGGAACATCACACACCAGGGTCTGTCAGGGGGTGGGGGCAAGGAGAGGGAGAGCATTAGGACAAATACTTAATGCATGCAGGGCTTAAAACCTAGATCATGGGTTGATAGGTGCAGGAAACCACCATGGCACATGTATACGTATGTAACAAACTCGTACTTTCTGCACATGTATCCCAGAACTTAAAGTAAAATTTTTTTAAAAAAAGAAAAATCCTTAAGTAAAACTGCTATGCTCTTTTTTGTGGGGGAAGAAAAGAGATCTGATGGTTTTAAAGTGTGTGGAAGTTTCCCCTTCTCTCTCTCTCTCCCACCATGTAAGACGTGCCTTGCTTCCCC
The DNA here is from genome assembly GCF_000001405.40 of Homo sapiens. Classification (NCBI taxonomy): domain Eukaryota; kingdom Metazoa; phylum Chordata; class Mammalia; order Primates; family Hominidae; genus Homo; species Homo sapiens. The sequence continues at coordinate 67,256,693 of NC_000003.12, forward strand.
TTTGCCTTCTACCATGATTGTAAGTTCCTGAGGTCTCCCCAGCCATGTGGAATTGTGGGTAAATTAAACCTCTTTTCTTTATTATCCAGTCTCAGGTAGTTCTTTATAGCAGTATGAAAACAGACTAATACACCACCTGTAATTTGTTTCCTGACTTTTAATGTCATAATAGTCAAAATACACTAGGCTATATTACAGCAGGAGATGGTAAACTGTGGCCTTTCAGATTATCAAGTGCAGTTTTAAACTAAGATTTGTTTATACAGTTTTAAGAGCCATAGCAAAGGAGGAGCAGGAGGTGGAGGAGGTGTAGAAGGACGAGGAGGATATCAGACCCCTATATGGCCTTCAAAGCCCTTTTGAGAAAAAGTTTAGCAACCCCTGCACTATAGTAACCACTAATGCCAATGTCAAAGTGGTTTTCTTCTATGTTTTCTTTTAGGAGTTTTTTGGTTTCATGTCTTACATTTAAGTCTGTAGTCTATTTTGAAGTAATTTTTGTGTATGGTATAAAAGAAGGGTCCAATTTCATTTTTTTTTGCATGGAAATATTGAATTATCCCAACATAATTTATTGAAGAGTCTGTCTGATCTCTATTGTGTATTTTTGGCACCTTTGTCAAAAATTAGTTGACTGTATATGTTTGAGTTTATTTCTGAGTTTACTATTCTGTCCCAATTGTCTGTGTGTCTGTTTTATGCCAGCACCATACTGTTTTAAATACTACAGCTTTGGAATATAGCTTGAAATCAGGAAGTGTGATACCTCCACCTTTGTTCTTCTTAATCAATATTGCTTTAGCTACTGGAGTTTTTGATAGTTCCAAATGAGTTTGAGAGTGTTTTTCTATTTCTGTGAAAAATGCCATTGGAATTTGATACCAAAAGACAGGTAACAAAAGTAAAATTAAACAAGTAGGACTACATCAAACTGAAAAGTTTCTGCACAGCAAAGGAAAGAACCAACAAAATAAAAAAACAACCTATAAAATGGGAGAAAATATTTGTCAACTATATATCTGGTAAGGGGTTAAAATAAAATATATATAAGTAACTAATACAACTCAATATCAATTATAATAATAAACTGATTAAAAAATGGGAAAAGGACCTGAATAGACATTTTTTTCAAAAGAAGACATACAAATGGCCAACAGGTATATGAAAAGATACTCAACATCACTAATCATCAGGGAAATGCAAATCAAAACCACAATGGGATATTACCTCATACCTGTTAGGATGGCTATTAAAAAAAGTCAGAAGTGTTAGTGAGGATGTAGAGAAAAGGGAATCTGTATACTGTTGGTGGAAATGTAAATTGATATAGTCATTATGGAAAACAGTATGGAGCTTCCTCAAAAAATTAAAAATAGAACTACTATATGATCCAGCAATCTCAGTTCTAGGTATATTCAAAGGAAATAAAATCATTATTTTGAAGAGATACCTGCACTGTCATGTTCATTGCAGCATTACTCATAATAGCCAAGATATGGGATCAACCTAAGTGTCTATTGGAAGATGATTGGATAAAGAAAATGTAAGAGAGATGTGTGTGTGTGTGTGTGTGTGTGTGTGTGTGTGTTTGCATGTATGTATGTGTGTGTGTGTGTATTGGAATATTATTACATATTTTTAAAAGCTTTTAAAAAGAAGAAAATCTTGCCATTTGCAATAACATGGATGAGCCTGAAGGACATTCGGCTAAGTGAAATAAGCCAGACACAGAAAGACAAATACTGCATGATCTCACTTATATGTGAAATATGTGAAATCTGAAACAACACTGACCTCAGTAACAGAGTATAGAACAGGCTGAGGGATGGGGAAGAAAGGGAGGATACCGGTCAAAGGGCACAAATATTTAGTTATAAGATAGGACACCTAATATAAAGCATGGTGACTATAGTTAATAATCATGTATTGTATACGTGGAATCTGCTAAGAGAGTAGATCTCAAGTGTTCACACCACACACACACACACACACACACACACACACATACACACACACCACACAGTAACAGTGAGATGATGGGTAAGTTAACTTGATTGTGGTAACCATTTTTCTATGTAGACACATATCAAAACATCGTGTTGTATACCCTAAATATATGCAATTTGTATGTGTCAATTATACCTCAATAAAACTGGGGGGTGGGGAACTAACCCCAAATCTCAGAAGCTTGCAGCTTGTAAGAAAAAAGGTTTACTTCTCATGTATGCCACCTGCTATGTCCCTACCCAAATCTCACCTTGAATTGTAATAATCCCCACATGTCATGGGAGGGGCCAGGTGGAGATAATAGAATCATGGGAGTGGTTTCTCCCATACTGTCCTTGTGGTAGTAAATAAGTCTCATGAGATCTGAAGGTTGTATAAATGGGAGTTCCCCTGCACAAGCTCTCGCTTGCCTGCTGCCGTGTAAAACATGCCTTTGCTACGTCTTCACCTTCTGCCATGATTGTGAGGCCTCCCCAGCCATGTGGAAGTGTGAGTCCATTAAACCTCTTTTTCTTTATAAATTACCCAGTCTCAGGTATGTCTTTATTAGGAACGTGAGAACAGACTAATACACCACCTACCATCTTGGGTCTTTACTCCAAGTCTTCTTAGTCTGGAAAGGAGGCTGATAGAGTAGTCACAATGCTGAACACTGTCACACATTGTGGCAGAGGAAAAGGGCTCCAGAGAGTCTTGCATTAGCAATTTAATGCTCCAGCTTGGAAGCTACCATCAAAACTCACTGGCTGGAAATAGTCACTCAGCCCTACCAAAAAAAGAGAAGTACAGTCCCACTATGTACTAGGAAGGCAAAGAACCAGAAATACTTGACAAATAGCACTAACAACTAAAACAGGTCTCTGAGAATTTTTTGTTATATCCACACCTGAACAAATTGAAATAAGATTCTTTTCTTTAGAATTACAAAAAAGCTTAAGTATAGAAAAATTGCTGGAGAGGGACTTCAAAATTAGACTGGAGTCAGATTATGAAGAGTCTTGTATGTTTTGCTAAAGAGTTTATGATTTTTTCTGTGTTCAATGGAAAGTCTTAATGGACTTAATTCAATAGAAAAAGGGACCACTATAGTTCTTAGCCAAGGGATCACTTGATTAGATCGGTATTTTAGAAATGTCACTCTAGCTACCATATGGAAATACTGGATGATTTATTGAATGAGCGAACATGTTGAAATGGGAGGCCAATTAGGAAGTTACTGCAGTGAACAAGGCACGAGTAGATGTGGATTTGAAATAATGCAGTGTTCATGGGAATGAGCAAGACAAACTAGATTGAAAGAAAATAACCTAAGAAGTAGAATTTACAGGACTTGGAGGAAGCCTGAGATTTACAGCTTGGACAGCTAAGTGGGTGTTAAGACTAATCATTTTGTTAGGAATGTAGAGGAGACAATAGTACATAGGCCTTGTCCATCATGCATGGTCTCTGAAAATTCTGAGATTAACTTTTGACCTAATACCCTGCCTACATTTCTTGCTTCTTGGATCAGTAAGGAATAAACTTCAAGTCCTCTTCTCTGTTCAAATTGTGATCCTCCAGAAATTTAAGTGCCAAGTGGATAGCATTCCCAGATTTTCACTATACAAGATGCCATTTTGAAATGAGTTGTGGCACATGATGGGGTCTATATCTGATTTATTTCTTCAGTCCATACTGACTACTAGGGCCTCAGGGTTTTGTCATAAAATTGGGCATGTGAAAATGGAAGTTCAGGTTGCCACAGTTTAGTTCAGATCTTCTCTCTGGAATAAATTGGAGACGGAATTTAATGTTTGACATTAGTTATTTAAATAAATTAATATATATGAAACTGATAGAAACATGGATTTTTTTAACAGATTGAACACAATTCTTTTGGTAATGCTAAAGATACAAATTATGGCAGACAGAGGACAAAATTAGAGGAGATCTCAGATGCTTGTGCAGAGATGGATGGAAATCCATTAGTCTACCATTACTGAAGCAATTTTCACAGTGCATTAAACCATGTACTACTAATGAAAGTCAAAATATTGAATGTATCCTTTAATGTCACTGTACATGTATGTATTATAATGTAATATTAATAAACCACATATTGTATATATTCTTCTGTGTTTCTAGACTTTGTGGTCCCTGTTTGTAAGCTATAATAATTGCAATGTCACTCAGATGTCATTTTCCTTTAACATCTGTGTGGATCATGTTCAAGGATGGTCATTCTAGGATCCATTTCTTATCTCTGTTCATAGAAAGTGAAATTCCAAAAACCATAATTCCCAGCCTCCTTTGCAAACTAGTGGCTAACCAGGTTCAACCAATGGGAGGTGATGTTGGAAAAGTGGAGGGCAGAAAGAAAGGAGCAGCCAGGATATTACTGTTCCTCTCTCTCCCTTTCAGATAGCATCTTGTCTGCAGCTGCATTCCCTGCATGTTCCCAGCTCCTACTGGATATACACTTCCTCTGTGTTCCTCATTTTCTCTGGACAGCCTCTCCTTTAGCTCCAGTTCCCACTGAGTAGCTACACTCCCAGGATTCCAGCTTTTGCCTGACAGTCCAAGATACATGGTCCCTGGGCCAGCTCCTCCTCCCAGGTTTCATCTCCCTCCAAGCATCCCTAACTCCTGGGCACTGATAATGTGCCTGTTCTCTTGGTCCCCCCAGTTCTAGCAGTAATAGCACCCTGTTACCATTGTTAAACTCTGAGGTGGCTTACCTTTCCCTATTCACTCTCAGCTCCTCCAACACCTCTGTGACTAGATCCCCATATTAAACCCCATTTACAGTGGTACCTTGGAAAGGATCCTCTATATAGTCCAGAAAGCGGGACTGTAGTCTGCAAGATGGCTTCAAGGGGATATTGAAATCTATAAGGATGAATCAGTGGCACAGACACTAAGGGACAAGATTCTGCAGTCAGGCTGTGGTGGGGAAGAAAGTACGACTCTAAGAGGATTTTTGCTGAATGGATATTTCAGAAGAAAGATGAGACAAAGCTCTGAATGGGCTCTTTTATCTCCTCCTGCCCCATCCCCTTCTCCAGCTTTCAATATGAACATTCTCAGAGCACTGTCTCAAGGAAAAATGGACAACCCATTAACACTCCTATTCTCCATATCCTTACACCAAACATGCCCTAAGAGAAAACTTGGCTGCTTCCTCTGAGAATAAAATTGAAAAAAAGAGATATTAATATATTAATAAATTACTGAGAGCTAAATCAGTGTTTAAACAACATACTTTAAAAGCAATCTTTTGATGCCTCGTGTAGGATGGAAAAATGAGCTTATCTAACTTCAGTTAAATTGCCTGACTCTAGCATATGTCTGATTTTTTTTGGACAGGAGACAACAACACCTTTTACTAAATTCAATGGACTTAGAACACTCAGGCAACAATAATTCAGAACATGGACAAAACAGTAGAGTCTAGAAGTAAACTTGTAGGCTTATGAATCCAACAGGACTGGGTTTGAATCCCAGCTATTCTGCCTACTAGCTTTGTGACTTTGCTGGGTGACCTAACCTAAATCTCTATGCCTCAGTTTTCCGAGCTTTAAAATGAGGATAATAGCATCTACCTCTTTGGATAGTTATGAGGATTTAAAGAGATACCTTTTGTAAAGTATTATTAGAATACTCTTCTCTGTTCTCAGGAAGAGCTAAGAAAGTAAAGAGCTGAAGAAACTTGAAGGCTTAGCATTAGTGACTCTTAACCACTCAAATGAGTAAGAATTACTGGAGGAGTTTGTTAAGAATGTGGGATATTATGCTCTGCTCCCTGAAATTCTGATTCAAGAGGTCTGGAGGTGTATCCTTAAAATGTGCATTTTTAATACATTTATACCCAGGATTTGAATGCATGTAGAACAAAGATCCCATTATGAGAAACACTTTCATTTGTTACTTCATTCTTTATCTATTTGCAAAATTTCCTTTAAATCCACTATTTCCTTTACCTTCATGATTTATCTAAATTCTAATGTTTTCTCAGTGCATCATCTGCACTCTGCCAACTCTGGCAACCTGGACATGGGTAGTGGTTAAGCCACTTACTGACCAGATAGCTTTGAATAAGTCTCTTCATCGCTTGAAACCTTAGTTTTGTCATCTAGAGTGAGATAATAATATTTGTCCTATACACCTCTTGGGTTACTAAAAGCATCAATGGAGGAAAAGGGTATAAAAGCATTTTTAAACTACAAGGCACTATACCAATGTGAGTTATTATTATATGGGGCCTGTTTGATTACAATCTCAACTGAGGTATAAAATGGAAGGGTTTTATTTTTCCTTACCTGATGGTATCTGTGTGGTGTTGTCAAAGCTCATCTTTATCACTATAGAGCAAGCTCTTTTAATATATCTCATTTCAATCCCATGACTTTTCAGTCATTATTGGTTATTAAACCAGTCTTATTTTGGTCAAGTCTTAGTTTTGCCCATCTTCAATTTCACACTCAGCCCAAACAGGTTTTTCTTCTCCCTTACTCTGCACAGACTAGATTTATGGAACCAGCAGCACAGAGGGAAGGGGGTATGTGTGCCAACACCTCATCTTCTATCCCAAACCCTGCTCTTGCTCCTCTTCCTTCAACAGGGAGGGAGGAAAAAGTAATGTGTTCTATGTCCTTAGATCACAGCACCATGATGCACTGGCTGTTCTCTTTATGGGTGGTAATGGCCACTTCCTTGTGTGAACTACCCTGTGTAACATTGACTATGTGGCTCTTTTATTTTTCTTTGTCATGAAAGTTGATAGCTCATGGTCTACAGTTGTAGGCTTTTGCAGACCCCCGAAAAGACAAACCAGGTGAGAAGCTCCATCCCAACCAGCTTCCCTAGTATCAATTACTTCTCAACGGATTTGCTCCCATGTTCCTGCTGGTAGCACTGAGCCACATCACCTTGACTCCAGCCCATTTGCTTCATACCTAGATGGGTCTCACACAAACCTGAGGCCCTAACTCTTATCATTTCTCTCCACCCCAGTTCTCGTGCCCTATTGATATAGGAGGTAGAAATGAATTATTTAGGCAGATAGTGAGGGCAAAAGTGTCCTCAGTGGATTTTTTCCTTCTAACCAAAAGCAGCCCCCCAAATTATTACTTTTCTGACTGAACAGCCTGAAAAATTCAGCTGCAAACATAAATAAGGAAGCAAGATGCTTGCATGGGGGAATGCTGGAAGAAGCGCCAATAGAAAAGGGCTGTCTGGGGCCAGGCATGTCCAACATGGAGGCTTGGTCTTCCCTTTTTTTGTTACCACGTGTACAGTAATAGATACATGGGCATCATGACACAGCTCAGACAGAGAACCTGCCTGCATAATAAAAGACTGGGGTAGGGGCAGCCAGAGATTCCTGCCCTATGCAAACACACCTGGTCCAACCAGTTTTTCGCACCCTATGTAAATCAGGCACTGCCTCCCCATCAGCTCATCTATAAAATGCCCTGCATTTCACCATGGGTCCAGCAACTCATTTCTCCAGGACCCCTCTCTGCAGTAGAGAGCTATTATCTTTCTTTAAACCACTCTTAACCTCACTCTTTTTGTGTCCGTGTCCTTGTTCTCCATGGCCATGAGACAGTGAATCTCCGGTGCTTGTCCAGACAACGAAGCTGTTTCACTATGGGCATAGATTGGATCCATTTTAGGGTCATACCATCAATCTATTCAGCAATGCCTTTTCCCCCACATTGGGAACTCAAAGGTAGGCAGTGAGTCTGACTGCTCAGTGAACAAGCAAGTGGTGAAGGATGATGCTCATCTTTCCTCCTTGAAAAACCACTAAGCTTTCTTTTCTTTTCTTTTCTTTTCTTATTATTATTATACTTTAAGTTTTAGGGTACATGTGCACAATGTGCAGGTTAGTTACATATGTATACATGTGCCATGCTGGTGTGCTGCACCCATTAACTCGTCATTTAGCATTAGGTGTATCTCCTAATGCTATCCCTCCCCCTTCCCCCCACCCCACAACAGTCCCTAGAGTGTGATGTTCCCCTTCCTGTGTCCATGTGTTCTCATTGTTCAATTCCCACCTACGAGTGAGAATATGCGGTGTTTGGTTTTTTGTTCTTGCGATAGTTTACTGAGAATGATGATTTCCAATTTCATCCATGTCCCTACAAAGGACATGAACTCATCATTTTTTATGGCTGCATAGTATTCCATGGTGTATATGTGCTACATTTTCTTAATCCAGTCTATCATTGTTGGACATTTGGGTTGGTTCCAAGTCTTTGCTATTGTGAATAGTGCCACAATAAACATACGTGTGCATGTGTCTTTATAGCAGCATGATTTATAGTCCTTTGGGTATATACCCAGTAATGGGATGGCTGGGTCAAATGGTATTTCTAGTTCTAGATCCCTGAGGAATCGCCACACTGACTTCCACAAGGGTTGAACTAGTTTACAGTCCCACCAACAGTGTCAAAGTGTTCCTATTTCTCCACATCCTCTCCAGCACCTGTTGTTTCCTGACTTTTTAATGATTGCCATTCTAACTGGTGTGAGATGGTATCTCATTGTGGTTTTGAGTTGCATTTCTCTGATGGCCAGTGATGATGAGCATTTTTTCATGTGTCTTTTGGCTGCATAAATGTCTTCTTTTGAGAAGTGTCTGTTCATGTCCTTCGCCCACTTTTTGATGGGGTTGTTTGTTTTTTTCTTGTAAATTTGTTTGAGTTCATTGTAGATTCTGGATATTAGCCCTTTGTCAGATGAGTAGGCTGTGAAAATTTTCTCCCATTCTGTAGGTTGCCTGTTCACTCTGATGGTAGTTTCTTTTGCTGTGCAGAAGCTCTTTAGTTTAATGAGATCCCATTTGTCAATTTTGGCTTTTGTTGCCAGTGCTTTTGGTGTTTTAGACATGAAGTCCTTGCCCATGCCTATGTCCTGAATGGTAATGCCTAGGTTTTTTTCTAGGGTTTTTATGGTTTTAGGTCTAATGTTTAAGTCTTTAATCCATCTTGAATTAATTTTTGTATAAGGTGTAAGGAAGGGATCCAGTTTCAGCTTTCTACATATGGCTAGCCAGTTTTCCCAGCACCATTTATTAAATAGGGAATCCTTTCCCCATTGCCTGTTTTTCTCAGGTTTGTCAAAGATCAGATAGTTGTAGATATGTGGTGTTATTTCTGAGGGCTATGTTCTGTTCCATTGACCTACATCTCTGTTTTGGTACCAGTACCATGCTGTTTTGGTTTCTGTAGCCTTGTAGTATAGTTTGAAGTCAGGTAGTGTGATGCCTCCAGCTTTGTTCTTTTGGCTTAAGATTGACTTGGTGATGAGGGCTCTTTTTTGATTCCATATGAACTTTAAAGTAGTTTTTTCCAATTCTGTGAAGAAAGTCATTGGTAGCTTGATGGGGATGGCATTGAATCTATAAATTACCTTGGGCAGTATGGCCATTATCACAATATTGATTCTTCCTACCCATGAGCATGGAATGTTCTTCCATTTCTTTGTATCCTCTTTTATTTCATTGAGCAGTGGTTTGTAGTTCTCCTTGAAGAGGTCCTTCATGTCCCTTGTAAGTTGGATTCCTAGGTATGTTATTCCCTTTGAAGCAATTGTGAATGGGAGTTCACTCATGATTTGGCTCTCTGTTTGTCTGTTATTGATGTATAAGAATGCTTGTGATTTTTGCACATTGATTTTGTATCCTGAGACTTTGCTGAAGTTGCTTATCAGCTTAAGGAGATTTTGGGCTGAGACAATGGGGTTTTCTAGATATACAATCATGTCATCTGCAAACAGGGACAATTTGACTTCCTCTTTTCCTAATTGAATACCCTTTATTTCCTTCTCCCGCCTAACTGCCCTGGCCAGAACTTCCAACACTATGTTGAATAGGAGTAAAACCACTAAGCTTTCTAAAGTGATTTTCTCATCCACGTCCACCCCCCCAGGAACGGAAACAAAATGAGTCCCATCTCACCCTATCCCCACTCCCCAAAGAGAAGAAAGGATATATTCAAGTGTAGTTCCATTAAACTGGCATTTCTCAGCAAATCCCATAATAGGTGAGAGTCATTTGGCTGAATGTGAGAGTAACAGGGTGTGTTTTGATCTCAGGTAAAGGTTATTACCAATTCCTCAAAAATTGAAAAGTCCCACACAGGACCCCTTAGGAGCTCTTACATGGTAATTATCAATCATAGCCTGGATGTCTCAGGATTCCCCAGATGTAAGGTTGTGGTTGTTACTAGGGCTATTCACTGATATATCTTGTCTCTTCCTTTAAGTACATGTTGGGATTGTCTTTCCTTGCCCCTTTTAAATTTGATTTGGTCATGAGACTTGATAGGACCTAAGAAACATGTGTCAGTTCTGGGCTGAGAAATTTAGGACCCACTGGGCCATCCTCACATTCCTGTTTTCCTGTCTCTAGCAAGCCAGTAGCAATGTTCCAGATGGTCCAGCCTCCATCAGATTGGATTGCTGAGAATACCTTTGATGGACATGAAGTGCAATGTGGAGGTTTTGATCCAAGACTTTTGGACTGTCACTGCAGCATAATCTAGACTAGGCTGAATACAAAGGGATGAGTGGAAGTGTAAACACTGAAAAAGAATTCTCAAAGACAATCCACCCAGTTCAGTGGAGTGAATACACAATGAGTAGGAAGAGTGTCATAAACCTGCCTAATCTTAAAAGACCTGAGAATCACCGAGAAGGGGAGCACATTGCATTTGTCTAGAGAAGATAAGGAACAATCCCAATGACTACTTTTATTAGCAGTCATCAAATTTCTCATGTATTTGCATAACTGTGGCATGTGGTCCCATACTGTGGATATTCTGGTTAAAGTAGAGTGAATGCCAGTGGAGGAGAGATGCACGTGTTTGGAAACTCAATAACAGTTTATGTAAATATGAACAATGGAAACAATTTATTTCCCTTATTGAAGAGTTTGGTGTTGTTTTGTTTCCTTCAACTGGCAACATTTGATAAAGTTGCAGAAATGGGAAATTTCAAAATTTTGATAATTTAGAAAGACTGTCTATTTATTTATTTATTTATTTATTTATTTATTTATTTACTGAGATGGAGTCTTGCTCTGTCACCCAGGCTGGAGTGCAATGGCATGGTCTTGGCTCACTGCAACCTCCACCTCCTGGGTTCAAGCAATTCTCCTGCCTCAGCCTCCCAAGTAGCTGGGATTACAGGCGTCTGCCACCACCCAGCTAATTTTTGTATTTTTAGTAGAGACAGGGTTTCACCCTGTTGGCCAGGCTTGTCTCGAATTCCTGACCTTAGGTGATCTGCCCACCTTGGCCTCTCAAAGTGCTGGGATTACAAAAAGACTGTCTTTTTAAAAAGCAATAAAACTTAGGAAAAAGAAAAGACAAGCCCACAGATGGATAAAATATTTGCAGTACACATATCTGATAAAGAACTTGCATCTACAATATACAAAGAACTCATAAAACTCAACAATAGAAAAACAAAACTCAAATAATGGCCAAAAGATCTGAATAGATGTCTCACCAAATAAGACATACAATTGGCAAATAAGCATAGAAAAAGATGATGAACATCAAATGTCATTAGAGAATTGCAAGTTAAAGCAACAGTGAAATATCACTACACATCTATCAGAACGGCTAAAAAATATTGACAATAGCAAATGCTGCTGAAGATATGGAACAATAGGAACCTTCATTCATTGCTAGTGGAAATACAACATGGTACAGCCACTCCAGAACTGGCAGTTTCTTACAAAGATACACGTAGTCTTACCACATCATCCAGCATTATGTCCACACAAAAACCCGCACATGAATGTTTATAGCGGCTTTATTCATAATTGCCAAAAACTGGAGGCAACCAAGATGTTCATCAACAACTGTGGTACATCCATACGATGGAGTATTATTCAGCTGTAAAAAGAAATGAGCTATGAAGTCACAAACAAACATTGAGGAGACTTTAAATTCACACGCTAAGTATGATGGTTAATGTGTCAACTTGGCTAGGTCATGGGACCCCGGTATTTGGATAAACATTATTCAAAATGTTTCTGTGAATGTATTTTTTTTTAGCTGAGATTAACATTTAAATCAGTAGACTTTGAGTAAAGCAGATTACCCTTTATAATGTGGGTGGATCTCCTCCAATCAGCTGAAGGCCTTAATAGAAAAAGACTGAGGTTCCCTGATGAAGAAGGAATTTTGCCAGGAGACTGCCTTCAAAGTCAAACTGCAGCATCAGCCCTTCCCTGGATCTCCAGCCAGCCAACTTACCCTGCAGATTGTACTGTATGATTCTAACCATGTGACATTCTGGAAAAGGCAAAACAATTTGACAGTGAAAATAGAAGCAGTTGCCAGGGGCTCAGAGAGGTGGGGGCAAGGATGAATAGGTAGAACACAGAAACTATTTATTAGGTCAGAAAACTCTTCTAAATGATACTGTAATGGTGGATACACGACATTATGCATTTGTCAAAATCCATAGAACGTACAACGCCGAACCTTAACACAAACTATGAATTCCATTTAATAATGTGTCAATATTGGTTCATATTTTTCCACATCTAAGCTAGAGATAATAAAATGAGACTTAGAGAGTTGTCATAAAAATTAAATGAGAGAATATGTGAAAAGTTCTGGGCCTTGCGACTGGCTCAAAAAATGGCAGAGATGTAACCATGTAGATGATGCTCAGAGAAAGAGGAGGAGAGGAAAGGAAAAAAGGAAGGAAGAAATAACCAATTTCAGGGCAGATGAAGGCTTCAGAATATTACAGGTTTTTCATATTCAGTTACTGTCATTATTACCTTCAGCAACATAAGACCCTAGATTATAACCAGTATAATCCTACAGCTTAGAAAAAAGGATAGAAAAAAAAGTAAAATCTTTACAAAATAATTTCAAATTACATGTGAGTCATATTGAAACTCTTCCTTTTTATACCAGAGAGGGAAAACACCATCTAAGCTTCCAATGAAAAAAAAAAAAGTCTGAACATGTTTCCAGAATAAAACTGTAAGTTTGAGGGGAAAGTGGATATTTGGTCTCAGTTTCCACCTTCACTTTCACTTTAAATAGCCTGGAAGAAAAGTTAAAATCTAATCAGAACATATTAGAGTTTGGGTGTTTTTGAAAGAATTAAGATTTTAGCACGATTTTTCTTAATTATTTTACAACTTTTTTTCCTCCCTGATGCGAATGTTATGCCACATAGAAGCTGAAGAGCCAGGTAGCATGCCCCAGTTTCAGCAAAGGCTGAAAAACTTTAATTGTCTTCAACGAAGAGTCCTTTGCCCTGGATTTGCTGGATAATCTCTATTTTAAGTGGCTCTTCTTATTATTCTGTCTCAGAGACTGTGTTTCAAAGCCCTGATTTTGCCTGTATGCCAAACTGTAGGAAGTCATATGATTTGGGGCTGAATCTACTGCACAAGGTCTAGTATTTAAAATGCTGGAGAAAACATTTTAATAGAGAAGACTTAGAAACATACTACCTCATTTGACTGGACGTAGGCATGTAGAGAATTTGTCCCAAGCCCCAAAGCTAGTTTGTGATAAGCCAGGATTTGTACCTAGATCTATGGGACTTCAGAGACCACACTGTTAATGACACTTTTCATTTCTGAGCTCTTGAACCCCAACACCCAAGTGATTGTTTTTGAGATGAATCCCTTTCCAAAAGTACAGAAGTACAGTTCAGGGGGCAAAATTAACCTAAAGGGAATCCCTTTCTTTGGCCAAATCCATCAAGAACTCTAAAACATATCAAATGCACAGTCCAAACACCTGAAATCCTCTTTCCTCACCTACCTTCACAGCCAACTGCTCTGTAACAAATGTCAGACTATACTCCCAACTCCTCCTTCATCTCAGGCCACTAGTAGATCAGCTTACTACTGTAGGCCTAAATCCTTTACCTTTCCCTCCATTCTTTCCATTTTACTCTCCACTCTCCCCCCACTCTCCCAGCCCCTTTTTCTTAACTCTGCATTCCCAAAGCCCCAAGAACCTGTCTTCTGAAGTCAGAGCTTCCCTAAGCCAAAAGTGTCTGAGAACATTTTATTTTAAGCAAATGTGGGGAGGAGAGAAGAGTGGAGCATTCTCAAATTGTAAATCCTAATATTTTGCCTTTTTTTTTTTTACACTTGTGAGATCTCCTAACTCAGATTCTAAATCTCACTCATTTCTGAATCTTTCATATATGGTTTCTGGTTGCTATCCTACATTACATCGCAAGCAACTACCCTATTTCCAACATTATCTCTTCGGGCTTTGTGATAAGACTTTGTACCCTAAAAATCCTAAGTAACCCGTTTTCAATAATTACCCCTGGGACACTCATGGCACTTTTTATTAGCCATTATGGCAGATTATGTTTTCCAGAAATGGCTGCAATGATACATATCCCATTCCACATGCTCTTCTTACAGTGTGACCTTGACACTCCTCCATCAGGCATTAGGGTCAATGTTCTCTCCCTTTGAACCTGGGCATACTTTTGTCTCTACCAATAGAATACAGGGAAAGTGGCAGTGATTTCCAAGGCTAGGACATAAAAGGCATCACAATTTCTACCTTGGTCTTGGGTCACTCACACTGGGAAAGCCAGCTGCCATGCATTGAGAACTCTCACGCGACATAGTAGAGAGGAATGGTAGCTCCAACCAACAGCCAGCATCACATTGTCAGGCATGTAAATGAGTCATGTAGGATGTAGGTCCTTCCACCCCACTCAAGCCTTCAAATGACTGTAGCCCTGGCCAACATAGGACCGCAACTGTGCAAGGACTAAAGCAAGAACTGAGCAATAGAAACTGGAAGTAATAATATATCAATATTGCTGTTTTAAGCCACCAAATTGTGGGCTGATTTTTTTGCAGCAATACATCAATATACTAGCTATTCTAACCTAATCTTAAATTTATCCCAGCATTACATCAATTCAGATGAATTTTAATGTATCTTTCAGGGAAGGAAGAGTTTCAAAAAAATTAAGGCCAGAATGGAGGTGGGGTGGGGTTCTCTTATTGCCCCAAAAGAAATAGGGAGCACTGGGACCAGAGAAAATGCCCTCAAAAGATGAGTGAATTCAGAAAATAGACTACTTTTACTTTTCAGCCTTTTCTGAGACCCTGAATTGATATAGTTGCTGTGGCCAAGTCCTAATTCTCTGGATGATAAAGAATATTTGATCATGGGGTGAGAATTCAAATCTTTCTAATTAAAGCCCCAAATGAACTCTGTATCATTCAGGATAATAACATTAACAGTCTCTGAATTTTCTTCTGTATTGGGGGAAAAATTCATTCCCAGGCATGAGCCAATGTGGGCTTCTGAAAGCCTACTATTAAAGAATTTGAGAACCCAACAATAATCTGATGGTGACTTCAAGGTCAGGGAGGCACTGATCTTGCTTTGCAGGGACACAGGCTGGGCTGGCAACATCAACAGTCACTGAAGGAGGGCTGTGGCATACTGTCCAGAGGGATCAGACAGCCTATGGAAAAATGATGACCTGCCGAATAAGCTTCAGTAGGAACGGGAGGACAAGATGCCCTATATTTGTAGAGAAACAGTTTTCCTCTTCCTCCTCAGGACACTCAGGTTCCTGCTTATTACTGCCCAGAATGTCTCAGTGAACACGAAAGGGGGCCTGCTAGATACCACTGGAAGGAAAAAATTGGTGCTGGTGATTAATTTCCCGAGACTCTAACTTCTACCTGAAACTGGGGTATTTCTCCCTTTAACTTGAACACAGCAAACAGCTATTTGGGGGAAGATGCATTTTGAGATATGTTTCCAAGTCAGGCTGACCCCTTTTATCTCCAAGGAATAAAGGATCACTCAGGTTTCCTCAAGCCATGGGAGTTATTAGAAGAACAAATAAGGAAATAAGCAAGATAGCATAAGAGCTATGACTGCTTCTTGACACACAAACACAGGAAACATCACATTCCCTAATTTTTCTAAATTAGATCAAATCTAATATCACCACCCCCCATTACCACATTGGTAAAAATCTAATCTTAGTCATTTCAGAGAAATGGATAAACAAGAACCTTGGAACCTATGGAAGTCCAGTGAGGTTGGGGAAGAGATTCCAATATTCATAATTCATAATGGACAGCAGCTAGAATGTTCCTTGACTAAATTCCCCCAAATTCATTCAGATATGCTCATGGCATCCACTCACTTTAGGATTTGGCTCCCAAAGTCACAGCATATAGTCCTCACGCTCCAGACACGCACATGCCACCACTGTCATAGGGCTGCCTCCCCTAGGTGCTGCATGGAGGGATATACACCCTCCCTTCTAATCCCAATTATGGAAAGCCCAACTCTTGCTCATCACCCCCTGCCCTCAACCCCTAGAAGCCTGTCCTTTTGACAGTGGCGGTAGCTGGTGAGAGTACTCAGTCTCAGATACAGATAATAAGATGGTGTCTTACCTATAGAAAATGTGTAAACAATAATAAAACCCACAAGTCTGTTTTTTTTTTTTTTTTTAATTATCACCTTGCAGGCAATTTTAAAGTGCTCATTTCTGCCCAGCGGCAGACCATTCCTACTTCTCATCCTTGGTATGGCCACTGCCTTTTGAACAGTCAAGAATTATGTTCTTATGAGCCTAGAGTTGGAAAAAAGTCTCTCTGTGTCTCTCTCCCTCTCTTTCTTTTTTTTTTTTTTTTTTTGAGAGAAGGTCTCTGTCACCCACGCTGGAGAGCAGTGGTCCAATCATGGCTCACTGTATCCTTGACCACCTGGGCTCAGGTGATCCTCCCACCTCAGCCTCCAGAGTAGCTGGCACCACAGGTGCACAAAAATTAAAATTTCAACTTTTTGTACATGAAGAACTTTATAATCTGGTATCATGCAAAGAACAGGAACTATAATACCTCTGGCTTCATGGGAATAAGAACCTGAGCTGTCCAGTTAATCCTCATTATTCTTGTTGCATGGAGATTTCCCACTTGGCTGTTTGCCTCTGACCCAATCAGTGGTGGGATAGGTTCATAGGGTGCTCCGATGTTGATTTATGAGGAAGGACCCTCGTCTAAGTGGAATGCAGGTTTGGTAGATATAGTAAGATTTAACCTACCCAACAGAGTTTCAATTTGTTGGGTGCCTTTCAAGGTGGGCAGGTCAGGGAAAAGGATGGGGTCTGGAGTGGCACACTCCATGAGCTCTGTGAAATGCCTTTACATGTGGCTTGGATGATTGAACAAGGCCATGTCAGGTCAGCATCCAGGGCTAAATACCTGCTACTGCCTTGGTAGGAAACTTCTTTCTGCCTCAAATTCCCTACCCAGAAGGGAGGATTAATACCTTCAAGATAAGTCCTCAGAGGATGTCTGACCAGATAACAAAAAGGAATAAGTGACTTCCAGGATAGAGGATACTTATCTATTTCATAAATTAAGGTACATAGCTTATTTCATAGCTATTACTAAGCTTAAGGTACCATTTAGTAAGGAGGAAAGATGAATTTAAAGCTGTGTATTTCAAAGGGTGGTCCGTGAACCAACATCATCTGCATCAACTGTGAACTTGTTAGAAACAACCTTAGTTGTTTTAACCAAACAAGAATTTGGAGATGTTTATTACTGCAGCTTGTGTATACTATTCTAACTGATATAACTACAAATCGAGACTTGTGACATGGACCAAAACTAGTGCTTCAAACATTTATGCAGCCAAAAGACACATGAAAAAATGCTCATCATCACTGGCCATCAGAGAAATGCAAATCAAAACCACAATGAGATACCATCTCACACCAGTTAGAATGGCAATCATTAAAAAGTCAGGAAACAACAGGTGCCGGAGAGGATGTGGAGAAATAGGAACACTTTGACACTGTTGGTGGGACTGTAAACTACCTCAACCCTTGTGGAAGTCAGTGTGACGATTCCTCAGGGATCTAGAACTAGAAATACCATTTGACCCAGCCATCCCATTACTGGGTATATACCCAAAGGATTATAAATCGTGCTGCTATAAAGACACATGCACACGTATGTTTATTGCAGCACTATTCACAATAGCAAAGACTTGGAACCAACCCAAATGTCCAATAATGATAGACTGGATTAAGAAAATGTGGCACATATACACCATGGAATACTATGCAGCCATAAAAAAGGATGAGTTCATGTCCTTTGTAGGGGCATGGATGAAATTGGAAATCATCATTCCCAGTAAACTATCGCAAGAACAAAAAACCAAACACCGCATGTTCTCACTTACCGGTGAGAATTGAACAGTGAGAACACATGGACACAGGAAGGGGAACATCACACTCTGGGGACTGTTGTGGGGTGGGGGGAGGGGGGAGGGATAGCATTAGGAGATATACCTAATGCTAAATGACGAGTTAATGGGTGCAGCACACCAGCATGGCACATGTATACATATGTAACTAACCTGCACATTGTGCACATGTACCCTAAAACTTTAAGTATAATAATAAAAAAAAAATTTATGGCTCTAGATATATATATAAGAAAAAAAAAGAAAGGCTGAAAATTAATGAGCTAAGCAATTAGTTAAAGAACTAAAACCAACAACAACCACATAGACTCAAGGGAAATAGAAGAAAAAATTTTAAAGCAAAATAAAAAATATAAGGTTTAAATAGAGATAATTCATTAAGTCAAAAGTCAGTTCTTTGAAAAGACTAGAAAAGTCAACAAATCTCTAGTGAGTCTGATCAAGAGACAAACAGATAAGGCAAAATCTGAAAAAAAGTTATTTGGGCTAGAAAGGGGCTGTATTGATCAGGATAATGCAAACCAGACACTCAAAAAACACCCCAAATCTCTGTGGCCTAAAATATTCTTATCACAAACCAGTGCAGGTCAGTTAGCTCTGCTGGGTGACTGTCATCCAAATGTTGAAACAGACTTCAGAATTGTCCCCACTGATAGGAACAGACAACTGCCACCAGAGCAACCAGGACCAGGGTGGATTTGAATGGTGCACCTGAACTTCCAGAATTCTAGCCCACTGGCTTTTCGGGCTTGCTCTTATCATTTTATTAGTCTGGAAATAATGTGACCCCACATTTTATGTGCTTAAATTTTTTGGATCCTGATATGGTTAGGTTTTGTGTCCCCACCCAAATCTCATCTTGAATTATAATCTCCATAATCCGAATGTGTCAAGGGAGAGACCAGATGGAGGTAAGTGAATCATGGGGGTAGTTTCTCCCATGCTGTTCTCATGACAGTGAGTGAGTTCTCAGATCTGATGGTTTTGTAAGGGCTCTTCTCCCCTTTTCTCGGCCCCTCTCCTTTGTAGCAACTTGTGAAGAAGGTGCCTTGCTTCCCCTTCACCTTTCACCATGATTGTAAGTTTCCTGAGGCCTCCCCATCCATGCAGAATTGTGAGTCAATTAAACTTCTTTCCTTTATAAGTGACCCAGTCTCAGGCAATTCTTTATAGCAGTACGAAAACAGACTAGAACAGACCCCAAGTATTGTTTCTGATATGGCCATGTTGTATTTGTGAAAAAAACTAAGTCACAGAACCATTTATTACATGTCACCGTTTTTTAAAGCTTGAAAACAACCAAAATGAGAAAATGTATTGTTTAGAAATGTAAGCAAATAGGGTAATATTATTTTGCAAAAATAATAAACACAAAATTTAAGAGTGCAGTTAACTTGAGAGTATATTCAGGCAAATTGAATTGTTTTAATACTGTTCTAGTTCTTGAGTCAGATAGCATGTTTTCAGTATCCTTTTTATTATAGTATTTTATGTCTAACTGTGTCCTATGTGTTCTTCTGTATATATTAAGTACTTCCTCTATTTACCCTCAGTTTCCACTTTGATTTTTGACCTTAGCTTCTCAATTTCTCAGCTTCTCCATCTATGAAGTAGGGATCATTACATTAGCTTCTACTTCTCTCATTGGGAAAGGGTAAATGACTACAGTAGTTCCCTCCTCATCCATGGTTTAGCTTTCCATGGTTTCAGTTACCCATGGTCAACTGTGGTTCAAAATACTAAATGGAAAGTTTCAGAGATAAACAATTCATAAGTTTTAAATGGCACACTGTTCTGGGTATTGTTATAACTGTCCTATTTTATTCCTAGTTTTTGTTAATCTCTTACTGTATCTAATTTGTAAATTAAACTTTATCATAGTTATATATAGGAAAAAACATAGTCTATATAAGGTTTGGTACTATTTAGTTTTGGGCATCCACTGGGAGTCTTGGAAGACATCTTCCACAGGCAAAGGGGGACTAGTGTATTTTGAGATCTTAGTGCAAAAAGTATCCATACATTTCAATTTCTTCAGCTTCTCCAAAAAGAAGCAGGCTTAGGACAGTGGAGAAAAGACATGATGTTGTGTTCCTGTTGCAATGTGGCTGTCTAGTTAATGATCTCATGATCCTCACACAGGATAGGCTTTTTGTCCTCTGGGTGAATTTTGTAGAGGTGTGACACCCTGGGCTTTGTTACATGTGACAATTTATTAAAAATGAGTTTCCCATATTTGCATAGAAGGGAACTGTGGGACAAAAGGCAAAAAAGGAAAGAAACAGAGAGAAGACAGGAGGGAGGTAGGAACCAGGGTAAGAAGAAGAGCAAGACCAACCGTCTTTATTGAATCTACTTCCCTCCTGTGAGCTCCAGGGTCCTTGTGAAAAGCTAAAGTACTTTTCCCTGTCTAATTTGACTTGCTCATCCAAGAACTGGTAATTCTGTTAAGCAACAAGCAGGCACTCCATAGCAAAGACCAGAAGTCGTTAACTTGTGCCCAAGACCTGTCTCCCCACTTCTAAGAATACACTTCAGCGGTCCCAGAGAAAGAAATGATACTTTTAATGTTAATACACAAAACAGGAAACAACCCCAGTGTGTATTTTCTGGATAATTCTAGCCAAGAGAGTTAATGAGCAATAATAGTTTTAAAGGCTAGAGCAGTTGGGGCAATATTTATTCATCTGTAACAGCCTATGAAATACAAAGTATAAAACAAAAGGCATTACAGATTGGGGAATTTAAACAAGCAGCCAGTGAGGCTGAGTGGAGCTTTTCAGAGAAGCTGTAAAATGTACTCCGATGCATAAGAGGAAAATTAAAGATCAAAAGGACATTATCATATTCAAGCGGTTCTGCAGTACACAGCCTCACCTCTCCTGGACTTTGAGAGAAAAGCCGTCAGTGGTAATAATTAAGGAAGCCTGCACTTGTTTTTTTAATAAATATTTCATGATATGTCATCTGCTTCTGAGAGGAGCCATAACATGCCACAGCCACTGCATACTTAGCAGTCGTGGAATGACAAAAACTGGGCTAATTATGCTAAGATCATACAAATTTAGAAGCGAAGACAGTGAAAGCTGACAGGCTATGTCAAGGGCTATGAATTTGGGTTATACACAGAACTCCAGGAGTTAGCAGTGTCAGCTTGTTATGTGCCAGGCACCCCTGCAGGTCTTACTCACTGGGGCACCCTTGCAAAGAGTTCTAAAAAACACCTTTTGGCAAGAACAGCACTTCAGAGGCTTTCAGACATGAGTGGACCAAAGCCAGAAGAGCCTGCATCCCGCCTTTCCCAATGGCAGAGAGACCTTAAGACTCAGACTGCAAATAATCCTGCCTGTTTTGACCTCTTTGAGTGAGGAAAATTTCTTAATCTCTTTGAGGTTCTGTTTCATTATTCATTAATTTCCCAAATATGTATTGAGCACCTACTCAGTATCAGGCACTGGCACTAGACATTGGTAGCATAGCTCTGAATCAGACAGGCATGTGTGCCCTGGTGGCGGTCTCATTCTAGAGGGAAAGACAGGTAAGAAACAAGTGAAATATGTAATGATGCATGTTAAGAAGAAAGGTAAATCAGGGAAGGGGGATCAGAAGTGTTGGAGTTGGGTGACTGGGAATTGTTTTTTTTTTTTTTTTTTTTTGGGTTTTTTTTTTTTTTGAGACACTCACTGAGAACGTCGTAGATGAGGCTGAAGGAAGTAAGGAAAAGAGCTGAGAGGATATGTGAGAGCCGAGAACCCCAGGCAGAGTGGCAGCAAGCACAAAGGCTCTGTGCTCAGTGTGTCAGAGAAGGAGCCAGGCTGCAAGAAGGCAGGGAGAAGAGTCAGGTAGGGTGAGGTTAATAGGAGATGAGGTCAGAGAGGCCATGAAGAGGTGGCAGATCACAAAATATTCATAGTTAATTGTAAGGACTTGGATTTTATGCTGATGAGATAAGCAACCATCAGAGGGTTAGAGCAGAAGGACACCGACATGGCTTGATCCTGTATCCCCACCCAGATCACATGTTGAATTGTAATCCCCAATGTTGGGGTAGGGACCTGGTGGGAGGTGATTGGATCATGGGGTGGTTTCTAATGGCTTCGCACCATCCTCCTAGTGTTGTCTCAAGTGAGTTCTCACCAGACCTGGCTGTTTAAAAGTCTGTAGACTTCCTAGTTATTTCTTGCCTTCTGCTAGCTTTTGAATGTGTTTGCTCTTGCTTCTCTAGTTTTTTTAATTGTGATGTTAGGGTGTCAATTTTAGATCTTGCCTGCTTTCTTTTGTGGGCATTTAGTGGTATAAATTTCCCTCTACACACTGCTGTAAATGTGTCCCAGAGATTCTGGTATGTTGTGTCTTTGTTCTCATTGGTTTCAAAGAACATCTTTATTTCCACCTTCATTTTGTTATGTACCCAGTAGTGATGCAGGAGCAGGTTGTTCAGTTTCCACATAGTTGAGTGGTTTTGAGTGAGTTTCTTAATCCTGAGTTCTAGTTTGATTGCACTGTGGTCTGAGAGTTTTTGAAAAGATCAACAAAATTGATAGACCGCTAGCAAGACTAATAAAGAAGAAAAGAGAGAAGAATCAAATAGACGCAATAAAAAATGATAAAGGGGATATCACCACCGATCCCACAGAAATACAAACTACCATCAGAGAATACTATAAACACCTCTATGCAAATAAACTGGAAAATCTAGAAGAAATGGATAAATTCCTGGACACATACACCCTCCCAAGACTAAATCAGGAAGAAGTTGAATCCCTGAATAGACCAATAACAGGCTCTGAAATTGAGGCAATAATTAATAGCCTACCAACCAAAAAAAGTCCAGGAGCAGATGGATTCACAGTCGAATTCCACCAGAGGTACAAGGAGGAGCTGGTACCATTCCTTCTGAAACTATTCCAATCAATAGAAAAAGAGGGAATCCTCCCTAACTCATTTTATGAGGCCAGCATCGTCCTGATACCAAAGCCTGGCAGAGACACAACCAAAAAAGAGAATTTTAGACCAACATCCCTGATGAACATCGACGCAAAAATCCTCAATAAAATACTGGCGAACCGAATCCAGCAGCACATCAAAAAGCTTATCCACCATGATCAAGTGGGCTTCATCCCTGGGATGCAAGGCTGGTTCAACATATGCAAATCAATAGATGTAATCCAGCATATAAACAGAACCAACGACAAAAACCGCATGATTATCTCAATAGATGCAGAAAAGGCCTTTGACAAAATTCAACCCTTCATGCTAAAAACTCTCAATAAATTAGGTATTGATGGGATGTATCTCAAAATAATAAGAGCTATCTATGACAAACCCACAGCCAATATCATACTGAATGGGCAAAAACTGGAAGCATTCCCTTCGAAAACCGGCACAAGACAGGGATGCCCTCTCTCACCACTCCTATTCAACATAGTGTTGGAAGTTCTGGCCAGGGAAATCAGGCGGGAGAAAGAAATAAAGGGTATTCAATTAGGAAAAGAGGAAGACAAATTGTCCCTGTTTGCAGATGACATGATTGTATATTTAGAAAACTGCATCGTCTCAGCTCAAAATCTCCTTAGGCTGATAAGCAACTTCAGCAAAGTCTCAGGATACAAAATCAATGTGCAAAAATCACAAGCATTCTTATACACCAATAACAGACAAACAGAGAGCCAAATCATGAGTGAACTCCCATTCACAATTTCTTCAAAGAGAATAAAATACCTAGGAATCCAACTTACAAGGGATATGAAGGACCTCTTCAAGGAGAACTACAAACCACTGATCAACGAAATAAAAGAGGACACAAACAAATGGAAGAACATTCCATGCTCATGGATAGGAAAAATCAAGATCACGAAAATGGCTATACTGCCCAAGGTAATTTATAGATTCAATGCCATCCCCATCAAGCTACCAATGACTTTCTTCACAGAATTGGAAAAATCCACTTTAAAGTTCATATGGAACCAAAAAAAAAGCTCTCATTGCCAAGACAATCCTAAGCCAAAAGAACAAAGCTGGAGGCATCACACTACCTGACTTCAAACTATACTACAAGGCTACAGTAACCAAAACAGCATGGTACTGGTATCAAAACAGAGATACAGACCAATGGAACAGAACAGAGCCCTCAGAAATAATACCACACATCTACAACCATCTGATCTTTGACATACTTGACAAAAACAAGAAATGGGGAAAGGATTCCCTATTTAATAAATGGTGCTGGAAAACTGGCTAGCCATATGTAGAAAGCTGAAACTGGATCACTTCCTTACACCTTATACAAAAATTAATTCAAGATGGATTAAAGACTTAAACGTTAGACTTAAAACCATAAAAACCCTAGAAGAAAACCTAGGCAATACTATTCAGGACATAGGCATGGGCAAGGACTTCATGTCTAAAACAGCAAAAGCACTGGCAACAAAAGCCAAAATTGACAAATGGGATCTAATTAAACTAAAGAACTTCTGCACAGCAAAAGAAACTACCATCAGAGTGAACAGACAACCTAAAGAATGGGAGAAAATTTTTGCAATCTACTCATCTGACAAAGGGCTAATAAATAGAATCTACAAAGAACTCAAACAAATTTCAAGAAAAAAACAACCCCATCAAAAAGTGGGCAAAGGATATGAACAGACACTTCTCAAAAGAAGACATTTATGCAGCCAACAGACACATGAAAAAAATGCTCGTCATCACTGGCCATCAGAGAAATGCAAATCAAAACCACAATGAGATACCATCTCACACCAGTTAGAATGGCAATCATTAAAAAGTCAGGAAACAACAGGTGCTGGAGAGGATGTGGAGAAATAGGAACACTTTTACCACTGTTGGTGGGGCTGTAAACTGGTTCAACCATTGTGGAAGTCAGTGTGGCGATTCCTCAGGGATCTAGAACTAGAAATACCATTTGGCCCAGCCATCCCATTACTGGGTATATACCCAAAGTATTATAAATCATGCTGCTATAAAGACACATGCACACATATGTTTATTGCGGCACTATTCACAATAGCAAAGACTTGGAACCAACCCAAATGTCCATCAATGATAGACTGGATTAAGAAAATGTGGCACATATACACCATGGAATACTATGCAGCCATAAAAAAGGATGAGTTCATGTCCTTTGTAGGGACATGGATGAAGCTGGAAACCATCATTCTCAGCAAACGATCGCAAGGACAAAAAACCAAACACCGCATGTTTTCCCTTATAGGTGGGAATTGAACAATGAGAACACTTGGACACAGGAAGGAGAACATCACCCACTGGGGCCTGTCGTGGGGTGGGGGGAGTGGGGAGGGATAGCATTAGGAGATATACCTAATGTAAATGACTAGTTAATGGGTGCAGCACACCAACATGGCACATGTATACATATATAACAAACCTGCACGTTGTGCACATGTACCCTAGAACTTAAAGTATAATTAAAAAAAAAAAGTGTGTAGACTTCCCCCTTCACTCTCTCTCTCTCCTGGCCATGTGAAGATGTGTTTGCCTTTGCCTTCCGCCATGATTGTAAGTTTCTTGTGGCCTCCCCGACCATTCTTCCTGTATTAGTCAGAGTTCTCTAGAGGGACAGAACTAACAGGATAGATGTATAGATGTATATATGAAGGAAAGTTTATTAGGAGAATTGACTTACACGATCACAAGTTGAAGTCCCACAATAGGGATTCTGCAAGCTGAGGAGTCAGAAAGCTAGTCCGAGTCCCAAAACCTCAAAAGTAGAGAATCCAATACTGCAACCTTCA